>NC_000002.12:112035072-112338102 GCF_000001405.40 Homo sapiens | reverse complement strand
GTGGCGCATGCCTATAATCCCAGCTACTCAGAAGGCTGAGGCAGGAGAATTGCTTGAACCCAGAGGCAGAGGTTGCAGTGAGCCAAGATCATGCCACTACACTCCAGCCTGGGCAACAGAGCAAGACTCCGTCTCAAAAAATAAATAAATAAAAATAAATAATAATTAAAAAAAAAGACTGGGCCAGGCGTGGTGGCTCATGCCTGTGATCCCAGCACTTTGAGAGGCCAAGACTGGTGGATCACTTGAGGCCAGGAGTTCAAGATCAGCTTGGCCAACATGGTCAAACCCTGTCTCTACCAAAAAAATACAAAAATTAGCTGGGTGTGGTGGCACACACCTGTAGTTCCAGCTACTCAGGAAGCTAAGGTGGGAGAATTGCTTGAACCTGGGAGGCGGAGGCTGCTGTGAGCTGATAGCGCCACTGCACTTCAGCCTGAGCGACAAAGTGAGACTGTCTCAAAAAAATAAATAAAAAACAGGCTGAGCACGGTGGCTCACGCCTGTAACCCCAACACTTTTGGAGGTTGAGGCGGGTGGATCACCTGGGGTCAGGAGTTCAAGATCAGCCTGATCAACATGGTGAAACCCCGTCTCTAGTAAATACAATAAATTAGCTGGGTGTGGTGGCACGTGCCTGTAAGCCCAGCTACTTGGGAGTCTGAGGCAGGAGAATCACTTGAACCTGGGAGGCAGAGGTTGCAGTGATCCGAGATTGCACCATTACACTCCAGCCTGGGCAACAAGAATGAAGACTCTGTCTCAAACAAAAACAACAACAAATTAAAAAAAAAAAAAAAGAATGGCTATGCAGTTACTTTTCTGGTTACAGAAAAAATCCTGCAGACCTTTATAGGAATAAATTATTGATCAATCCAAACTTTCACCATGAAGTAATCTTGTAAGTCTGGAGGACTCTTAAAGTTATGAATTATTATGGAAACATGGAGCTCCTAAGTTGCCATAATCTGTCTTCACATTGCTTGGGCTGAGGGTGGGGACAAAAAAGAGCAGGTGGGCTGTCTACCAAAAGAGATATAACCCATAAGGTGCATTCTTCCTAATGCAGTCATGGAATACTTCTGCCACACCTGTTTAACGGGTGACAGCATCTGTAAAAGTGACATTTGGATGGATGTCAGGAAGCCATCAACAAGCAGTTAACAAAGCACCCACTGTAGGCCTACAACTAGGCTTGTTTCTATGGCAAGTATAAAAATAAGGAGATACATGTGGGTCCTGTCTCCAAAAGCATAAAATATTATTTTAAATGTGCTTTTTGTTTCTTATTTTAAAATTAGAAATTCTAAGTACTATGTAGATGTTAACTTTTCTTGGGTCTGTATCCTTTCCAGGAAAGGCAGGATAATAGGGAGGGCTTTGTCACAACTGGCAGATACTGCTGATAAATGACATAAATGACATACTCAAACACAAAACTCCAGCAATATAGTGACTGGTAGCTGCCAAAACTTTCTGCAAACCACATGAAACTGCTTGGGGAGAAGGCATTATGTAAATGCTAAGGTGTAACACCTAAGAAAATAGCTTTGAACTCTTAGGCCGTTTGGTTATATATGTCAAAACTTGGATTTCCTAAACTAAGTCTTATTTAAACTATAATTATAGTTTACAAATGCTTATATATTTTACTGGACTTAATTTTGAACATAATGTCATCAAGTGCTGCCAAACCATTTTTGAAAAGATAATTCAAGAAATTAACAGAAAGCTCAATTATTGAAGCTTGCGGGGTGGGGGACCCTATCAGTGGACTGCATGACTGCAGACCACCCCCACCAAGGTACAGCCTTCAACACAGTCCAACCCTCCAAAAACATCAGGGAAAACATCTCCACCACAGATTCTATGTCATGCAAATGAAGAGATTCTGACAGCCTCTTTAAGATCTCATATCCTGGTCCCTAGGAGCTTCCTAACTTCTAGTGGCCATTAATTAAAGAAACATAATACCTTTATGAAGTAAGTAGTCTTTCAGGAAGACCGCAGTGTGACATGCCTGAAGAAATACATATTACAGACTGGGTGTGAATATATCTGTTGTTTCTAAGAGCTGGTGGCTCTTATATTGAATGAGCTGGCCACTTTGCCTAAACATGCTATGATTTAAACAAACACACCATGCACCATGAACTGTCATAGCATTTTTAACCCTCCATCAATATCCAACCTGTATAGAATGTGCAGAGAAGTCAGATCTTGAAGAGGCCCAAGTCTATATAGCTCTAAGGCAGGGAAGTCCTGTCTTCCTGATACTCATGTAGTTAAGGAAATTGCTAACTTGATGGGTTAATATTCACTCAACCTCTCAGGAAATTCTACTGTTGTGTCACCAGTGCATGTCATCTGAAGCTTCGTAAAATTGCTAAACCATACAAACCATACCATGTTATTTTGGAATTTGTACAACTTAATGCACCCTAATGGGAGCATAATGATTATGTTCATTCAAGTTATAAAGCAATTTTATATTTACAAATACTTTACAAAAATAATTCATTCTTTACATCAAATGTGATCAATAAAAATTAACCCAATTTCACAGATAAGCAACTAGATACTGATATAAATTACACAGAAATCAATTCAGAACAAAAAATATGAATTTATTCTCTTTAAACTTCCAGCCCTTGTAAGTCCTTCCTACCTCTAATTAATTCAGCAGAGTAGCTGAGCTAAAAGTTCACACAGGATTTACTACTCAACTCTTCTTCCAGCTTAAAGTAAGTAGGAGGAACACTACTCTTTAAAGTTCCATGGCTAAAGGATAAACAGAAACATAAGCGCACATCATTTCACAATTAGGCTCTTTCGGTTGCAGCCTAATTTGGGGGTTTGAAACATTCAGCTGGGAAATAGAGGGTCCATATAGAAACAGACCCAATTGTTGAAATAGAGTTTGAAATCACTCCAACATCTGATTTGTGTTCAAGGTTCACAATGAGGTCTTAACCAAGATATGAGACAGCAGTTGCTGAATCTCAATTGTCATGATCTTCTGTGTGTTCCATTTCAACCCCCTGCTATATCCACTGTATTCATCATCACAGTAAACAGGTATAGAATTTCCATCACAAACAGTATGAATAGCTAAGTTACATCTCATTGGATGAGCCTATCCATACTCTTAAGACTCAAGTTATTTCTGTTATCTCTAAATGTGTGGCTTCTAAGAACAGGAACGTAACTTACTTTTCAATCTAACAGTGCAAATCAAATTACATGGATTCTAAAAACACCAATTGACCTAAAAGAAGAGGTATTCATTGGGGGAAAATGGCTACTTATTCAATTTGTATGAGAAAATGGGAAAAAAGAAGAAAAATAAACTATGTTTACAGGATATGACAGAATATCCCATAAACTAACGTTATCACAATAAAAATGCTGCATAATAAATAAGTTATTTTAAACATAAACATTTTCATATAAAATATATTGTCAAATTTGAAACTAAGTTCAAACTTTCTTGTAAAATAGCCTCTAGAACACCAATTGAGGTAACAGGGACTCAAGAATACTGAATAAATGAACATTACATAATTTGCATTAATAACTTTTAAACCTGACTCTTTAATAAATCTTGGAATATCTCTTTTAGTTGTAAAAAAGATATTCGGTTAAGAGTTTGGATTCTATTTTGATGTTTAGCAAGCCAAATTATCTTTTTTGTATGATGCTTAAAATGTAAACAGCACTGCTTGACACAATAATTATAAACTACATGAATGAAAGATTTGCTAAAAATTTCATTTACTAAAATCAGCCATTTTTCTGATTTTATCCTGACAAAAGAGTAAATTACACCTTGGGATATATATATATGTTTTTTTTCTGTCAGTTTAATCCATTTTATTGACTTCTCAATTAACAACAAAATTCATTTGGACAGTAAATCAGAAAATACTTTCTATGGTGGCTTTAAATTACATTTTTTAACCCAAAAATGTTATCCAGAGCCATTTTAGACAACAAATGTATCTTAAGTACAAACGGTAAAAATTCACATTCCCTTCAGTAACTCTCCTTCCACTTAGAACACAATGAACTTCTTAGGTAGGCAGAGTTCTCGTTCACTTAACCACAACCCCATTTTAGCACAGAACTGCAGCAAAAAGAATTGAAGAAGTGATTAGAAAGGATATGCATTATTAATAAACCATATGCTATGTGAGTGTTAGGTTCCCACGAAATATTTTACTGTATATTTAAAAAAAAATCCCTTCTCAAGGGCACTGCTTTCATTCAAGGACTGATTTCATTACCTACTTCATTATCTTTTATAGTGAAATGCTCCTTTTCAAGTTATTAATACACATTGGAGTTGTTACCAGCAAACACTGTCCTACACCTGCAGTTCAAAATATGAGTAGCAGTCTAATACTTAGATTCAGTTATAAATTATATATGTATAAAACAAAGAGTTGCCATTATTTATATATTGTAATAAATACACAAGAATGAATACAAGTTATTTTTCATAAAATACAATTTCTAATCAATTTAGGGGATTTCCACACTATGAGGACATTAAATACTTAAAACACCAGGTAATCCCCTCTGTTACAGAATGCCAGCCGGGTGAGATCTTAAAGAGATTCTTTATTGATAGCCAAATACTGTTGACTATACTAGCAATCTGTATTTTCTTGCTATTTAAGAAAAAAATACAGAACCTAGACATTTAAAACATTATCCGTGTAATAATCACTACAGACTCTCACTGGGTCTTTAAAAATTTTGTTAAAAATCGCCAAAGTCATGATGAACACAATTAATGCAGCTACATCATTTGAAAAAGCAATATAAATTATGCTGTTAAAGACAAAAACATTGACATACATAAACATCACAATGTAACACAGCAGTAACTAATTGCTATTTCATATGAAAAATTAAATGTAAAAAGTTATGCTAGAGAACTTGGAAATTTTTCACTTTAGCAAAATGTTCTATTTATATACCTCCAACTTCTATGATACAGTATACAATAAAATACTTTAAAAAGATATGACATTCAAATGCTTCATTTACACAAATAATATTGCCAATACTAATAAAAGTGATGCCCTTAAACATGAACTGCTCTGCTAATTGTAATTTTAAAATGTTTTCTTTACTTGATTTTACATTTTAATTAGCAGGTAGCATTACATATTAATCAGTTCTGTGCTGACAAATAAGAGAGGTCCTAGTCAAAATACTGTTTCTCAAAAGTAATGTACATCATATTGCTTGAAACTAAACAACCATATAAAAAGTGGCAATCATTTATCTAAACATTGATTATGAAAGACAACTGGCATATATTCAGGCAGAGTGTTGAGTTCATGATTGTTTATTTACAATAAAAGTACTTTTACTGAAGCTAACATAAGTTTTTAGGTCAATTACTACAGTCTCTTAAAGTTATAAAAATATTATATAAAATACCACAGGCTTTAGAGGCTATAACTTCATGTGGTTCTGATACTAGCAGCTGAAAAGTGTTTATAATTTAAAAATAAATAAACTATAGAGGTAAACCAGTTACAAAACAGCAGAGGACTGAGATAGTCACAAGAGTGAAAAGAATTGCTCAGTTACACAATAGCTAACAAAATGGTGAAGCAGTTGGATCAAAAGTTTTAAAAACCTCTTTCAGAGATTTGTCATCTGTTTCTCTACCGGGATCATTATCTGGGGTCGGGCTCCCCTGTCCTGGCTGCCTTGCCTGCCTTGGATCACTGTACTGTGGCCTAATTAAGCCTGTTAATGCCTGAACAGGAAGGCTGTGCACTGCTGGGACCTGAACCTTACCAGAACTCCTGGGAACGTCCGCCTGTGGGTCAGCTGGCCCCTCAAGAGTGACTCCCACGTTTGGACTGGGTTTTTGTGGAAGGATGGCTTCTCCAGGAGAAGGTTCAGTTTTGTCACTACTTTTTAAGCCACCACTTTTTTTCTGGTTCTTTGAGTTTTCTCCTGAAGAAGCTGTTGCTAGCTCTGATGTGGATGATGAACCGTGATCCCTAGGGTCATACAAACTAATACCACTAAGAACTGAAGTGGAAGTTCCCAGTGGAAGGCCAGCTGAGGAAGAGAGTTTAGGGGCATATGGAGGCAGAGCCCCGGAACCAGAATTGCTAGTTCCTGCCCCTGAGGGCTGTGATGAACCAGGGTTTGATCTGGGTAAGTGAGGGGCACCCTTTGATGCATGTGAATCCTTCATAACCACTTGATGAGACTCTGTATTGGGCAGTCTGTGAAGCCTAGGATCAAAATTTTTTTGTAGTCTAGGATCTCCTAATTTAGCTCCTGAACCGTGTGAGTCTCCAAATTGTTCTAGGTAGCCTTCTCTGTTTGTTGTGTTAATTTTGGCTTTGGCTGCTAATTTTGGATCAATGGACACTGTATTTTGATGAAGATCACTTTTTGTATTCCATAATCTATTTAGCCTCTGGTCAGCTATAAGTGGGGGCAGAGGTAAATTGATTGAAGACACTGGATCAGGTTTAGGTAAAGGTACTGGAAGTAAGTCTTCGGGAGCCCACACGATGTGTTTTGCAAAGTTGGGTTTGGTTAGAGTAATGTCCATTTTAATGTGACTGAACTGTCTCAATTGTGACCTTGGATCCTGGAGCATTATGCCAGGTGAGGCATCCAAAGGTATTAAGAAAGCTTTTTCTCTCAGTTCTCTTTCTGTATCTTCATCATCATCATCGCCTCTTTTGTGTTTGACATTAGTGCCAGCATTTGCATGATGCAAATCAAACTTTGCTCCACCAACAGAAGAGCCTATGTGACCACTTCCATTCCCTCTCAATTTCCTGGGATCCCACGCAAGTCTAAGATCCAGTGGGGCAGACTCAGAAGGCTTTCTAATGTCTTGCCTTGGGATAGTCCTAAGCCTAGGGTCAACCACTTGGTTTCCTTTACTTTTCTCTTTAGCAAGTCTTGGATCAGTAGGAGTGCTGAGTTCTGTGGAAGGTTGTTGCTGATTCCTTAAAGTTTCTGTTTGTTTCTGTAATGTTTTCAGTATTGATTTGACACTGCTTCCTTCTTCCTCTTCACTACTGGAATACCAGTTAACTGTATCATCTAAATGCAGACAAAAACTTATTATAAACTTTATATTATAAACTTATAATATAATAAAATTATTATATTATAATTATAAATTATTCTTTATAATATGGCTACATTTATATGTAGCCTTAATTAATATTAAAAAACACATACTATTTCTGAAATAAGTATAATCTAACTTCAAGAAAATGCATAACAAAAATGCCAGATTTCAATACTGGAACAAAATAAGATGTGGTAAGAAAACTATCGATTCAGTCATTATACTCTATTAAGGAAGTGGGGTGATACTAGAATATGTGTAATGTCCTTCCAGTCAGAGAAAAGGCAGGACCTTTCCTTCCAACTGGCCAAAGGGAATTCAGATATGTGTGTTGTATGTGTGGTGGGCTGTAGGAGAAAGGAAAATGCTGTTAGCATTCTAAAATATGCTAGGTCTCTTCAAATCAAGCATTCCTTAAGCTTCCTAGCTCTGAATTTATCAAGTTAACAATGGACTAAAAAGAAAACAAAACACTGAAAGTGATGGTTAAGGTAGCAATGGAAACTGAGCAAATGAGGAATGGGGTAGAGACTTTTCATTTACTCTTTATTATATGTTTAGATATTTGACCTGTGTGACTATATTAGCTATTCAAACATTAACTTTAAAAATAACAAAACTGGCTGGGCGTGGTGGCTCACACCTGTAATTCCAGCACTTTGGGAGGCCGAGGTGGGCGGATCACGAGGTCATGAGATCGAGACCATCCTGGCTAACTCGGTGAAACCCCGTCTCTACTAAAAATACAAAAAAATTAGCCGTGCACGGTGGCGGGCACATGTAGTCCCAGCTACTCAGGAGGCTGAGGCAGGAGAATGGCGTGAACCTGGGAGGCGGAGCTCGCAGTGAGCTGAGATCTAGCCACTGCACTCCAGCCTGGGCGACAGAGCAAGACTCCATCTCAAAAAAAAAAAAAAACCTACCATCCTAAAACTTACATACTTTATGAGAACACTTTGAGTCTTACTCTTAAAGCCTATTTAACTCTAGCATATTAGATGCAAGTTTAAGAAGCCTACCTAAAGAAGCCTACCTATCGTAAGTCTTTTCTCTAGCAGAAGGAATTACAAACTGATGTTTCAGAAGGGTGATTCTCCCTCCTCTCCATTAAAATATACACAGGTTGGCTCTGAATTGGCCACAAGGTATCTACTGTTCACATTCTTGCCAGAACGTAAGAGTCAGAACATGGAATACAGATGTATAGATATACTGTATATGCATATATGTATCTCCATCCTGGAGTATCTTGGATCAGCAGACTATCCTAGATATTCTCATTTTTACCTCATCTCACTGCTCACTAATGCATGCCTACTACATGGAACTTTAGTGTTACAGGGTTAGTTTGAACAAAGCAGTGCTTACAAAACAAGCATTGGTATTTAGGGTAGAATGTGGATTAAAACAGCATATGGTATGTCACAATTGCAAAAAGTTTTACTCAGATCTCAATATCTGAAAAAACTACTTCTAGACACTAGATCTCTTTTCTTCTCTTTGACATCAAGGAAATCTACAGATGGATTTGTGATTCACTTTTACCTGCTGCAATTACTTTAAATATTTCTGTATAGTAATTTCACTCCTCATAGTATTTGTTACTTCTATCCTTACTTTCTTTTCATTCCCATATCAATATATTTTATAAGCATTATATATA
Source organism: Homo sapiens (assembly GCF_000001405.40). Lineage (NCBI taxonomy): Eukaryota > Metazoa > Chordata > Mammalia > Primates > Hominidae > Homo > Homo sapiens. Next base: position 112,329,310 of record NC_000002.12, on the reverse strand, counting down.
TATTTCATGATTTATAAAGCATACTTAAAATCTTTCTTAAATGAGAGTGAAAATAGTAACAGAGGGAGAGTAGAAGAATAGAGACAGGCTGGTGGAAAACAGATATTAGATAAAAAATGATAATTAGCAGCTTTTATCAAAGCAGAGATAAAATGCATAAAAGCATTAAAATCCATAAAAATTAACACAAACACAAGTAAACCTAGCTGTTCAAAATATTTCTGTATCAGAGCCAACAACTCCCATAGAACACTACCAATTATATAACATTATAGAATAAAATTTTCTATTATCTAAAAGTTTTAATATCTTTGTTTATGAAAACATAAAACTTTTAAGACTATCGAAAGATTACTTTTTTTTTTTTTTTTTGAGACAGAGTCTCGCTCTGTTACCCAGGCTGGAGTGCAATGGCATGATCTCGGCTCACTGCAACCTCCGCCTCCTGGGTTCAAGCGATTCTCCTGCCTCAGCCTTCTGAGTAGCTGGGACTACAGACATGCACTAACATGCCCAGCTAATTTTTACATTTTTAGTAGAGACAAGGTTTCACCATGTTGGCCAGGATGGTCTCGATCTCTTGACCTCGTGATCTACCCGCCTTGGCCTCCCAAAGTGCTGGGATTACAGGCGTGAGCCACTGCGCCCGGCTGAAAGATTGCTATTAAAATGCTTATAATTGAAATTGTACAGGAAATTCACTTATTAGGAATCCTTCATTCTCCTGTGATGTTAGGTAAATGAAGAATTAATAATATCTTCTTTGAAAATGTAACAAAAAATGTTCACTTACATTGATGCAAGAAACTGAAGAGGACACCAAAAATTGGAAAGATATTCCATGTTCATGGATTGGAAGAATCAATATTGTTAAAATGTCCATACTACCCAAAGCAATCTACAGATTCAATGCAGTTCCAATCAAAATACCAATAGTGTTCTTCACAGATATAGAAAAAACTATCCTAAAATTTATATGGAACCACAAAGGACTCAGAATAGCCAAACCTATCCTGAGCAAAAAGAACAAAACTAGAGGAATCACATTACCTGGTCAAATTATACTAGAGAGCTATAGTAATCAAAACAGCATGGTACCTCCATAAAAACAGACACATAAGCTGGGCACAGTGGCTCACACCTGTAATCCCAGCACTTTGGGAGGCCAACGCAGGCAGATCACTTGAGGCCAGGCATTTGAGACCAACCTGGCCAACGTGGTAAAACCGTGTCTCTACTAAAAATACAAAAAAATTATCTGTGCATGGTGGCGCACATCTGTAGTCCCACCTACTTGGGAGGCTGAGGCAGGAGAATGGCATGAACCTAGGAGGCAGAGGTTGTGGTGAGCCGAGATCGCACCACTGTACAACAGAGTGACACCCTGTCTTAAGAAAAAACAAAAACAAAAACAAAAAAATGAACTAACAAAAAACAGACACATAGACCAATGGAACAGAACAGAGAACCCAGAAAGAAACCCATACATCTACAGTGAACCCATTTTGACAAAGGTGCTAAAAACATACATCGGGGAAAGGACAATCTCGTCAATAAATGGTGCTGGGAAAAACTGGATATCCATATGCAGAAGAGTAAAACTAGACCCCTATCTCTCACCATACACAAAAATCAAATCAAAATGGATTAAATACTTAAATCTAAGACCTCAAACTATGAAACTGCTACCAGAAAACATTGGGTAAACTCTCCAGGTCACTGGTCTGGGCAAAGATTTCTTAAGTAATACCTCACAAGCGTAGGCAACCAAGCAAAAATGGACAAATGGGATCACATCAAGTTAAAAAGCTGCATTGTGAAGGAAACAAATGATGAGACAATCCACAGAATGGGAGAAAATATCTGCAAACTACCTATCTGAGAAGGGATTAATAACTAGAATATATAAGGAGCTCAAACAACTCTATAGGAAAAAATCAATAATCCAATTTAAAAATGGGCGAAATATCTGAATAGACATTTCTCAAAAGAAGACATAAAAATGGCACACAGGGATATGAAAAGGTGCACAACATCACTCATCATCAGAAAAATGCAAATCAAAACTACAGTAAGATATCATCTCACCCCAGTTAAAATGGGTCTTATCCAAAAGACAGGAAATAACAAATGCAGGCAAGGATGTGGAGGAAAGAGAACCTTCATACACCGTTGGTGGGAAAGTAAATTAGTACGACCACTATGAAGAACAGTTTGAAAGTTCCTCAAAAAACTAAAAATAAAGTTACCATCTGATCCAGCAATCCCACTGCCAGGTATATACCCAAAAGACAGGAAATCAGTATATCAAAGAGATATCTGTACTCTCACATTTACTGCAGCATTATTCACAATAACCAAGATTTGGAAGCAACCTAAGTGTCCACCAACAGACAATGGCCAGGCACGGTGGCGCACACCTGTAATCCCAGCACTTTGGGAGGCCGAGGCGGGCAGATCACCTGAGGTCAGGAGTTCGTGACAAGCGTGGCCAACACAGTGAAACCCCATCTCTACTAAAAATATAAAAATTAGCTGGGCATGGTGGTGCACACCTGTAATCCCAGCTACTCGGGAGGCAGAGGCACGAGAATTGCTTGAACCTGGGAGGGAGAGGTTGCAGTGAGCCGAGATCGTGTCACTGAATCCCAGCCTGGGTAACAGAGTGAGACTCTGTCTTAAAACAAAACAAAACAAAAAACAGACAATGGATAAAGAAAATGTGGCATATATACACAATGGAGTACTATTCAGCCATAAGAAGAATGAGATCCTGTCATTTGCAACAACAGGGAACTGGAGGTCATTATGTTAAGTGAAATAAGCCAGGCACAGAAAGACAAACTTCTCATATTCTCACTTATTTGTGGGAGCTAAAAATTAAAACAATTGAACTCATGGACATAGAGAGTAGAAGGATGGTTACCAGAGACTGGGAAGGGTAGCTGGCAGATAGGGAGGAAGTGGGGACGGTTAATGGGTACCAAAAGTTTAAAAGAATGAATAAGACCTAGTATTTGATAGCACAACAGGGTGACTATAGTCAATAATAATTTAATTGTACATTTAAAAAAAAACTAAAAGAGTATACCTGGATTGTTTGTAACACAGAGGATAAATGCTTAAGGTGGTGGATACTCTATTTACCCTGATGTGATTATTATGCATTGCATGCCTCTATCAAAATACCTCATGTACTCCATAAATATATATACCTACTACGTACCCACAAAAATAATTTAAAAATTATAAATATATATATTTTAAATGCTCATATAATAGCTTGCAGCTACCTAGCGTTACATAGTTTTACATAGTTTTTCATAAATGTCATGTTTAAGAGTGGCCAAACATCAGTTTTGTAATTCATAAACAGAACTGGATGCTTTAAACTTTTCTCATCCTTTACTGAATTAACTAACTGTTGTATACTTACCAGTATCAAAAATACTAAGATAAACTTAGTTTCCATATAATCTTTTTATATTTAAAAATATTTCTTATTATAGCAGATCCTTAATTATAGAGCCTATGACATAAAAATATCTCTAATAACTGAATCATTTTGAAATTGGGCTAGAATTCAAAATCCTTAAACTGAAAGTTGTCCTTTTCCTGTTCTATTTATTTTCTTCAGAAAAAAAAAGCAAAAGGCTTAATTACTTGCAAGTCTGCACAACCTTGAACTCTAGCTTCAGATCTTTTCACTGCTTCAAGTCAAACCTTTAGCAATTAAGTATTAATGCAATTAATGGCACTGAAACCACAATCAATCACAAGATAGTGGCTATGAAATACATTGGAAATAGAAGACAGAGCTCATTTTTAATCCTTTTTTTTTTGAGACTGAGTCTCACTCTGTTGCCTAGTCTCACTGCAACCTCTGCCTCCCAAGTTGAAGCGATTCTCCTGCCTCAAGCTCCAGAGTAGCTGGTACTACAGGCACATGCCAACACGACCACCTAATTTTTGCATTTTTAGTAGAGATGGGGTTTCACCATGTTGGCCAGGTTGGTCTCGAACTCCTGACCTCAGGTGATTCACCTGCCTCGGCCATTTAAAAATTTTAACCCATCCAAATAGGTAAGATGCTATTAATAACTTCTGACACACCTTCTTCCTTGCTTGGTGCCCTATGAGGTTGGGTGCTGGTTTGTTCTTCATCTTCTTGGTATCTCTGAGTAAGTCTTACAAAAAGAGCTCTTTGCACTGCAGGGAGGAGGCCTGGTACAGGCAGAGGGCCATGGCCTGTCCTAGTGCTGCTGCCATCAGACCCACTCCCATGGTTAGGTGAGTCTTGAACAACAGGAGGCTGCTGCTGGGCAAATTCACCATGCCACATCCCATCTACATGTATAACATGGGGAGAGACAGTCATTGAGTGAGCACAAAACTTCACCAGTCATAAGAAATGAAAGCTTTCATCACAGGCACACTGGATTATCAAATTATATCATTTAAAATATTTCTAAAAGTTATCTAAAATTCTATTGTTTCAAAAGTTTGGCAAACTGAAAACATTTTAAGGTTTCAATCTTATCAATTTTACTCAGCTTTACTTAAAACTTACGTTTCTGTCATGCTTTTAATGAAAAATAGGACTGTATTTTAAATTAGGAATAAATTATTTCAAAAAAGTAAACTTACCACCAGAGTTATTGGGTGGCTGAAAATTATGTATAGAATGCTGTGCATAGTAATTATCGTAAAACTCAGCTGGGTTTTGCAGGGACTCATAATTGGTGTTGAGCTGCATTTCACCAGGACTTTGCTGGTATGATGAACCTGGAGAACAGTGATTCTCTCTGGGTACTTTCATCACATGTCCTGGAAAGCCTGGGGAGTGGTAAGCCCCACCCATACTTGGTGGTGTCAAAGATGTGTCTGGTTGAACAAGCACTCCAGCTTGATTTTGAGGACCTACAATTTCAGGTGGACCAGGTGGTAAAGGTGGGCTCTGTGGCACTGGTAGACCAGGAGGTCCTGCACATGGGTGATGTCCAGGGGAGCCTGGGTGCATCACAGGACTACTGTGTCCCTGAGACATGTTAGGTCCAGGACCTGGACTTGACCCAGAACTATAGATATGTTGAGGGTGTGGACTGCTTCCCTGAAATTGTGGTCCTGGTGGTGAGGCACTGGTATAAAATGCTGGTGGCCTGTAGACAGAAATAATAATATTTCTTAGTTCAAAGAAAAAGAAACAAACAAGAATGTTAACACTTCTAAACAGATATTGGTTAAGTACTTTTTTTACATCAGAATAGAATACTGTGTGTTTAAGAAGCAATTTGTTCCATAGCGTCGATAGGTAGAAACACGAAATAGACCTCATGCTTTCATTTTAGCCCACTTGCTGCTTACCGTTAGCTGTTCTAAAACTTACTGTTTTGAAAAACACAGAAAAGTACAAAGATAAATAAGAATCACCCCTAATCCCACTACCCAGAGATAAAATTTTATTGGTTCTCTCCTACTAGTCCTCTTTTTCAGGCATATATAACCTTTTACAGTAAAATTAGAATCTACTATATAAACATCCAACTTTTTATAATAATTTGTAATTGGTTATTGCTGGCATATAAAAAGACATTCAGTTTTTGAATGTTGCTCTTCTTTCCTGACATCTTGCTAATTTAATTATTATTTCCAATAGTTTTGTCTGTTGATTCCTTTGGGTTGAGGGAAACTTCCCAAATAATTAGGCTGCCACTCCACTTCTAATCTTTATAACTTTTATTTCTCTTATTTCATTGACCAGGATACAATATATAATATTACCAAAATAGTGGACATACTTATCTTCCTGACATTAGTAGAAATACTTTTAATGGTTCAAATGAATTGTGATATTTGCTATAGATTTCTTGTTCCTCATTGGCTGAGACCTCCTTGCTTTCCTGAGTTGTCAGGACTAAACGAATGCTCAACAATGTGACTTAGGGCCCAGGTGCACAGACGCTTGGGGACTGGCAGCAGGGCTGAAATGGTGGTGTTAGAAAATGAAAATCTGGATCCAGAGGTCTTCCGCCAATAGCCTAAGGAATTGCTCTTCAAAATAATCAAATATGTGGAGACCTATTTCCCACAATCTGAAGGCATTATCAATGACAATGCAGCCTCATAATCAAGTGAAAATGCCAAATCCACCCACCAGGCAGGGTTCTTCAGGATTACTATGCTGAGAAGTTTCAGAAGCTGTATAAGGATTCCATATGGGAAAGCACTGATGGCAAGCAGCAGGTGGGAACCGAAAACAAAGGTGGAAGCAACAATCTGCGTGCATGCCAGATATGTGCTATCTCTAACCAAGTTTAATTACATGATTAGCTTGGAGTATGACTTAGTTTCTTAATGATAATTTTCAGAAAAAAATATTTGATGTCATTTTGAAAGTTTTTCACTTACTTCCTCCCAATTTTATGCGCTAAATCCACAGTAGGTTTTACAACTATTTCAAAAAGAGATGGAATTTTCCTAAAATCATCAGAGAAATCTGTCTGAAAATCGTCTTCAGGATCAGAAAAGGGAAAATGCTCTGGAGGGGTTGGCAGAAGCCCAACCCCTGGAGGTGGTTTGGGAAGAGGAGTTATGCCACGCTTTCTAAGTTCCTCTAATTCTCTTTCATCTTCATTTATGAGTTCTTCATCAGTATTCAACACCTAAAAATAATTGGCAAAGATTACTATTTCAAAGCGAGTCTTTTCCTCACATTTAAAACTAGAAGACTTAAGTTTGGTTAGTAGAAAAATAATATTAAAGTTGAAATGGGCTGGTCGCAGTGGCTCACGCCTTTAATCTCAACACCTTGGAAGGCCAAGGCAGCTGGATCGCTTGAGCCCAAGAGACCAGCCCAAGCAACACGGAGAAACCCCTGTCTCTACAAAAAATGCAAAAATTAGCTGGGCATGGTAGTGCCCACCTCAGAAGGTTGAGGTGGGAGGATGACCCCAGGGGCAGGGGTGGGGGGCGGTGCAGGGCAGGGGGTTGGCAAGGAGCAGGGTGTGGAGGTTGCAGTAAGCTGAGCTAAGATCACGCCACTACACCCAGCCTGGACAACACAGCGAGACCTTGCCAAAAGAAAAGAAAAGAAAAGAGACAGAGAGAGAGAGAGAGAAATAAGAAAGAAAAAGCAAGCAAGCAAGAGGGAGGGAGGGAGGAAGGAAGGAGGGAAGGAGGGAAGGAGGGAAGGAGGGAAGACGGGAAGGAGGGAAGGGGGAGAGAAAGAAAAAAAAAAGTTGAAATGGTTTGGAGATAGCTAACTCCTCATTTTTTATAAACAGAATGAGGTTCAAAAAGGTAAAGAATATTGCTCAAATAGAATAAAATATAAAATAGTAAACTTTCAATTTCTCAGCAGTTTCATAAAATATCACTTATAAAATATGATTCAAGTCAAATGTATTTGTGGAGAGACATAATCAAGGTACAAAAATATTACTCACTTTGTCCAAAAGTTTCTTTGTTTCTTTAGTTAGATCATCATGGGAAAATTTACAGTTGTCTCCCTGGTAACATTTTGCTCCACTATGATAGAACTTGCATGGAAATTCATGTAAATAAAAATATTAAGGAAAAGACCAAGTAAAATCAAGGTCTAATTTTTTTTTAAACCAAAACCTACAACTGTTAGACAAGATAGTTAAGTTCTAGAGATCTGCTATGTAACATTGTACCTATAGTCAACAATACTGTATTGTATACTTAAAATTTTGTTAAGGGAGTAGAACTCATGCTAAGTGTTCTTAACACACACACACACACAAAACCACAACTGTGCTGAATCAATAAGGCTGTATTATTATATATTATACTGAATTTACTATAATCACATCAGCTTATTTTTAATTCTATTAAGGTTAGATATTTTAATTATACAAAAACATTCAAACAGCTTTTTTCTCTATTAAAACTAGAAAGCCACTTTTTAAAGGAAAAAAAACATTTATCACTATTATAGCAAACACTATTATATTTTAATTACATAAGCTCTGTTACTTTTCACAATAAAATAAAATATTATATAAATTTTGTAGCAAGAGCTTATATTTATAAAGAAAATTAAGAGGCTTAATATGTCATGTTAAAGGCAAATATCCCAATAATCAACTACAGACTAATCTTAGGATTTTGGAGACAAACGTATAAAGAAAATATTAAATCTAGAAGTATAGTGAAAAATATACCACTCTCAGGTGATGTATGTTCAGGGAATAGCTGGATGGTTTTAGGAAATTTATTATTGTAAACACTGATAAGGTCAAGAAAAAAATTATATGATCATTTTGGCAGATGCAAAAGGCAACTGATAAAATTCAAAATCTTTTTTAGATTTCTTTTTTAGGTTTAAAAAAATCCTCTTAGTAAAATAAAAATATACTTTCTTAATTGATTTTTTAAAACTTACTTTAAAACTGCAGCCACAAGCTAAAACAAAAAGGCACTATCATTAAAACATGTTTTATGTCTGCCACAGTCACTATTATTTAACATTCTTCTGGAAATGTGGCCAATACAATTAAAATTAAATAAGAGGTATAAATATTGTAAATGAAGTAAAATTATTATTATTTACAAACAGCATGACTATATAACAAAAACCCCATAAGAATAGATGGAAAGCTTTCAGAAACAGAATAAAGTATTTGCTTTCTAAAGAAATATGTCAAATCTGAAAAAATTTATTTTTCTTGAATAGGACAAATTCATTACATTTTATTTGTTTTTATTATTTGCCAAATCACTTCTGACCTGAGACTATTACAACATTTTTTTTAAAAAGGAAGGAGTATTTGCCTTACCAAATATCAAACATACTCTTACAGAGGTGAATAATCAAATACCACAATAGATAAGAGTAGTATAGAAGCAGAACTGTGTACAAATGAGAATTTAGGGTCTGGTGAAGATGCCATTTTAAATCAGTAAAGATAAGACAATGAGTTAATCATCTGAATAAAGGTCCTTATTAACACACTGTGTATTAAAATACAGTCCATATTAATGTAAATGTTAAATTTAAAAATACAATATTCACAATCATTATAGATTTCATTTTTCTAAAAAATTATGTGTATAGGCTGGGCCCAGTGGCTCACGCCTATAATCCCAGCACTTTGGGAGGCCGAGGCAGGCGGATCACCTGAGGTCGGGAGATTGAGACCAGTCTGATCAACATGGAGAAACAACATCTCTACTAAAAATACAAAAATTAGCCAGGCGTGGTGGTGCATGCCTGTAATCCCAGCTACTCGGGAGGCTGAGGCAGGAGAATTGCTTGAACCCGGGAGGCAGAGGTTGCAGTGAGCGGAGAACGCGCCATTGGACTCCAGCCTGGGCAACAAAAGTGAAACTCCGTCTCACAAAAATAAAAAATTATGTGTATAAACATATACACATCCATTCATACATACATACCAGCATAGAAAAAAAGTCTGAAAGGCTTTATGCCATACTCCAAGTATGGTTCTCTGTAGGATGACATTACTTAGGATTTTTTTTCTAAGTTTGTTTGAAGGTCATTAACCATACCAAAGTAGAGAGAATAATAAAATGAAGTCCCTCTCATGTTGACCTCATAGGTTCAACAACTTTCATCATTTGTTGTAAATATTTCCATACCTATTCTCAACATAAGGACTATTGTTTCTTTCCTTTTTTTTTTTGAGACAGAGTCTTGCTCTGTTGCTCAGGCTGGAGTGCAGTGGCACCATCTTGGCTCACTGCAACCTCCACCTCCCAGGTTCAAGCGATTCTCCTGCCTCAGCTTCCCAAGTAGCTGGGATTACAGGTGCACGCTACCATGCCCAACTAATTTGTGTATTTTTAGTAGAGATGGGGTTTCACTATGTTGGCCAGGTTGGTCTTGAACTCCTCACCTCAGGTGATCCACCCGCCTTGGCCTCCGAAAGTGGTGGGATTACAGGCATGAGCCACCGTGCCTGGCCCCTTTCCTCTTTAAATTAGTTATGGGAGTGGGGGAGGTGTCTCACTATGTTACCCAGGCTGGTCTCCAACTCCTGGCCTCAATCAATCCTCCCACCCCAGCATCCCAGTGTTAGGATTACAGGTGTGACCTACCATGCCTGGCCAGGAATACTTTTTCTTACCAATCACGACTTCATTACCACCCTGGCAAAATTAATGTGTTAATTTCAACTAGTAACCAGTCAATATACAAATTTTCCAGACTTTTAAAAAAGTATGTTTTTATAATTCCTTTCTTCAGATCAGGACATAAAGATGATCCACAAATTGTATCTAGTTAATACATCTCCCAAGTTACTTTTACTGATTTCTAGAAGTTCCCCTTTCCCTTTTATTTTTGTATCATTTGTTAATTTTAATATTGGTCATAGATGGTATTCAAATACTCTCTACTGTATCATATCAAAAGGCATTTAATATCTGGTTGTTTCTTTTTAGTAATGTTAAGACTGATCAGTCCTTTCAGGTGTTGTCAGCTCCATCCATCAGTTGTAAAGTTCCTAATTAACTTTTCACCTCATGATTTTAGCAGCCATCAGTAATCACTGCCCAGGTCTATTGTGGAGAAACTGCAAAACGTGGGATTGCTGGGTCAAAGGGTAAATGCATATTGCATTTACCAAGCTCTCCTCCATAGGAATGCACCATTTTGACATTGCCAGCATCAAGGTCTTCTCACATCCTTGCTAACAAACTTCACTGTCACGATTTTTTTATTTTTGCAAACGTGACACAGCTGCAAATGTTATCTCAGTGTAGCTTAAATTACATTCCCCTTATTAGGAACAAGATTGAACATCTTTCTGTATGTTTTGGGACCATTTGCATTTCTCTTTCTGGGAATTATCTGTATCTCTTCCCTCATTTTTCTTCTCAATGTTTAGAAACTCATATATTAAGGATATGACCTCTTCGTAAGTGATATAAATTACACATAATCTTTCTCACTTCATTATTTATCTTATTATTTAGCTCATGTTATATGTATTTGTTTTGCAAATGCAAGCTTTTTCATGGAGTCAAAATTTCAATCTGTTCCCTTTTTGCTTCTGGATTTTGAGACAGGAAATTTTTCTGTTCCAATTCATCATGTATTCCTCTGGTAATTACATCGTTCCATTTTTTGACATTTTGATCTATGATAACAGGCATTTTTCATTTTATTCACTTTCTTTTTTTTCACATTTTTTAAACACGACAACAGAATTTAAAAATTTATCTGGAAAAATAAACATCAGAATCTACCAAATATTACCGTGGCTGTTGTGGCAGAAATAATCACAGCAAAGCAAGACAGACATGAGGGTGAACAAATCCATGGAGCCAAACACGAAGTCCAGAAGAAAAATCCATATATGTAAACATTTTGTCTGTGATAGAGTTTCAATTCTGTGGGGGAAAGCTTCATTAGTCATAAGTCGTAGTGAGCAACCTGACAGATATTTGGGGGAAAATTAACATGGAAAAATTGCAGAATACATTTTTTTAAAGGACCAGAACACTATATATAGTGAAATTCCAATTTGGGTAGGAGCAGGAATACAATTTAAATGTATATATTTCCCAAGGGAGAGTGGGGAAGAATATACAGCATCTATCATTGAGTGGTAAGATTTGATAAGACTTATAATCTTCACAATGATAATTTTTTACTCCCGAACTTAAGTAAAATAATTATGGAATAAAATAAGTATTTTGCCAACTACTCCTTCAGGAAGCACAATCTCTTGAAATACTTTAAGCTGATTATATTAAAGTACCTTCCCTTCACAGAATTTTTTCCAAAGGGCAGTTATCTCATTTCCCTAAAGAATAAAGGTCAGTTTGCTCTTTTGAAGTACAAAGTTTGACTAGACTGGGTTTATGTAATGTGTTGTTTTAAATTTAAAACCAAACTAGGCTTTATAGGGTGTATTTATTATTTTTTAAAACCTCAATGATGCTTTAAAACCCCAGCATTTTATTTAACATACATTTTAAATAAAGGATATTATGCATATAAATGCAGTTCTCTCCTTTGGTACAATATCCTTGTAAATAAAATTTGCAGATCTCTTTTCTTTTCTCCAACTCTGCATCATGATCAAATTTACACTGATCTCCCTATTCACAAAAAAAAAAAAAAGAAAAAAGAAAAAAAGGTAAGAAACAATGAGAAACAAAGAAACAACAGCTGAATTTTCTACATGGTGTCTCATGGTAAAATTATGGTCATTATCTTCAGTCTTTAATAATGAACAAATAATAACTCAAATGACCCCTTAGAATTCCTGCCCAAGACAGTGGATGTAGCTACATGCATTAAGGCAGCACAGTGAGCAAGACCTCACAGGATACTGCCTGAATTGGCAACCAGCACTCACCATTTCTTGCTGAGCTACCATGGGAACTTACTTAACCTCTTGGTGCCATGAATAAAATGGGGATAATAACATTAACTACTTTGTAGGGTCACTGTAGGATTAAATCATTTAATATTAGTTGTACTTTGAACAGTACTTGCCACGTAGCATTATGTGTCTTTTAAACAAATCCGATTTCAACAAATTATGTTATTGTCCCAGAACATAATTAAATGAGCTCTAATGTACGGTATTTCCATGCAAGATACATTTTAAAGACCCAGTTTTATTACAACTATATGAGAAGAGAAAAAAATTAACCATCCCCCAAAAGACTTTAATTTTAAAGATTATTTTGGAAGTTAAAATGACTTATGATACCTCTATAAATTTACCTTAATACACCTCCCTTCCAGGAAGTATTTACAGATTTGTTTTCCTTTGTGTTCCACTGTGTGCTGATTAATAAATTCCTGAGTCATAACCTTCCATTTTTTCCCTGGTTTATTATACTGCAAGAAAAAAATTCCATTTGAATGCAGCATATGAAATATTAATAGGTATCAAAATGTATGATTAAGTTGATCTGGAAAAAAGTACAAATTGACTACAAAAAGTGATCAAGATTGAACATTCTGATGCTATTCATTTATTTGGAGAGAGATATGTGTCTAGTAATCTACTTATGCTACTAGTGATCGCAAAAAAAAGCCTATTTCTTTCTATTTTAATGAAGATGAATAACTTTTTAAATAAAATTATAAAAAGTTTAAAAATTCACAATTCTCAATTTGGGCAAAGACACAATAAAATATGCACTCATATTATTGATAGGTATGTTATAAAAGACTTTAAAATATCCATATTGTTTGACATACAACTTGTACTTTTTGGGATTATTTTGAAAGAATTATCAGGGAGACACAAAGATCTAGTCATATAATAAAATACTGACATAGTAAAACAAACAGCAAAACGAGAAACACTCTACACATTTAAAACTAGAAGACTGGTCAAATATATTATGATACACTTAGGTGGTAGAATATTATGCAGTCATTAAAAAATCAACAACTTTGGATCATAAAAACTGTTTACAGATCAGGCATGGTGGCTCATGCCTGTAATCCCAGCACTTTGGGATCATTTGAGGCCAGGAGTTTGAGACCAGCCTGGCCAACATAGTGAAATCCTGTCCATACTAAAAATACAAAAAATTAGCCAGGTGTGGTGGCACACACCTCTGTAATCTCAGCTACTTGGGAGGCTGAGGCACGAGAATCGCTTGAACCTGGGAGGTGGAGCCTGCAGTGAGAGCCAAGATCACGCCACTGCATTCCTGCCTGGGCAACAGAGTGAGAGTGTCTCAAACAAACAAACAAAAAAAAAACAAAAAAAAAGTTTACAATATTTTATGAAGTAAAAAATTGATCCCAATTCTACAATAATAAATAAAGGCAAAGGAAAAAAGACAAAAAGAATATACCCCCATATTTTACAGTGTATGTCTCTGGATGGCAGGATTAGAGATTTTATGTGTGTGGTTATTTTGTACTTTCTTTAGGGGAAAAAAAGGGCAAACAAACAGGCGGCGTGTATTACTTTTAACTTTTAAATATAAAAAGTTAAGAAAAAAACTTAAGAAAATTAAAGGAAAAGAAATCTTATAGCCCTACTTGTTTTCCTTACTTCTCCTGAGTCCCCTATTCAACTTCTGCTTTAAGTATAAGATTAAGTAACAAGGCAGAGTATGATGCTTAGCCATGCTAAATGTAATGAGTTACATTCATCAACTCTAAAAAACAACATTATTTTTCATGCACCTGGCATGCACTGTGCCCTGTATATCATAGGAGTTCAATGACTATTTACTCTTCTGATTTGATTTCTGTTTTCCCTTTTCTCTTAATTTGCTAAAAGATAGAGCATAAAGTTCAATCTACTGAAAACAAGAGATTGCCTCACAGCAAACATTGAGGCAATAGATGTCTAAATTGAAATCTGATCCCCAGCATTCACAGCTCAAATCACATTTTACTGTAAGAATTCTAAAAAAGGTACAAGAATACAAAGTAAACAGATAATCCTAGAGATTCGTTTTAAAAATATAAACATACCTAATTTACCCCAGGAAAACACAATGAAATTGCTTATAATATACTATGACAGAATCATTTAAAGTGTCTCAAATCTATATAAATTTGATTCACAAACATTTTTATGTTTAGAGATTCGTTTAGAATAAGCAGATATAAATGACCAGCTCACATAGGCATTCTATACAAAGAATCATGGCTGTTATAAAATAAAATAAACAGCCAAAGAAAGTAAATTATGCAAAAATCAATGAGCAACCTGAGGAATATAACTCTGAAATTAAAAAGTAAAAAAATTAGGTAATCACACACACACACACACCCTGAAAAATGCAACAAGTTGTACTTAGCGTTTCATTAATAACTTACTCTTTCTGTATACATTACTTCCAAATAATGTTTCATTGTTTTAATAGAGGATTGTGGTGAGGAAGTGTTTTGTTTTGTTTTTTAGTTTAGTTCCACTTAAATGAGTAGAAAGTATGTCAGTGTCCACAGCTATGGGAAACCTGACTATAATCAAGGTACTATAGAAAATCTAAAGCAACTTTAACAAATAAATTTTTAGGGCAAAATTAAGTGCCCAGAAGATATGGTGAGTTAGCAGACTGACAGAACTCAGGAATTGTGCCTTGCAACTCCTCCTATATTCTTTGCATTACAAGACAGTACTGCGAATAAAAAAAAATACAAGAATGAAGGAGAGAAAGAGGGAGAGATGGAGGGAGAAAAAAAACCAAGCTACCTACTGTACTTGGTCATTTTAAAACTTATTTACTTTAGAAGATATATTGATACAAGAGACAAGAGCATAAAATATTAATATATATCAGGTAGAGGAAATGTAAGGATCTACCAGGAAAATAATATTTATTACAAAAAAATGTAATAGGTACAGTAAATACTAAAACAATTTAAGAGTATTATGGCCAATAAAATGAAGAAGCCTTTAAAATTCAGTGAAAGTTTGCTTCTTTGTGACTACTCTTGATTTTTCAAAAAAATTATGATGAATCTGAAGGTACCCCGAATTGATTTGGCTTTGGAGACTCTCATAGTCTCTGAAAGGCCTAGGACAGAGACGGATCTATCTTGGCCACTCTGCTGTGGCCTCCATGTTCATGCTATTCTGGATGGGCCACCTGCAGACCATTCCTGAACATGAACTGCTTCCGTGGGCTCTGGCACACTCCCAGTTGTTTCTGGAATCATAAGAAATGTCTCTCGTGATAGCCAATAAATTGACATGACTGATAATGTATTTTTATCTTTATTTTTCTGTTATATGATTATCTTTTAGGTATAGCCCAGATCTACAGACATCTAAAATGCTGTGCTTGATGGGGCCCTTAGAGTTAACTTAATACTATACCCTCATTTTGCAGATTAAGCAAATTGAGGCAAAGAGACAGGTATAACTTGCTCAAAGTCACACTTTCCTGGAAGCTAATTTTGTTTAAAGGTATAGGGTGTAAGAACTGGGTATAGGTGCAGGCTTACTTAGAAAGCATTTGTATTAGTTTGGGTTAGGGAAATCAGCATATTCTAAAGGTCTACTGGTGTCTAAGAAGATGACAGGCAGGTTTTTAGTCACCCCAAAATTCTAAAATAATAACCATAGTAATTCCAAAGCTGCTGTTCCATGGAACAGTGAGTGGCTCAGTGAATGTTAGTAGGTGTGTAGGGAAAAAAATAGTTTGTAGTTGAGTAAATGATGGGTTGAACAAAATAAGCTTCTTTTTGCCTAAGCTGCTCACAAGCTTTACTACATTAATGTCAACTGAGAATCTCCAAAAGCAGATGGCATGTGCTGGGTTTCGCAAATTTATTTGGGTCTGACCTTCTTTTTTTAGGTCACACCTGTTAACATCTCCTGAAACAGTATACTAAGGAGTGCATATTAAGAAATCTCTGCCCACTATCTTTAAACTGAGAGATCAGAAAACCAAGCATTTTCAAATTATAGTATATAGCTATCCCTCTCAGCTCTCACACAAAGTTGCAGCTTTTTTTTTTTTTTTATTTTGAGATGGAGTCTCGCTCTGTCACCCAGGCTGGAGTGTAGTGGAGCCATCTTGGCTCACTGCAACCTCCGCCTCCTGGGTTCAAGCGACTCTTCTGCCTCAGCCTCCCGAGTAGCTGGGACTACAGATGTGCACCACCACATCCGACAAATTCTTGTATTTTTGTAGAGATGGGGTTTCTCCATGTTGGCCAGGCTGGTCTTGAACTCCTGACCTCAGGATCTGTCCGACTTGGCCTCCCAAAGTGCTGGGATTACGGGCGTGAGCCACTGTGCCCAGCCAAAGCTCCAGCTTTTAATGACCCACTATTGCCTCTATAATTCAATCAAATCTTACTAGAACAGTAGTAGAACACAGGAATTGGACCACAGTAATCCAGGGAGTCACTACAAGGTTAAAAGTTCATGTTCAGAGTTCAACTCAATTTGACATATATTTATTGAATATCTACAACATGTAACATACATAAGTTCACCTTTCCAACCATTTATATCCCCCTTTCTTCTCTTTCAATCTTTTCAACTCTAAAAAGGAAGTTAATTTACCACTGCCTCCCTTCTTGTCCCCCCTACATATTGAGCTATTAGCACTTCATTGCCAGTTACATCTGGGGAAGATGATTCCTAGGAAAGAAAAGCACAAAAGAAGACTAATAGAGGATATATTTTTGCTTTTAAACTTAGCAATTTTATTTTGAGGTTCTTTCAAACATAACAATTTTATTTCAAAGTCAGCAAAATCTGTAAATTAGTTTCACAACTAATTAACAACTATTTTTTGGAGGTTATTGATACTCATTTTATCTGAGCTGGTAATTTTTCATTTACTAGAGAAGTATCATTAAAATCACAATGCTTTCTTTGCCATCAAATAAATTAAAAGATGAAAAAGCTCCTCCCCTCCTTATACATAAATTCTTAGTACCTCTTGAAAGTCATCCGATACTGAAAACACATTAGGCCCTTTATTGGTTCTTCCCCCACGTTCTTTTCGTTTGATTTTCTTCGGCAAGCCACGTCCACGACCAACATTAAAACTTTTAACTCTCTGTTCAATACCTAGAAAAGTTAAAATGTACTTAAATTTAAAAGAAAAACAGCATACCTTTCAATTTATTAGTTTATAAGGAACAGCACATTTTAATAGTCTATAATATACAGTGCATTCTTTTTTTTCCTTCTAGATTCAATGAAAAAAATTAAATCTTTGTATCTTATCTCCTTGGTACTGCTTCTTAAGGGATGTTAACAACATAGGAAGGCAAGGAACAAGGATACACATGGCTAGAGAAGCGAAATCAAGTTTTATTCTTTTTAATTTTCCTTAGCATAAGATCATTAACAAGCCTTTCTGTTTTTAAGAGAATCAAATATTATATTCCTATTTAAGGAAGACATTGTAGGTATCAGTGGTTAATTAGCAGCAAATCAAATTTCCACTGGTAATTTTGAGTAGATATATACACATATATCTCCAGGAAAAATTATACTTCTTTTGTTTTTGAAAAACTTGGTATTTAAAAGTATGTAAAAAGATACCCAAATTACAAAAATTAGTTTTTCTTTTTAGAGGCAGGGTCTCACTCTGTCACCCAGACTGGAATACAGTGGTAAGAACATAGCTTGCTGTAACCTTGAAGTCCTGGGCTCAAGCAATCCTCCCTCCTCAGCTTCCTGAGTAGCTGGGACTTAAGGTGTAAGCCTTTGGCCTGGCCAATACTCAGTTCTTTAAGAGCACAAACAAGTAGGAGCTTGAAAAGAAAAGCCCCAGGTGGGAAGGGATGAACAAGACTTTTTTGCATTACCCTTATTGTCCAAGTGGGATGATCCCTGATACCACAACATCTAGACTACAGGAACAAACTTGCTCAGTACAACAGCATATGTGTAGAAAAATTATTTTCCCTTTATTTCAGCTAAAGCCTACATTCATATTTTTCAAAGAAATCCTGCTAGGAAATCGAGAAAAAATAAAGTCATAGAAATAACCAAATTTACTCATAACTGATTCCTGTATGCAAAGATAATTAAAGGGTAGTTATACAGAGTGTGGCTCCTCACTACTTCATTTCAGTCTCATATTGCTCCACTTTTCCTGAAGCAGATACATTGACTAGCCAATACTTAAGGCTGATTTGAGGCTTACATGACCCATAGTTTCTTCACTTATTGTCAAGAGCTGGCAACTTGTCCTGGTCTCTCCAGGGACCATGTAATTCAATATTGCAGATAAACAGGTGATCAGTGCAGAAATGTCTTTAGATTATGTTTTTATCTCCAATTTTAAAAGATGTTCATAGTCCATGCACACTTGCTTAGCAAAAATGACTGCTGTATTTTAAAGCCTAATAAAAGTATAGCTTCCCAGCTGGTCTAAATTTAAAGCAATACATACAGCAACAGAGATAACTGTATACTGACATGACACAGAAGCAAGGGGAAAAATATAAGAAAGTTGTATTGCATTTTTATGTATTTTTAAATCATTAGAATATCTTTCCAACTGAAATATTCATGTATCATACAGATTGAAATATTTGTAGATTCTGTTCTCAAGGTCTACAAAATAAAAGAAAATGAATTTAGGTTCTACAAGAATAAGCTAATCTTGAACAGGGATAAGTTTCTAAGTTTTTACTCCATAGCTGCCTGTTTTAATAAGGTTCTCACATTCTAAGACAGACTGTAATTTCAAACTTACCTTGCTGAACTCCTTTCATTCTCTGTTTTTTTCCTGATTCTTTAGAAAATGATGACCCTAAAGCAATATTTGAGGTTTCTTTAGCTTGCCTGTATTGTTTCAGCTGATTGGCAAAATCTTCCTCTGTTTCCTGACCGTAGTTACCAAAGTTGTCATCACTGTAGTTACCGAAGTTGTCATCACTGTAGGTGCTGTACTCATCATATTCTTTACTTTTAAATTTTTTGTTATGTTGACCCTTCTTTGATGTTATGTAGCTTCCTGATATATGTCCACGCTAAGTGAAAATGGACAATCATTATCAGGATTTTTCAATTATATATAGCAATTGACAGTAGCACAGGACATCCTTTTCCCCCCAGCAAGTTTGGAGAAAGGAGAAAAGACAGTTATTAGTTCTGACTCTTGATCAGTACTTATCTATGATACTACTTAACACTAACTTCAAAAGCCTAAATGTTACCCTGAGATAATTAAATATTGTTATCTTTATGCTTTAGCCTTTGCTTTCTATGTTCTATGTCTCAGTATCTTACACACAGGAAAAAGTAAAAATACACACAATCATACATAAATTTTTCCTCCAAAAAATGAAAAGGCCTTTTTGAAAATAGGGAAAAGATAGTTAAATAGCTTGGGGTGGAGGAGTGTGGTAAAACATACTATTTCTCCTAACACTGGAAAATTCTCAAATTACATTATATTTAATAAAAAACTGTATGTGTGGAAAATTTTATAAAAAGAAAATGTCTATATCAAGGGTCTAATAGAAAAAACAGAGCTTTCCCTAATAGTGAAAAACATCTAGTGAATAAGTTGCTTATTAGAAACTGTTTATTACAACAAACATGATTAGTTTTATTGCTTCCTTACTAAAGCATGTGAAAACAAAGAATACACTTTAGTACTAGAAGTTTATTAAATGACAGTATTCAGGTCTGTCTCTATTCACTGAAATATTTTTATTAGTTCTATTGTATCCTCTGTCAATTTTTTTTAGTAAAGCGAGAAAAAATTGCACATAATTACAACTTAAGGATCTAGACAAATCCAAACCAAATAATTCATCTTTAGCTTAGTGCATTTTATTTTATTTATTTATTTCTTTTGAGACAGAGTCTCGCTCTTGTTGCCCAGGCTGGAGTGCAGTGGCATGATCTTGGCTCACTGCGACCTCTGCCTCTTGGGTTCAAACAATTCTCCTGCCTCAGCCTCCCAAGTAGCTGGGATTACAGGCGCGCACCAACATGCCCGGCTAATTTTTGTATATTTAGTAGAGATGGGGTTTCACTATGTTGGCCAGGCTGGTCTCGAACTCCTGACCTTGTGATCCGCCTGCCTCAGCCTCCCAAAGTGCTGGGATTACAGGTGTGACCCACTGTGCCTGGCCAGGTTAGTGCATTTTAAATGTGATATTAAAATACTACTCTGGCCGGGCACAGCGGTTCACGCCTGTAATCCCAGCACTTTGGGAGGCTGAGGCAGGTGGATCACTTGAAGTCAGGAGTTCGAGAAGAGCCTGGCCAACATGGTGAAACACCGTCTCTACCAAAAAATACAAAAATGAGCTGAATGTGGTAGCATACACCTGTAGTCTCAGCTACTCAGGAGTCTGAGGCAGGAGAACTGCTTGAATCCAGGAGGTGAAAGGAAGTTGCAGTGAGCCAAGATCGCACCACTGCACTCCAGCCTGGGTGACACAGTGAGAACCTGTCTCAAAATAAATAAATAAATAAATAAATAAATAAATAAATAAAATAAAATAAAATACTACTCTGGCAAAATACCAACATGAGACTACGTATTTAATGAAATGCAATGAAGTATTAGATCTTTCTAATTATAAAATAGAGAAAAAATGCATAACTAATCAAGAAAACCAATTCACTCATCAATTTTAAATTTTAAAAACACTATCATATTTTTGATTTGTTTTAAGTAGTACTTTTTAAAGTTTATGAACTCCATTCTTAGTCTAGCACTTCAGAAGTTCAAAAGGGAATTTATGATTGTAGCCAAAACAGTGTTTCTGACATTTTTTAAAGCCACTATGAAAACTAAAGCAAAACAAAAAATAATTGCTTAGATTAAGTTGAAGATTAAATTAACTAGTTAAATGATGGTTATATTTCCTTTTATTAAAACTGTGACTATATTAATACTTGATATATTTCAACACTTTATGATTGAAGATTACTTTGTTAATAGATGAGTATCAATTTTTCTCTGGAGATTAGATGCTTCTCATACAAGTTTTAAATTCTTAACATTAATTCAGTTCTCTGATTGGCATAGCTTTATCAAAATAATCTCTGTGTTCTTACCTTAAGTAGAATTATCCCTAAATTTTCATTTACCTCCTCCCTAGATTCCCAACTGTAAATATTCTTAATAGTCCCCTAAGAATGCACGTTCCATCCCAGGGCTCCTTTTGTGGTTAAAGACTTCTAGTGTGGACTGCTAAGGTCCTTCACATTCGCATTCACACCACGTTGTATGAGTTTTCCAGGAAGCATGAAATGAATGAAGGGTGACAGAGCAGCCCCGCTTTTCTAGAGTGGTTCATATATTCCTTATGGTTCATATGGTCATCATTGGGATGAACAAAACGCACTCATGGGCGAGGGTCTAGCAGGTATTTTTTCAAGTCCAACCGAGAGAAGATAAATGAAAAAGACAACAAATTCCACAAAAATAGATAGCTTTTGTAATCACTTTGCCAACTGATTATTTGGCTATACAAACTGCTAGAATGTCTGCAGGGATAGAGTTGGTTTCTGTAAAACAAAAACAAGCCCCACAGCAATCACTGGAAACAAATAAAGGAAAAGGAGGCCCTGAAAAAAGATGAGGAAAAAAGAAGCTAAATTAAGTTCTCTAATTTAACTGCTGGGGGGTTAACAGTATATTCAAATTTTGCCCTGTAATTGTAGAAGTTATATAGCAGATACTTGTTATCTAAGAAAAGGGATTTTTGGATGTAATTAGGATATAATCTTAATTCTCAGTGAGTCAACTCTAAAATATATATATGGAAGAAATGGTACTGAACTTTCTCTTCTTGTAAATAGCAGACTGGGCAATTCAGACTAGTTGTCTCTCTTAAAAAAAGTAGAAAAGATAGACAAAATATTTTTCTTAAATCCGTTTGTAGACATCAGACAGCTAACAAATTAGTGAAGGATTACTAGACCAATACCCATGGAGTAGATGAAAATCCTGAGAAGTGGGCAGCATTTGGAGCTGCATTTGCTCCGAGAGTATCACCCCATCAGGAAGAACCAGGTGAGAGATCCAACAGCACTTTAGACTGTCTCTGTTGTCTATGGAAACAAAAGGTGGAGTCCAGAGTCTGGAAAAGGTGGAAGCTTAGTAAACCCCATCCTCAATTATAAGGGGATCTCAAAATGCGAATCACAGACTGCAGCCCAGCCTTCAGGAATCTGAGTGGCTCAGAGGTCTCAAATCCTGAAATTGGAATAAAGTTTGTAAGGGTCACCAGAAATCTGGCAGAAGTAAGTAAAAATCCTTTCTGAAGGAAAAGAACATCATCCTAGGCCTAAAGTTATTTCTACAAAATGCTCAGCACAGAATAGAAAAAACTGAAAACAAAAATTGGCTTATGAAGAGATAGGATCACATGAAAGAGAACCAGCAAAAAATAACAGGCAATAGAAATACAGACTTCAGGCCGTGCACGGTGGCTCACGCCTATAATCCCAGCACTTTGGGAGGCAGAGGTGGGCAGATCACCTGAGGTCAGGAGTTTGAGACCAGCCTGGCCAACATGGTGAAACCCTGTCTCTACTAAAAATACAAAAATTAGCCAAGTGTGGTGGCGTATGCCTGTAGTCCCAGCTACTTGGGAGGCTGAGGCAAGAGAATCACTTGAACTCGGGAAGCAGAGGTTGCAGTGAGCCAAGATCACGCCACTGCACTCCAGCCTTGGCAACAAAGTGAGACTCCGTCTCAAAAAAAAAAAAAAAAGAAATACAGACTTCAGATATAGAAATTTGTATCTGAAGTCTGCTATTTTCAAGTAAAAGACAATATGAACATTTCAGCAGCAAACTTGAAACTATAAAAATGACTTAGAAGATTTTAAAGAACCAAATTTCTACGTATGAAAAATACTTAATAGATAGGTTTAAAGGCAAATTACACTCTAGCCTGGGTAGCAGAGCAAGGCTCTGTCTCAAATAAATAAATAAAGGCAAATTAGATCTCTCTGAAGGGAAGAGAAGACTAGAGAAGAAAGATTAGGTAAAGCATATGTGGTAAAACGTTAACTGGGGAATCTGGATGAAAGATATACAGGAGTTCTCTGCACCATTCTTGCAACTTTTTTGTAAGCCTGAAATTATGACAAAATGAAAAGTTATAAAAAATGAGGATAAAATAAACACATTGGCCTAATAAATAAAAACTGAGAGAATTTGATAGCAAACCTGTGCTATAAGATATGCTAAGCAAAGGCTAAACGATGCAGTGCGTCTGGCTAAAAGAAAATGGTATCATATTAAAACTCAGATCTACAAAAAAAGTGAAGAACACTGGAAATGAAATGTAGATAAATATAAAAGACCATCCGTTTTCTTAATTTCTTTAACTGATTTTTTTGAAGCAAAAATAAAACAGTATGTCTACAGGGATATATAATAGTCAGCGTAATATTAACAATAAATAACTGCATAATGTTTAAAAAATGTGAGATACCTAAAACAACTGCATTATTGTTTATACATACAAATCCATCTTGCCTCCCACAGTGGCCACATAGAAGGCTATGTACTTATTACAATAATGCTGCCACTATTTTAAATATTTGGAACTTCCTCTTTGGGGTTACTTTCAGTGATAACTTATGAATCCAGAACCTGTCTCATTACTTGATATTTTCAAATGTCTTCTCACTTGAAATAATAATGCCCATCCTTAGCATCTTTTCATTCATTGTAAGAGTCTCCAAATGACTTTTGAATATTTCTAAAGAATAAATCTAACTACATATCAGTGTTGCTGAATTAAAAGTTTTGTCACTTGTGGTAAAAATATTTTTAATGAACAGTTATAAAATGTTCTGAGAAATAGCAACAACCACTGACTCTAAAATCACTGGACATATTGACCTTATAAACATTCTGATATTTACCCAACTAGATAAAATTATTAACTAGTGTATAATTCTTTTCAAATTTTAAGAGAAGATATTTTAATAAAACCTCATTTATTTAATGGTCACTTAGCAATCTCAACTATAAAGGCGGCAACAGTGAATCAGACTATAGAAATAACTCTAACAAAAATAGTATTTTGGTTTCTAAACTCACAAGAGATTAGGAACACCAAATTAGGAGAAAAAATAGTGCTCTTGTAGACCAGAACAGTGAGACTGGCAAAAACGAGAACTCAGAAACTTTGGGGCTTTTCAGATAAGTGCACACTGATCCAAATACTTCCTAGTGACTCTGAGAAGCATCATAACTTGCCTAGCACAAAATACTGTATATTTGGAGATAGGGCCTTTAAAGAGGTGACTAAATTAGAATGAGGCTGTTAAAGTGGGCTCTAATCCAGTTTGACTGATGTCCCTATAATAAGAGGAATTTTGGACACAGAGAAACACCAGGGGTTCCTGCACACAGAGGGATGACCATGTTAGGACAAAGCAGTGAGAAGGAGGCCAGTGACAAACCAAGGAGAGAAGCCTAGCACAGATCCTTCCCTTACAGCCCTCAAAAGAAACCAACCCTGCTGGCACCTTGATCTGGGGCTTCTAGACTCCAGACTGTGAGAAAATACATTTCTATTGCTTAAGCCACCCAGTCTATAAAATTTTGTTATGTTAGCTCTAGCAAACTAATACATTATGTATTCTTTTGTTCAAAGATTTCAAATTTACAGCCTATGTCTGATAAAATACCAGAAAGAATAAAATTGAAAGTTTAATTTTTCTCTTAAAAGGGCAATACTCAAAACCACAATGAGATGCCACTTCATACTCATTTTCTGTTTCCAAAAGAAAACAAAGAAAAAAAACACACGTTGGCAAGGATGTAGAGAAATTGAAACCCTCAGGCATTATGTAAATAATGTAAATGTATTTTTATACTTACATTATTGTAATGTAAATAATATGTAAACATTGTAAATAATGTAAAATAGTGCAGCCACTGTGGAAAAGTTTCATGGTTCCTCAGACAGTTGGACATAGAATCACCATATGATCTAGCAATTCTGCTCCTAAATATATACCCCAATAAACTGAAAGAAGTCTTAAAAAGATTTTTGAATACCCATGTTCATAAGCAGCATGATTCACAATAGCAAAAGGTAGAAGCTTTTTTTCATGAACACCCACGTGTCCATCAACAGATGAATGGATAAACAAAATGTGATATATACACACAACGGAATATTATTCAGCCTTAAAAAGGAATGAAATTCTGACACATGCTACAGCTTGGGTGAACTTTTAAAATATTATGTTAAGTGAAATAAGCCAGATACAAAAGAACAAATACTGTATGATTCCACTTACATGAAATACCTAGAATAGGCAAATCCATAGAAACAGAAAATAGAATAGTGGTTTTCAGGGGCTGGGGGCAGGGGAAAACGAGATGTTATTGCTTAATAGGTGCTGAGTTTCTGTTTGGAATGATCAAGAATTTCTAGAAATGGATAAGTGGTGATGATTGAACAACACTGTCAATATACTTAATATCACTGAATTGTACAGTTAAAAGGGTTAAAATGGTACATTTTATGCTATCTATGTTTTATCACAAAACAAAAAAATGGCAATACCTGAGTAAATGGAATGTCATAATCCCTGTAGAAACCAGTTCTTTTTTTATGGGAACTTTCTGTATGTTCAACATCTGAATCAAGGCTGTAGTCCGAACTATCATCACTAGATGGGGAATTATGCTGAAGGGAGGGGAAAGACAAATATGTTACATTTGCAAAAGGAAGAAAATTTAACTAGTAATTAGATAAGCTTGTTTCAGCCAGAGGTACCAACCAGTAGATTATATTATTCCAGGAGACTCTGAAGTACTACTGAAAAATTCTTGCCCCAAAGGCCACCACCATTCCAACTTCGCTGAGGTTTTCTGAGAAGTCTATCTTCCTCTCTGCTCAGAGACTTTATGACATTTTCCTCATCATCCCTTTGACCTAAACAGAAATATTCTGCCCCTATGCTCTAAAATGATCTACATTTAAGCTAAACCTAAAGAAAGTAAAATTGGCTCCTAGATCACCAAGAAAGGTCATAGAACATGAGTAGAGTATGTATTAATTTGTTTTTACCTAAAATGGCTTTGGAGTTCTTATTCTATTGCATGAGTACCCTAAAACTAAAAGATACCAAAACATTACAAATTACAAAAATAAAATAAATCTGGCCCACAAAATTGAACAAAAGTGAAATGAAAAGCATAAGTAATTGATAATGATTATTGATGTCAAGTACAATGATAATTGATATCAAGAGTAAGCTTTTTCAAGTATTAATACAATTTCAAAAAAAATGGGACCAAATCTCCTCCATCTGGTCAGAATGATTACCTTCCCGAGTTGAGCATTCTCTTTAAAGAGTTCTTACATTTCCTAGCAATGAAAACACTGGCTCTGTGTATTATTATCATTGCAGTCCCAGCATCTAGATCTAGTACAAACTCAGTAAAAATTTGCTGAAATGATTGAACTCTGATGCTTTTACAAGGGAAGGCTCTGTTTTTCTCTAATCCATCCTGAAATGTTATTTTAGGAAAGACAAATTGCTTTCCTCCATCTTGTTCCTAAATGGTCTGGAGTTTGGTTTTTATGATTTTATTGCTTTTGTCTTTGTTGATTTGATAGGTGACATAAAGAAATATTTTTATAATTATGCTGTCAAATGCTTCAACTTTAAGTATCTAATCATTCTTGGCTAGGATTTAAAATAAATAGTGTCTATTTAAAAGCCATGTTTGCTCAGTCACCATCAGAAGTCAGCTCCAGCTCTAAGGAAAACCTTTCACCTGAAAAATACTAATAGAATTATACTCTGAAAAGATTTGGTCCTTGTGTTTCTTGGTAGGGTAGATTACAAACTCCAAAAAGTCTCAGACTTTTTGACTCTCTAGAATTAATTTTGTTAGGTAGTACTTTTCTAGAAAATTTTCCATTTCATCTTGCTTTTAATATTTATTTTCATAAAATTATATACATAAATTTCTTATGATTTGAATTTCCTTTTTGATAGTTATTTCACCCTCAGCATATATACATTTATTTTTCTTTTCCCTTTTATTATTGATAAGTTTGGTCAATGATATATATGTTGTTGATCTTTTTTAAAAAACTATTGGTTTTCATTCTAATTCATTCACTTCTGCTTATAATTTTATTAAGTACTTCCTTTTGGTTTTGTTTTGTTTTGTTATTATTCTATGCTGTTTGAGCATAGCTTATATTGTTTTCTTAATTTTTTGTCATTTTAAAATATTAGGTTAAATTTTTCATATGCTTTGTGGGCATGCTTTCTTTTCTGGAAGACTTACTCTCCATTATTCTCTTTTATCTTACAATAACAACTATGGAATGTGACCATAGTCTTATCTTGCTTCTCATGTGAAAAAAATGGATGGAATGGGCCAATAAAGCTTTCCTAGCTTCATAGCTCTAGGGTTATCTCTTCTGTTGTTAGCATGAAGTATTCAAAAATATGGCTATTTTCTGAGCTATGCCTCTTCTGCTTCCTTCCCCCATTTGTTATCTGACTATTTCTTTCCTTGGCCCTATATGCCTGTTTCTCAATGTAGACTTTACTTCCAGCAGTTACCTCCTCAGTGTGGGACTCTGTCATAAAAAGGAATTTGGTTGATTCATATTTGGGGTTCATCAGGTCCAGATCTTTTCAGCACCATCCAATTTCTGTGGTCACCTTACATTCATGCATGAACTGGTGATAGCACAGCCCCCTCCCAGTTTCTGTTGCTGTTCTCAGGCCCATGAGGTTTCCGTGCTGGGCACTGACCATTTGAGGTGAATATCTGTTGGCAACTTGGTTTCTGGAAGTCCCTTTATTTTCCCTCTGCTTCATTTGTACTGATGCTGTTGTTACACTGCTCTTGTTGCTGTCTATCGTTTGGCTCCAGTCATTTGTACTTTTTAGGTTTATTAGAGATAACTTGTTTCTTCCTTTTTTTGTAGATGTTGTCAATGGGTTTTGGTTGTGTTATCCTAATTGATGTGATTTTAATGGAGGAAATTCAGGGAGTTTCAAAACCTGCTCCTACATTGCTGCCAACTTGTCCATGATTTCTCAGTCAGCATAGGTTCCCCTTCTTCCCTACCCCAAATCCACATAATTCTCTATCCAGTACCTTGTTGTTTTTTTCATAGCTTTCCCATTGCAATGTAAACTCTTTAAGAGCCAACTATTTCACTCACTACTATAACCCTCAGCATACAGCATAAAGGTTTCCATAGTAAGCACTCGATCATATACCTAAATGAATAATAAATAGATGGACAATGCCAATGCTGCTAATCTGTATCTGTAGAGAATGAAACTCTCTTTCCTTAATCTTCCAATATCCATGTATACAAGCTTCCATCAATTAAAATATTATTTATTTCAATCTGCGTTAAAATTTAACTTGAAGCCCGGTGTGGTGGCTCACACCTGTAAACCTAGCAATTTGGGAGGCCACGGTTGGCACATCACTTGAGCCCAGCAGTTTGAGCCCAGCCTGGGCAACATGGCAAAACCCTGTCTCTACTAAAAATAAAACATTAGCCAAGTGTGGTGGTGTGCACCTGTAGTTCCAGCTACTCAGGAGGCTGAGTGGGGGATCACCTAAGCCTGGGAGATCAAGGCTGCAGTGAGCCAAAATTGTGCCACTGCACTCAAGCCTGGACAATAGACCCTATCTCAAAAAAAAAAAAGATTTAACTTAATTACTTTTTAAATCTTTAAGATAATTCATATAATCTTTGTTTAGAAAGTTTAATCACATAAATGAAAATATCTAATCCACATGTTTTATAATAAAATAATGACTTCTACTTTCTAATTTTCAGTATTTTATATTTCATAAACATTTATCAAAAGAATAAAAAGTAGATTCTAACTAACCTTATGTTTCTCACGTTTTCTCCTTTTGGATTTTTTCTTCTCTCTCTCTTTCTTATGTTTTTTTCTTGATTTTCTGTAGGCTTTCTCACTTTTCTGCTTTTCATTCTCTTTTGCTTCTTTTTCTTGTATTTCTTCAAATCCTGCATCGTCTATTTCACCATCTTCTAATTCGCCATCTTCTCTATAGAAGGAAAATTTTAATTTTCAAATATCATTCTAAAACAAATCTTACAGAAAGATTTTCAAAAGAAAAAAAGCATATGCCAAGGATTTATGTTATATTCATTTAGACAAGCACTTGAAAAATTTTTCTATAAAGGCCCAGATAGTAAATATTTTACATTTGCAGGCCATATATGGTTTCTGTTGCGAATTCGTCTTCATTTAACATTCCTTTAAGAATGTAAGAACCATTATCAGCAGCCGAAGTTTGCAAACCTCTTAGATTAAAATCACTGATTCTCACAAAATGAATGCATGAATAAATACAGTGCTATCCCAAAGTACTCCAATAGTTACCATCTACTAAATTTTCTTCAAAAAAAGGAATTAAACTAAAATGCTCTAAGAAACACTCGACTTACAGGAAGGTATTTTTAACTTAGTGGCTCATAGACAGCTATAGTTTTAAAATAAAAGGAATCTAAGAACCAAGAATGGGCTGCCCTTGGCGAAAGAGGATCTAGGATCCAGTTGGTGCAGCTTATGGCTTGTCCCTATGCATACAGTTCTTAAATTTTTTTTTTTTTTTTTGAGATGGAGTCTCACTCTGACGCCCAGGCTGGAGTGCAGTGGCACCATCTCGGCTCACTGCAAGCTCCGCCTCCCGGGTTCACGCCATTCTACTGCCTCAGCCTCCCAAGTAGCTGGGACTACAGGCGCCTGCCACCACGCCCGGCTAATTTTTTGTATTTTTAGTAGAGACGGGGTTTCACCGTGTTAGCCAGGATGGTCTCAATCTCCTGACCTCGTGATCTGCCTGCCTCGGCCTCCCAAAGTGCTGGGATTACAGGTGTGAGCCACCCACCACACCCGGCCAAATTATTCTTTTTTTATTTTTATTTCTAAAAAATAATTCTTTCAATAGATAATACAGGCATGTGGCTTAAAGGGAAACCTCAAAAGGCACATAAGGATCTGTCTCATTTTAAGTTAAAAAATACTGTATCAGTATCAAATAATTAAACATTTCTTCATTTGAATCATAACTTTTTTCTTTATTGTATTGTTCCCTTTCCTGTGCTTACATATTTTCAGAAATTTTAGTTGGTGTGCATACGACAATTTGTATTTTGTACTTAAATATTTTACATTTCATGGCTGTATATTCATTTGATCAAGTTCTTTTATATCATAAATAATTCACATAGAGCTGGGCATTTGATTGCTTGCCGATAACTCGGCAATAAGCATTTTTAAGCATGAAGTAATTCTTTGGTTGAATTTTATTCTTGATATGGGGCTTACTTAAGAGTGAGATTTCTGGTCTACAGAAATTACCATGCTCATGAATTTTGACGTGTATCGCCATGATGCTTTGCACAAGGGCTGCACCAATTTAGATCATCTTTAGCAGTGAATCAGCAGATTAGTTTTACTACAACTTTACTAATGTTGGTGGTGGAATTTCAGTTGGTTTTTTTTGCCAGCTTAATAGGTCTAAAATTTTACTTTCTTTGATGACTAGTGAAGTTGAATTTTCCCTGCCTGTTATATTGCTTGCATACTTTGCCTGTTTGTGTCACCGTCCTTCTTTTGGATTGGGGTCATACTATTTTTTTAAACTTATCTGTGTAAAACATTTTATTCAAAACTAGTACTGTTGGTCATATTTAATACAAATGTTTTTCATAATCTGAAAAAAATAAATTTTTTAAAAAGCAATATATCTATCTATATGTATATATATATTTTTTGAGACAGGGTCTCACTCTGTCACCCAGACTGCAGTGCAGTGGCACGATCTCAGCTCACTGCAACCTCCACCTCCCAGGTTCAAGCGATTCTCGTGCCTCAGCCTCCGAGTAGCTGGGATTACAGGCACACGCCATCACATCCGACTAATTTTTGTATTTTTACGGAGATGGGGGTTTCACCACGTTGGCCAGACTGGTCTCAAACTCCTGACCTCAAGTGATCTGCCTGCCTTGGCCTCCCAAAATACCGGGATTACAGGTGCAAGCCACCGTGCCCAGCCAGTCAATATTAATTCTTACCAACAAACACTAAGTAAACAAACAAACAAAAAACCAAATTTTCATACACAGATAGTAACAAAACTCAAGCCACAAAACAATTCCTCAACTTGAATCTGTAAAAAAGATTCATAGTAGAACTATAAATCTAATTTCTTTCCAAATACTAGTATCTTTGCTATTATGGAGGCTGAATCCTAGAAACAAACTGACTTTTATATTGATTATGACATTTTATAGATAGAAACCAAAATATTCATTAATAGTATTTTAAAATGCAAATAAACCAACCGATACACATGGAAAGATGAATACATAAAACAATTTTAACATTTAATCATACTTCCAAAACACTATAGTTTGAAAAAGTGCAAACTACTACAAATAGTACATGCAGAAAGGTAACTGTCTATGTATAAATGGCAGCAAATGAAAAACAACTAAACTATGGTGTGGGCATTTTAAAGGTAATTTAGAATTACCAGGTATGTGTAATTTCTTAAATACAAAACTGATCATGTCACTCTCCTGCCATAAATCTTCAATGATATGATATGATATATCTCAAATCTGCTTCAAAATAATCCACTACGGATAGTGGACGTGGTCTTAATAAGATTGGCCATGAGTTGGTAACTGCTGAAACTGGGATGTGTATACGAGGATTCATTCTATTCTTTTTGAGGTGTTCTATAATAAAAAGATAATCTTCAATGGTTCCCTCTGCTCACCCAGCTACTTTCAATTTCTCAAGTCTACAAGCCTTAAAAAGTGCCTAAAATCTCTCAATGCCCAGCTCATGTCACCAGCCTCACCACACCTCTTTCACCTGGCTAATTCCAATTCAGTATTTCGGATGCAGTTTAGATGTCATTTCCTACAAGATGTCTCCCATTACTACCCAGATTTAGGTGAGATGCTTCATTCTAAGTACTCCTCTGCTAGTTCTCATTTCTCTTATCATTGCACTCTGTACATTATGTCAAATGACTTGTTTGTTCATTGGTGAAAGCAGGGTGTATGACTGTCTTTTACAGAGGTATCTCTAGCACCTAGCATGGCACCTTGCTATTTACTGAATCCCTGAATGTATAATACCCATAACTCTTGCATCATAGAAGAGGCATATGATACGACCCTAAAGTGGCTGTAAAGTCACTGGAATTTTCCCCAGCTTCTACTATAAAATCAGAGAGGTAATATTCACTTAGACTTGAAAATTGCTTATGAGGCAGTCTTGGCATTCTGGCTATTTCAATTAAAATGTTTTGAACTTTTATAAACTACAAAACCTTACAATCCGAGAAAATGAGTGCACATATTCACCAAAAGACAAGTATAAGAATGTTTTTGACAGCTGTAGTCATAATAGTAAAAAATTATAAATAACAAATCTCTATCAACAGGCAAATAGATATATAAATTATGCTTTATTTATATCATAGAATACTACAAAGAAAAAATTAACAACTGCTACAAAAAAACAATATAGAGGAATCTTATAGACATAATGAGGAGTGAAAGAAGCCAGACACAAGACAGTACTGTATGATTTCATGTATATGCACTTTGAAAACAGACAAACCAATATATAACAGAAGTCAGAATAGTGATTACCTCTTGCACGAGTGCAAGTGACAAAAAAAGGGGTATTAAGGAAACTTCTGAGGTACTGAAATATTCTGTATATTAATCTGTGTGATTACTATATATACATTATACACATTTGTAAAAACCCATCAAGTTATACATTTAAGTATTGTGTACTTTGCTATCTACATTTATACCACAATAAAATTTAAAACACAAATGACAAAAAAAATCTATAAGTGTTTATCCTTTCTTTTACTGCGCCTCTCCTTCAACGTGAGCTCCTTAAAGCATAAAAAAAATTACATCTGGAAATCACTGCTTCATATTTAGCATTTTAACTAGAGCTATTTAAAAACAAAGTAAACATGCTAAAAATGCCCATAAACTCATGTCCTACTTTACATACATTATTTAAGTGTGAAATGTGGGTCATTTATATTTGTTACGAGATATAAAACACTGCAAGCTTTTAAAATTTTTTTTAGTTTCCCTTAGCCTACTTATCATTTCAGCATTCATATAATAGCAGATTTAAACTTGTATATTTTTGTATGGCTACAAAAAATGCGAGAGAAAGAGGAAATAGAGAAAAATAATTCACACTATGAACTGCTTCCAAACCCTTTGAAATGTCAGCTTTGGACGCATGTGGAAAGCATGTGTGGTATAATGGAAAGAGAAGGAGACTCCATGGGAGGAAAGCTGGATTCTAATTCCAGCTCTATCACCAAAATAAAATAAAGCTTTCTTAATTGAACACCTAGTAATGTATCAGATACTAACCTAGTGATCTTGGGAAATACCTAGAAGAGGTAATAGAAATAATTAAGAGTTCTTATCATTCTCTAGATTTTGAACTAGCTTAATACTATTATATAAGAGCTGTTTTGTTTACTAAACACAAGACTTTAAAAAATGTAATACATCAAATAGATAAGTTCCTCAGTCAATTAATTATATATGTGACGTTTTATTAATATAAACACAATAGACTGATTATGTCCTTTTTAAAAAAGGAGCATATTCATGTTCTTGTACCAATGACTGGTAAATAACTGTTCAGTTAATAAACAATAATTTTAAAAGATTTTATATCTTAGGCAAATCTATACAGATACAAAGTAGATTAGGAGTTGCCAGGTAGATTAGAGGGAAAAATAGGGAGTGAATGCTAGTGGGTAAAGGGTTACTTTGTGGAGTGGTGAAAATGTTCTAAAATTAAATAGTGGTAATGACTGTACTACTCTGAATATACTAAAAACCAGTGATCTGTACACTTTAAAAGTGAAATGTATCTCAATAAAGCTGTTATTTTAAAAAATAGTTAAAAATATTTTTTCTCTAGATCTAAGTATCTAGATTGAGACAACTGGGGAAAATCATAATACCCTATGGTATAAAAATTCAAGACTCTGAAAATGGTCAGTACCCTCGTCACCCATGATGTTCTTATTCTAAGGTAATTATTCATTAAATCTTTACAAACTGATATGCCTTAATAGAGGATTCTACTTTTTTCCACTCTGATATTGATGGCTATTAAAATAAATTAACCTCAACTATTCAGTCTTACCTCCACAGTAGTTTCTGCTTTTTTTTTATGCTTGCCTAAAGGCTCCTGTTACAAGCTACAGATCAGAAACTGAGTCTTCTGGAAGAAACACAAAAGCCTCTATAAAAGACTATACAAGTACTCCTGATAGATGATAGTACAATGACATTACTCATGAATGCAAACTTCTTGGGATAATATGATCACCACAAAAAAAGACAATCTTCAGAATGTGCCAAGTGACTGTGTCAGAATCTCTAGGATTTCTTTGCAGTCCAGGAGCAAACAACTTAATAGAAGCAGAATGCTTATCCTAAGACCAACAGAACAAAATTTCCTAGATGTTTGAAATGATTACTTATAACATTTTTCTTTTCATGCTTTTGTACTAATTCACACGGTCGTTTCTTCCTTACTATAGATGATAAGGTAGGATAACTGCTCTGTACTCGTGCCCTGGAAAACTCGCATGCCTCCACATAGGCTACTTACGTAAGCCCAACGATAGGCTGACCTAAGCTTTGGCAGAATGCTCTGTGTTCCTTCAGAATATGGAAAGATAGGCAGTATTGTGAGGTGCTGCTACAAGGCTATTTCTTACCAACCTCCATATTTTGTGGGAGCCTGCTGGGAGGCAGTTTCTCATCCACCTTCCCTGGTTCCATGAGGTCTGAGATTCACCACCTTGCCCACTCCTTAGGATGTAGCTGTAGGCTAAAAAACTACTTAGCTACAGGATGGAAACTGTTCCTCAGCCAGAGTGCCCACCACTCATGTTACCTATCATGTGGTCCCGTTTAGTTTCAGTGTTACCCTGCGGATGAGGGACATGAGGAGCTGACACTATGCTGATCATGCATTTCTCTAAGTAATTAATAAACTGTCTGAATATGTCAGCTTGCTTGATAGATAACTTGATTTGAGTCTAGGCTTTGCCCATGCCTATTCTGATCTTTTCCCTCAACCTAAATAGCACATGTATAGTTCTCTTGATTAATCCTTAAACTAACTCCCTACCTTACCCCCACCAAACTAGTATTTCTCCTCAAGGAAAATACTGTCTGCTCACACTGGGGCCATGGAAGATCCACCAGACATGAGTTTTCGTGATTTTCTGTTTATCTCAAAACTTGGCCTTCGGCATTTACATCTTGGATGGCTTTTTGTATCTCCATTTTCTCTTTACAGTTTCATAAACAGTTCCTCTTGAAAAATTATCAGTGGTAAAATCTGATGAGTATCAATAGTCTTCAAAGTGCTTTTTATCTTCATCCTTTATCCAATACATTCTTACACCCTCTGAAATTGTTTAGTTTGCAGAAACTTAGCTTACCCCTTTTTGACTATTTACAGCCATGGCAATTTTTACTTGGTTTGTTTTACTGCTCAAGCCAGTCTTAGAATTTCTCAAAGCCTCAACCCAAATATAAAATCCTTCAGGAATGAGACTTAGTACAAATATATGGGCAATATTATAAATTTTAATTAGCCTAATGGCCTCCATAGTCCTATGACAACCTTTGGAATTTTTGCTGAACTCTATGCAAGGTATCTCTACCCAAGAGATAACTGAGAATTCCTTTCTTACTTACTTTTGTTACAAGTAATTCCTCTTTTGTTCTTAAAACTACACATGGCTCTCCTAATTTTTACCTCCTGAATCAACAACATATTTACTTACATTTGCCTCATTAGAACCTAACTTGCATATATGCATAATAACTCCAGGTATACTGGAGTTATTATATAGCTCCAATGTAATAATTAGATGATTTAAGAGACTTCTCACGTCTTCCAGGAGATCATGCTTACCTGGGAGTGTCTGAGAGGACACTGATCTCCCTGGATGGGGGTTACAAAACTTGAAAAAGCTACCAAAACTTGGTTAATAATGCTGACTGAAAAGATAAAGCCATAAAACCTAGAAGTATAACCAACTAATCTAAAATAATTAATCCAAGTGGTTACAGGTAACAGCATAGCTTTAGATTGCTTAATGGTACACCAAGAAAAAAATATGACATATTGCTAACATTCCCTGATGAATGTGGAGGGAAGGTTGACTAACCTATAGTCAAACTGAAAGAAAAGACAATTTGGCTAATCAAAAGTGGACTCAGAAGGACCCTTGAGATCTGACCTCCTGGTCAAAATAAGGAAATCTTTGGTCATCAATCTAAAGTGACTTCCAGTGTCTCCTTATCATCGTTCTAGTTATTCTTGTCTCACAGTCTTCTAATGCCTGGTCTCCAGAGCTGTATATGCCACTGCATAGCTGTTATTTCACTGATGGCACAAAAAATTATTTTGCAATGGAACGAAAAATAAAGGGATTCTGATATTCAGTCAGGCCAAATGCCAAGCCCTTCAGTTAGAATTCCTACAAAGGTAATAAGCCATATAGCAGTGAATACGTAATCATCTGCTCTACTTCTACAGGAATAAGGGATGGTGAAAATAGGGGAGGGGATTGTTAAAACTGTGCCAGGTTCCCAGTCTGTGCACTCAAAAGTGTTGACCCTATGTCCCTGAGCTTAACATTCATATCCCATCTCAGACCTCTTTGTTAAGCAATGTCTGTGCTTTTGTGACAAAAGCAGAAAAAATAAAATAAAATAAAATGGAGAATTTCGAGTCCCCAAATGAACCAATTAGAACTTAATGCCTAGAACTGGCCAAACACAGTGGCTCACGCCTGTAATCGCAGCACTTCGGAGGCCAAGGCAGGCAGATCGCTTCAGGTCAGGAGTTCGAGACCAGCCTGGTCAACATGGTGAACCCCTATCTCTACTAAAAATACAAAAATTAGCCAGGCGTGGTGGCAGGTGCCTGTAGTCCCAACTACTTGGGAGGTGAGGCAGGAGAATCTCTTGAACCTGGGAGGCGGAGGTTGCAGTGAGCTAAGATCGAGCCACTGCAGTCTGGCCTGGGCGACAGAATGAGACTCTGTCTCAAAAAAAGGAACTTAGTGCCTAGCATCCTTCCCAACATGTAATAAGCTTTATTTTCTTCTTCATCTATCTCTCCCACTTTCTGTGCGGAGAGAAACACTGAACTCATTACTTAACCAGCAAGCAGACTGATTTACATTTATTTATTTAAGCTCTGGTTGTGTTTGTATTATTCCTTAAAGGTATTTATAAAATATTTTATTGAGGCCTGGCGCGGTGGCTCATGCCTGTAATCACAGCACTTTGGGAGGCTGAGGCGGACGGATTACCTGAGGTCAGGAGTTCGAGACCAGCCTGGCCAACATGGCGAAACCCCGTCTCTACTAAAACTACAAAAATTGGCCAGGAATAGTGGGACATGCCTATAATCCCAGCTACTCAGGAGGCTGAGGCAGGAGAATTGCTTGAGCCCAGGAGACAGACATTGCAGTGAACTGAGATCGTGCCACTGCACTCCAGCCTGGCCGACAGAGTGAGACTCTGTTCCAAAAAAAAAAAGTATTTTATTGAACAAACTATAAAATATGTAAATAATCACATAATCACAGTTAAAATTCTAGAGATTAAGATGAAACTAAAACTGAGATTAGCTTACACAGGGTATGCCAGAAACCCCTAACTAATTTTTAGATGTCAGTCACAAATCTGACTTTGAGCTTCAGGAAACAAAAGTTAGGCCTAAGACAACAGTGCTTCCGAGACAAAAACAGACCAGTTGCTCAAGAAAAGCACACTTTTTTTTCTGGGAGTAAGATCAGAGAGAAATTTCTCCTCTGGGTCCTGATGATATTACCTGATATAATGGATAGTACTTGATATGGCAGACACTGTCCTCAAGAGTGTCCATACAATCAATGCAACATTTTATTGCTTACAGCATATGCCAATTTGAGCCAAGGGCACACTACCAAAGTTCAATTAAGAAAAAACAATTATGTAAAGGAACAAAGTACTACTGTGCAAGTACACAATTGTCTGACATTCTGACTTAATCCAGAGATGAAATCCAAAATATCTGCAGCCATAATTCTTAAAAACTATATGTATGTAAGAATTTTATGTCCTTCCAGCTAAAAAAAAAAAAAAGGCCATTCATTCATTTAACACGTATTTATTCACCATGTTCTCAGTGGGGATACAATGGCAAACAAAAACAAGAAAAAGACATGGTTTCTTCTCTCATGAAGTTTTTAATCTTGGGACAGCACAGACACCAATCAAAGAATCACACAAATAAACATAAAATAACCACACAAGTATACGAAGTAGGTAAATGGTGCTATGAGCACACACAACAGGGGAAAGTCATCCGTCAGGGAAGTGTGGAAGGCTTTCCCTGAGGAAGTCGTAAATAAACTGAGATGAGGAGTCTGCCTGAGAGATAGGGGATGGGGAAGGGACCTCTGCAAACAAAGGAATAGGATGAGCAAAACTTCTGTGCAGAACAGAGTATGACACACTATAGGAACTGAGACAAGGCCAGTGTCACTGGGTCATAAATGTGAATTTCTTCAATTCCTCAGGAGTGATTTGAATGTTTGTCAGGAAATGGTGGTCACCAGGGCAGACCAGTTGGGTGACAGTATGGGATTTGGAGTTATAAGACACTATAGGTTTGTTTTTTTTTTAATTGAATAGCATTTTTTTAAGGGCTCAAAGAACATTAGTCCAAACTTTTTATTGTACAGGTTTTTCAAAAGCTGGGCACGGTGGTTCATGCCTATAATCCCAGCACTTTGGAAGGCCAAGGAGGGTGAACTGGTCAAGCCCAGGAGTGTGAGACCAGCCTGGGCAACACGGTAAAACCCCGTCTCTATAAAAAAATACAAAAATGAACCAGGTGTTAGGTGCGTGGCTGTGGCTCCAGCCACTCTGGAGGCTGGGGTGGTAGAATCACCTGAGCCTGGGAGGTCGAGGCTAGAGTAAGCTGTCATTGGGCCATTGTATTTCAGCCTGGGTGACAGAGACCCTGTCTCAAAAACAAAACAAAACAAAACAAACAAAAAACGGTAAAAATATTTAAATCATATGAAGCCAGAAAATCATATAAAGCTAGAAAATGGGTCACCCTATTTCATTTCAGGGTCCCAGATAAGTTGATGAAGAGTGGTTCAGGGCCGGCGCGGTGGCTCACGCCTGTAATCCCAGCACTTTGGGAGGCCGAGGCAGGCGGATCACAAGGTCAGGAGATCGAGACCAGCCTGGCTAACACGGTGAAACCCCGTCTCTACTAAAAAATACAATAAATCAGCTGGGCGTGGTTGCGGGCGCCTGTAATCCCAGCTACTTGGGAAGCTGAGGCAGGAGAATGGCATGAAACCAGGAGGCGGAGCTTGTAGTGAGCCAAGATCGCGCCACTGCACTCCAGCCTGGGCGACAAGAACAAGAGACTCCATCTCAAAAAAAAAAAAAAAAAGAAAAAGAAAAAAAAAGTGTTCAGGGCCTGGCACGGGTGGCTCATGCCTGTAACCCTAGCACTTTGGGAGGCTGAGGTGGGCAGATCACTTGAGTTCGAGACCAGCCTGGCCAACATGGTGAAACCCCGTCTCTACTAAAACTACAAAAATTAGCCAGAAATCGCTTGAATCTGGGAGGTAGAGGTTGCAGTGAGCCGATATTGTGCCACTGCACTCCAGCCTGGGCAACAGGGCGGGATTCTGTCTCAAAAAAAAAAAAGAAAAAAAAGAAAAAAAAGAGTGGTTCAGTTCAGCTCATCAAAGTCAGTAGGGTGGTGGTGGCGGGGGGGTGGGCAGTGAGAAGAGGAACGCTCAAAGAATGAAAACTATTTTATTAATAAGGTTTGCGGTTCAAAAAAGGGCTGAGCACCAATATCCAGAAGAGAGAGTGGAATATAGTGAGGTAGGTGATTGCCCTAACAGCAATTTCTACCTAAAGTTAGAGAGGATGCAAACCAAAACAAAAACCAAATGAAATCTCTTATTTCATGAAGACCCACGGTTCTGGCAAAGTGAGGTCACCTGAACCTGGAAATTAAAATAGGAGTGTTAAATGAGAATAACCAGCAACAAAAGATTTCTTAAAAGGACTACTTAAGGCTTTAAACTTAAGTGGCATGTTAAAACTAATTACTTAACATCATAGCAAGGTAGAAGAACACAAAGCTCTAGAACCAGAAAGATCTGTGTTCAAATTCTGCTTCCCAAAGTACTACCTATATGAACATGAACAAATTATGCCATCCCTCTAACATTCAGTTTCCTTGTCTACAAAATGGGATGAATTAATCACCCTTACCACTGCAGAGTTGTTTAAGGATTGAGATAAAGTTAATTACCTAGCACTGTACCACCTAGTAGATAGCCCTCAACGAAAGCTTCCTTTCCCTTCGTGACTTAACTGAACTATACATATCTGAATAGAATTACTATGCTGGACTACAAGTACTTCCACAGAAATGAACTGGGAAAGGTTACAAATCCAAGGAGAAGGGATTCTAAGAGGAAATTTCTCTTATTTTCCTTCAGAGAATACCAATGAAAAATTATCTGGAATAGGTTTAAAAAAAAAAAATGAAAGGAAGCTGGAATAGACCAAGTTTGGAGTCTGTTCCTGAAGGTATTTGTACTTTATTCCATCTCTATGCAACACTCAGCAGCAGTCTGCATGAACACCTCTCATACTCTCAAAGTCTCCCCAAGGCAACAATAAAACATAAAATGGAGTATGACATCTAGTGATCACAGGGATTATGGTGACAACAGATGTTAATGATGATTCAAAGTAACCAACTAAAGGATAAATCAGCAACTGTATAGTAAAACAGAAAGGCATGCCATGTATTTTATTTACAAAGAGTTCCTTCAAAATGTTTCCAACGGCCGGGGGCGGTGGCTCACGCCTGTAATCCCAGTACTTTGGGAGGCCAAGGCAGGCGGATCACGAGGTCAGGAGATCTAGAGCATCCTGGCTAACACAGTGAAACCCTGTCTCTACTAAAAATACAAAAAAATTAGCCGGGCGTGGTGGCATGCGCCTGTAGTCCCAGCTATGTGGGAGGCTGAGGCAGGACAATAGCGTGAACCCGGGAGGTGGAGCTTGCAGTGAGCTGAGATCGTGCCACTGCACCTCCAGCCTGGGCGACAGAACAAGACTCCATCTCAAAAAAAAAATTTTTTTTCCAACAAATTTGTTTTTGATAAGAAAATATCTGATAATTATTAATTATCTGCCCCCATCCAATGCAAGATGGAAGTAGTGCTGAACATTAATCTAGAAAATTAAGAATTTTTAAATATATCCATAAGCTTGTATGTTTGACATCATGAAGAAAACCACACTATTCCTAAAATATATTATACTTTATGTCATAAGCAGAGACAGACTATTGCATGAATAAGTCAAACTGAATTAGCTTGCCATAGCTTTTTTTTGAGACATTTTAAAAGTTATTATTTTTATATTTCATTTACTCTCTTGGGTATCTAAGCTAGAATTGATTTACTTTCATTACCTTTCAAATTATCCTCTTGATTTAGGCTTTCAGTGCAGACTGGGGAACTAGAAATTCCACAGAAACAAATCTCAGAAAACAAAATTCCCTTAGAATATGAGTATCAGAAAATAATCTTCTAGGTGCCATGACATCAAAAGTTTAAAAAGTTGATACTTTCCACAATATTTTCATA
The DNA here is from genome assembly GCF_000001405.40 of Homo sapiens. Lineage (NCBI taxonomy): Eukaryota > Metazoa > Chordata > Mammalia > Primates > Hominidae > Homo > Homo sapiens. The sequence continues at coordinate 112,287,092 of NC_000002.12, read as the reverse complement.
TAGCAGTTCTCTAGAAATGCTTACTGGATGAATCTACAATGAACCAGAGTGAAACTGCCTGTTACCTAGTAATATCCCAATGGGCATTTGGTCTGTAAATACCTAATATCCCAATCCAGTATCTGCTACTAGATTAACTGTAATTGTAAGGTACTGCAAGTGGGGGGCATAGGGGAGTAGATTTTTTAAAAGAAATGTTCCAAATTATACTTTGGCCTAAGTATTCAGCCAAAGTATGCTTCTCCAATTCTCCCTTGGCCCATCTCAAGTCATTTTTGGTATCCCTGAATGTCACATGGTCAGAGATTGCATGATCATTCAGTTACCATCATATCTAAACAGTATAACAAAAATCTGTCCAGGCACAGTGTCATGCCTATGAGCCCAGCACTTTGGAAGGCCAAAGCGGGCAGATCACTTGAGCCCAGGAGGCTCAAGACTAGCCTGGGCAACATGGCAAAACCCCGTCTCTACCAAAAATGCAAAATTTAGCTGGGCGTGGTGTTGTGCGCCCATAGTCCCAGCTACTTGGGAGGCTGAGGCAGGACAATCGCCCGAACTCGGGAGGCGGAGGTTGCAGTGCGCCGAGATTGCGCCACTGCACTCCAGTCTGGAAGACAGAGCCAACCTTGTTTCCAAAAAAAAGTGAGTTATGCGCTGGGTCGCCAAGATGTCGTTCCCAAAGTATACTCCTTCGCCCCTGGCCACTATGCCCTCAACCCAGCCGAACAGGACATATTTTTGGAAACCCAGCGGGCGCAAGCCAAGTGGTTGACCATTAAGAGCCTGGCTGAAACCTGCTTACCCTAACTGCCGAGGGCTCATCGAAAATCCTGCCTTGATTCCCTGGACCTATGCAAGATCAGCAAGTGTCTTTCCTAATTTCAGACCCACTCCTAAAAACTCACTCTTGGGAGCTCTGTGTGGAATTGGGCCCCTCTTCTTCTGGTATTATGTTTTTAAAACTGACATGGATAGGAAAGAAAAACTTATCTGGGAAGGAAAATTGGGTCCAACATTTAACCTGTCATATTAAGTCTGGCAATGATGACTATGTATTCTTGCTTAAATAAATCATCTATTAATCATTAAACAAACAACAACAACAGAAAGTGAGAATTTTTTTTTTTTTGAGACGGAGACTCGCTCTGTCGCCCAGGCTGGAGTGCAGTGGGGCAATCTCTGCTCACTGCAGCCTCCGCCTCCTGGATTCAAGCAGTTCTCCTGCCTCAGCCTCCCAAGTAGCTGGGATTACAGGCGCATGCCACCACACCCAGCTAATTTTTGTATTTTTAGTAGAGATGGGGTTTCACCATGTTAGCCAGGCTGGTCTTGAACTCCTGACCTCAGGTGATCCACCCTCAACCTTCCACAGTGCTGAGATTACAGGCGTGAGCCACCACACACGGCCCGAGAATATTTTTTCAAGTATGTCATTTAGGTGCAGTGGCTCACACCTGTAATTCCAGCACTTTGGAAGACTGAGGCCAGCAGATCCCTTGAGGTTGGGAGTTGGAGACCAGCCTGGCCAACATGGTGAAACCCCGTCTCTACCAAAAAATACAAAAATTAGCCGGGCGTGGCGTTGTGGGCCTGTAGTCCCAGCTACTCAGGAGGCTAAGGGAGGGGAATAATTTGAACCCGGGAGGCAGAGGTTACAGTGAGCCAAGATCCCACCACTGCACTCCAGCCTGGGTGACAGAGTTAGATGCCATCTCAAAAAAAAAAAAAAATTTACTCAGTATCTGAATATTCATTTTCCAATTTGAGGTGTTTTACATAAAACTTGGAATGAAAATCTTTTTGTGTCACTTTGTATGTTAAAATTTTCTCAATTAGATGAAGTATAAATGTACATTAATGCAAGAAGAAAATGTCACAATGATTATGAATGCTATTTATGTACGAAAGAAAGTAACAATTTTCAAATAGGCAAATAATAGTGTAATAATATTGAGAGAGTTAGCTAATGAATTTAAGAAGAATATTAAATCCTTTTTCAGATGACAATTATAAAAACTTTAACGAAAAATACAAAGCAGAATAGAAATTTTATATCATAATTTCAATTGCATTCAGTTGTCATACCAGTATTAATTATACTAAACAAAATCATTTCTAAAGACTATATTTAATTTTTAGTTATTTTATACCATGAATTTTTTTTCTTCCTTTTTTTTCTCAGACTCAAAATCCATGAATCTTCTATGAGAAAATCTTATTTGGGAATTCTTCACATTTTTTTGGAGATAAATTAAAAGCAGAATGTTAACTCTACCACTTCAGAATTTTATAAGGAGGAAAACCTCCAAAAGTTCTGTACAACATAATCATTTTTGCTCCAGATATTATGTATGTGTATACATATTTGTATACACACACATATAAACACAGACACATATAAAGACGTTAGAGGAAGAAAGTTCCTCCACCTATTTTGTATTCCACTAACTTCAGTGGAAAGTGACCCTCAATTTAGTGTCTGTATGTGCATGACAGCAATCATAGGAACAATCTAGCAACAGGCAGCACTGAGAAAATTATCATTACTGCACTATAATGTCCTACTCTTAAAATAAGATTACTAATATTTCTGAGAATAAATTATAATAACTTCAGGGATAACATTTCATATCTTCACATATGCCAGAAGTTTACTCTATGATGATGATACCGACTTCTGCTCCAGCTTTAACAAATATTGGTTTTCACACTTGGCCATTTGGCATTCAAAAAAGGGATATTTTGTGCACTAAATGTACAGCCAAAATATGTAGGTAATTCCTATGTCAACTCATTATTTCATTCCATTTTCATGTGCTTATATAAAATATAATTTTAAAAGAGGATCTTATATAGTCCAAGGATGTAGAAAACAACTCACAGCCTCCCTTATGGGTCTAACAGGAGATATCATAAAAAACTCAACCCCACACAGAAGCACCAGTGATCTAATAACATTTTATTGTTAACTGCCAATAATCAAGAAAAATCCATGCAAGAAAGGTGTTAGTTCTTCTGATCTCTATGCATTTTCAATGAATTCCCTTCACAGGCTGAAACCTGTACACAATAGAATTGCTTTCCACAGCTAAAAACTTCCAGATCTAAGTTAGCCAGACTTGACTTCATAGTCTCTTAAAATATAAAGATTATTAACATCCTTATACATTAAAATTTAATATTTTAAGATTTAGACAAGTGTCACGTCAGATGAATTTTTAACTAAGATGAAATTGTCTGTGATTCAGTGATATCCAAAATAAAAACATTTATAAATGCCCAAAATCCCAGTCCAGCAACTGATACCAGAGTAACGATCCTTATGAAGCAAGGGAAAGATGGCTGAGACTGAATGCCACAGATAGGCTGTGGTTCTCACTCAGCTGCTTAGTCATCTTAGACAAGTTATTTGCCCTTCCAAGTCTGTTTCCTAAACTATAAAATGAATATATTAATATCTTCTCTGTCTATATGTCTAACTACCAAATGAAGTTATGGAAATTACAAACTCTGATATATGTAAAATATTGAGTATCATGAGTGTTCCAAATCTAGGATCTTTGTTTTCATACCAACTTTATAAATAGACTGTGATTGATTTTTATGTAGTTTTATGTTTACTTTTAATGTTTACTCTCTTTAGAAACTACTCGGAACTTGATTATTTATTTATTTGCCATTCAAGAATGTGGGTATGATTTATGAAAGTGTATTAACAGTTATCTGAAGTATTAATGTTAAGCTAGAACTCAAATTACAAATAAAGAAAAACAAAACAAATATAAAATCATTTATAATAGAGAAAGCTTGCTTTTTGCCAAGAGTAATAATAATCTGCTGAAATCATTATTGTTAGTCACTTAATGACTACTGTCTTGGTTGGTACACATCAGCAGCAGTCAAATACCACCTCCCAGAACCCAACCACCCAAAAAAAGATACTGGGAATAAGAATGTCCTCAGAAAGCTCAACTGTCAAACTAAAACATAAACCAGAACATAGATTAGGAAGTCAAGCCCAGAGGATCAAGCAAAAGATAGGACTAAATTTAAGATACTAACATGCAATGAGAAAAAATATATCTACCAGAAATATGGAGGTGAGTAGTTTGGTCAGCAATGGAAGCAGTGAAAAAGGAAAGGTACAAAACACTATCATATAAGCATCAACCAGGAGAAAGGATATCCTAGAAGGCAGATTGATGTAAGTAACTGCTTGACAAGTATATCATGGAGCTGAGATTATCACTTTATCAGCGCCGATGCCATTTAAAACTTCTAGTCATTTATAATCAACTCCCTTGTTGTTATCTCATGATCTTGTTCAGTAGGCAACTATTGAAATTTGGTTTTCCATTCAGCATTCTACATTGAAAGAATATATTTCTTGATGTAAATTTCTAGTCCTTATTTTACTTGAATAAACTGGCGTTCTCTTGTGATGGGAATGTATATGCTTAGATAAGAGAGTGGGCTCTGGAGTCAGGTTACTTTGAGTTCCCACTGACTTACTTTGTGATCTTGGGAAACTTACCAATCTGTTGTCTGTTTCCTCATCTGTAGAAAGGGTGCCTAATAATAGGACCTATTTCCCAGGGTTGTTGTGAGGATTAAACAATTCATGTAAAGCACTTAAAACAGTACCTGTCACATAGCAAGTGCTAAACAAATGCTAGCCTGGTTATTATTTTTGAACATGAATTAACATTCCTGTGTCTGATCGCTCTGACACTGATCAGTTTCTAAATCTAAAAAAACTAAAGCAGGGCCACTGTGTTTCACAACTCCGGGGGCATCAATGCACAAGAGAACAGAGTTCTCCGGCCGCTCTGAACTGATGGCATGACCTGGTGAATTCAAGGTCACCCACCTGTGAGGTTCTTTTTGGTAGCCAATCTGTCCAGGTGAAAACTTAAGAGTCATAAACCTAAAATGTCTACCCTAGTGAGGCAGATCTCCTAAATAAGTGAGGCACACCTTGAGTGGTGAGTTTGCCAAGAAACTATGAATGATAAGACTGTGGAGTGTAGAGCACAAGTCAAGCCTTAAATGCTTTCAAATACAGATATTTTAAGATATTCTGTCAGGCAAAAACAACAGTATAGGCAGATTTTAGGCCTGAAGCCCACCAGTTTGCAAACCCTGCAGCACCCTTTCATTCAAACCTTAAAATATTTTAACTTAGGATAATGTACATCCTGTGACCTATTTTTAACCTTTATTTTTCTTTACTGCTCTGTGACTATCCCTTCTTTTCTCCTCCCTTGGTTTCCAAAAACTTCTGTGCTCTTCTCCATACCTCTTGACACACATACCTTGAGTGGTATCATTCATTTCAACTAACATTTCAATCAGCTAAAAATTCCAGATATTTATATCCAACTCTATCAATGCTAAGAAATACCTCATGAATTGTGCCTACTTTCTCATTGCCAATGCCTTTGGTCAAGTCCTCATCTGATTTCTAGACGTTTACAATAGCTTTGGTTCATTCTATTCTCTCATTGTCCACATCCAGCCACCAGTAAATCCTATTGGTTCTAAAACCAATCAAACCATATCCACAATCCAACCATTTTCACCTAAACCATCATCATCTGTTACCTAAATTACCACAGCAGTTCCTTTTACTATTCATTTACCTCATTTACCATACTACTCACTTACCATATACCATAGAGGATCCTGTCCCTCCTCTGTTTAATCCCCCATTAGCTCCCAGGTCACTCAAGAGTGAAATCCCTTGTGTTTTCCTCAATCATACCAGGCTCATTCCTGGTCCAGGCTTTCTCTACCTCCCACTCCCTTTATATGGATGCTCTTTCCTCAAATGTCTTGGGTCTGAATTGTTGTCTTGTATCAGGGCTCTTTGCTCAAATGTTACTCTTTCATAAGTGCTTCCCTAAACACCCTCCCCACATCCACTTGACTCCCCATCTCCCTTTCTGCTTTATCACCATTGAACACATCTGTTTTTCATGTTTATTTTCTGTCTCTCCCAAGAAAATATGTTTCATTACACCAAGTTTTTTCTTTATTGCTGTATTCCTGATCCTAGAACAATACATATTAAGCTTCATGTTTAATGAAAATGACTGAAAAGCTTCCTAACTTGTCTTCCTTCTACTGATCTCCCCTTCTGTAGTCCATTTCCTCCTATCCCCCAGGTAGTATACCAAAAAATGCATCTGATCATTCTCCTGCTTAAAAGACTTTGATGGGATCCCCACATCCTTCAGGGTCTGGCCCCAAATTTAATCCGTTTCCCCATTCCCCAAAATAGTTGTACACTCTCCACATACTAACACTTTTATCATCCCTGAACCTACTTGTGCCATTTATCCATGCTTTTCGTGTATCTCTGTATTTACTTGGCCAAAGTTTTATTCATCCTCCAGGTCTAGTTATGCCATGATGTCTCCCAGAAGCCTTCATCTGTGTACCCCCACAGCACTCAGTTCAGGCCTCCATTATAGTACTTGTGCTATACTATGTATTTACCAATCTGTTTCTGCAACTAGATTATAAGATCCCAGAGAGCAAGTTCATGATGTTGTGTCCAGAGTTCTTTTGTCAGTGCTTAACACTATACTTAGCAGAGACGAAACACTGTTAAGTCTGAGGAATGAAAATGTAATGAATGAAATTTTATAATGAATGAAATATTTGTTTATGAGAGGTTGGGGGAAAAAAAGAGTCTTCCTGAGAGTCAGAGTGCTTTACAACATCAAACCTGAGACCTGATACGAGGTTTTACATTTGCTAAAGAAAAATTTCCTTTAGTAATTTCAACAATAGTTAAATTAGTGGATTCAGGAATCAGAAGTAAGTTAATGGCTAGTCAGGAAAGTTATTTACTCCACGGAACATACTAATTTACAAACCAGATATTGTGTGGAGCAAAAAGTGTACTCTAATCTGAGAAAAGGCATCTGCAATTTTTTTAATTAAAATTGATTTAAGTGGGAAGGAAAATTGAAAATGATCTAGTGCAACTACTTCATTTCACAAATGAAAAAAATAATGAAAAGGGGAAGAGCATTAACCCAAGTTAGAAGATCAGGATCAGTACCAAGGTTTTATTCAAAATGAAGGGCTCTCTCTCAAATGTAGCACATTACAATTCCAAACTACTCAAGGATTAAAGCCCAGAACTTATTCCATTACTTTGCTGTGCAAACTTAATGAAGAGTGAAGATAATATTGCAAGTAGGAAAATAATATTGCAAGACTGAAAATAATAATACCTGGGTTCTTATCTAGGTTGTATTTATGAGATCTCAGACAATTCACTGAACCTTGTAATGCTACCTTAATTAACTACCACATGGGATTAATGTGAGAATCAAATGAAAGCCCTGTTGCAAATGAAAAGTATAATCATCTTTTCCATCCTCATCCTTTCAGGTTCTCCAGTGCAGTCTCTTAGCAAGTTTTCAATCTATATGGGGGGCCATAAACCACTTGCAATTCTGACTAGTTGGAGTTTTGTTGTTCTTGTAGTACAGGACAGAAAGCTGCGAGGGAAGGGTGGGGAGGTTGTTTATGTATTATAAACCTCCTCCCAAAGGGGAGTATTATCCATATCACCTATCAGTTAAAGACTCTTTGAGACTCACAAGCTCTTAAAAGGTTCATGCTAAAAAATTATCTTTTTCCCCAGTACAAGCCCTACAAAACCTTTTACCATTAGTATATTTCAGAAAATTCTGTAACAATTACTTGGGTTATATTTATCTTTTCCTACTCTACTACAGATGTGTCCAAAGCAGGGACTCATAGTATTTCGTCTTCAGGAGTTGTGAATTGTTTTAATTGGGTCAACATCCAGTTGAAATATAAAACTGAGCGGCTGGAGTCGTGCCTGAGAGAACTGAATGAAAAAGAACTGAACGACGAGAGACCAGAATTATACCTCCCTCTGATTTCCCTAAATCCCTAAAGACCTTTAGAAACTAGGCTCTGGGCTTATGCAAAAGTCCTCTACTACATTCTACATAGCCACAAGTAGAATTAGAAGTATTTTTATATTAATAACATCTTATAAAATACAATGTTTTAACTCCAGGTGTGAAAATATTTAAAGGAAAGTACACTAAATGGATTTTTTTTAAATTATTCATTTGGCAAACAATCTTGTGCAAAATGTTCACTATATAACATGTACAAGGCCAGGCGTGGTGGCTCACGCCTGTAATCCCAACACTCTGGGAGGCTGAAATGGGAGGATGGCTGGAGCCCAGGAGTTCAAGACCAGCCTAGGCATATAGCGAGACTCTATTTCTTTAAACGAGAAAAAAATTATGCATTCTGTGAATTCCATTTACATTTAGAATCTCATTCTCATAAACAGTAATATTTTAATTTGTATAAAATCAAAGCAATTGTAAATATAAATCATAGGCTTCATTTTTTTTCCTGCATACACAATATGCCTTAATTTTTGAAAATGTTATAAAAAGAATATCCTTGGCTGGGCACAGTGGCTCACCCCTGTAATCCCAAAACTTTGGGAGGCCAAGGCTGGTGGATCACTTGAGGTCAGGAGTTCAAGACCAGCCTGTCCAACATGATGAAACGTGGTCTCTACTAAAAATACAAAAAATTAGCCAGGTGTGGTGGCGGGTGCCTGTAATCCCAGCTACTCAGGAGGCTGAGGCAGGAGAATGGTGTGAAGGCGGGAAGTGGAGCTTGCAGTGAGCTGAGACAGTGCCACTGCACTCCAGCCTGGGCGACAGAGCGAGACTCCGTCTCAAAAAAATAAAATAAATAAAATAAAATCCTTGAGACAAAGCCTAGCTCCATATACCAAGTTTCATATATTTTTCTCCACTTAATTCACAGAAACTTTTATAACAGCATAAAATAGCTATTATATGGAAAGATACAGTATTTTGGAAGCCCGCAGATTAGTCCATTTTTTCCCCAAATTTCTTAAGAATTTCCCAGGGAGCCTATGAAAAATACCCTAGAGATTCTGATTCAGTTGCTCTGGGCAGAACAAAAATTTATTCCCCAAAGTGATTCTGATGATTAACTATCATTGGGAAACACTGATCGAGTATAGCGGTTCTCAATTTGGCACATATTAGAATTTCCTGGGGAGCTTTTAGAACTCTTAAAACCCAGGCTGAGGTCCAGACCAACAGAAATAGCGCCAATACTTTAAAGAAAAAAAGTTCCCCAGGGAAGGTTTAGAACCATTGATCTGATCTTGTAGAATTTCTCCTGACTTCTAGTTCACTTTGTTTTTGATGTAGTTGTTTTGTTTTTCATGTGGGTTGACAAAAAAAGCATGAAAAAAAAAAACCATCTCCTTCATCTCAGCACAATGATGCCACTTAACAATTGGCTAAGTTAAAGTGGAGCTAACCTTTTTGTTTCAGAAATCACTAGAAAATACTTTTAGTCCGAATTTTAAATAAAATAGACTAATCTTAATCTTTAGCTCCTACTACCAACCTATTAACATATCTTACAAATAATTCTTTAAAGTTTTCTAACCTCTAAACCAGTATTTTAAAATTTCAAATTCTTTAAAAGGTCTGTCATCACAGTTCCTTACCAGCAAAATTATTTTGATACTTGAATTTGATGGCATTGTTTTTTCATGATGTACAATACATAACTCCATATATAGAAGTTACTTTGTGCACTAAGAGAGGGGAACAGATATTCTTCCATATTAAAAAAAAAAAGGATTTTAGGCTCCATTAGCAAAACCCCATCATTGGTTTGTCCATACCTCAAGAGCAAGGTATTAGTCAACCCATTCTAAGAATTTCCTTTTTAATACAAAAGATAACGTTAAAAAAATCATTAAAAATGTGCCAAGTGCAAGCTTATCATTTTTAAAAGTGCATTTTACTTTCCAAAAATTTTTACACTTTGATTGACGTGCCCTCTGGGAATCTACTTTTATTATTACAATACTGAAGTTGTTGAAATACCATTTTTATCCCTCTCAAGATTGCTAGGTATTTAGATATTTCAAATTTCAGCAGTGTTTGTGATTTTTGCTTCTGGGTTTTAAAAAACGTGTTTAGGATGCTTTACCAAGCCGATCACATTACTACAGATAAAACTTCAGCAATGTATATAGTCTATAGTAAAACGTATATTTTTTCTTACTTCTATTCACAAAGGAGTAATTGTGAGGTTCTAGATTTTCAAATTAATATTCTAAGTAAGAATCAGATGCAATGGATTTTGTTTCAGTAAGTTTAATGAATGAAAGCCCCCCTTTCGCATTATTAAAGATATATACGAATGAAAATTTGAATTATAACCAAAATTTAAGTATGCTACAGTATACTTTGTAAATGTCCCCAAACTCGAATGGAAACAAGAATGTGCCTCTTAAGGCACAGAGCAAAAAATAAAAAATCAGAATCTCAATATTCAAGTGATACACACCATCTAGAAAATTGGGCTAGCCGGAATAATCCATGGAGTTTTTACGTTAGGGTAAAACTGTGCTAAACTAAGTTTCTGCAAAGCCTAAGTATTTTGTGTTAACATATTAAACTTGAAACTTGCCATCTCAAATTCCAAGGGATAAGACTGTATACAACAGATGGCCTTTTGGTGCTGCTTAAAACTTCCCTGAAAACCAAATGTTTATTTTTTTAGAGGTGTTCTCGGTTCTCGGGAAGCAGTCAAATATCAAAACACCCATTCCTGAAAATTCCTGGCTGGTCCTATCTGGCCGGGAGCACCGACACCTGGACGGGCAGAAGCAGGACCTCAGCACCGAGCCGGGACGCTGAGAGCCGCCCGGCGCACACGGAGCCCGCCCGGGGGGCGGGGGGCTCGCACGTGCCCGGCCGGGGGCGGGGCCGGCGCTGGCGAGCAGCGACCCCGGCTCGGGGAGGCGGGCGCGGCCGGGCCGACCTCCCCCGCGGCCGCGATCCAGCAGTTTACATAAGAGTGCGCGTCATGGAACTGACGGAGCCACACAGAGACGTCTAGGTCATGCAGGAGGCGCCCGGCCCCGGCCCGCTCCCGCCGCCCCAGACCCCTCCTCTCATCCGACAGAAAGACAGACAAGAAGGGTTCCCGACCTGTCGTGCCCTGCATGTTCAGAGTCTGTCATGTTTGGTCAAGAACGGGGCGGGGCTGGAGGGCAGGTCTGCGAGGCCGGCGGCGGCGGGGCGCGGGGAAGACCCCCCGCGCCGCCTGCGGGAACCTGCTCCCGGCCGCCGCCGACAGGTGACGAAGTGGTAAAAACTCACGGTTACTAGTGAGCGACACAGACACAGACTTTCCAGTCTATTAACAACCACGCCAGAGAGATGGGGCTCTAACTGCAAACACTGGGCAACGGCCCCGCGCTGCCGGCGCTGCCGCTCTAGTCTCTATTCGCCGCCGGTGGCTGTGGCGTGGGAGCGGGCGGGCGGCGTGCAGCGACGCGGGGATTTGGACAGTGGCCGTAACGGTGATTTCTCCTCACCAACATGGCGGCACCCGAAACAGGCGGCTCGAGAAAATGGCGCCGGCCGCAACACCTTGCCCGGGACTAAAGGGCAAGAGAGATTCCTCCGCGAGCCGCGGCCCTTGCCCAGCCCGCCGGGGCCGAGCGCGTTGACCATTGGAGGAGAGTGCCCGTCAATCACCTGCAGGGGCGGGTCTTCGCCCTTCTCTGTGCAGCGGCGGAGGCGGCAGCCTAGTGGCGGGGCCGGGCGGCGAGAGACGCGGCCGGATGGCTCCTCGAGTGTCTGCAGGAGGGGGAGGCAGCCCACGGGACCTACGAGGGCCACCAGCGCTTCTGCTCCCGGCGCAGTACGGGCCGCGGTTTTTCCTGCGAGACGCCCGCCGCCCGAGGAGTTCCAGACGCACCAAGCAAACGGGCCCCAAAACCGTTAGCCGAGGCGGGCAGGGGTGGGATAACAAAGAACAAGGCGGCTGTAGAGTCCTTAAATTTTTTTGTGAAAACCTTTGTTCTTGTAATAATAGGGAAATGCAGTTTCTCCTTCACAGTTGTAGCAAGTATCTGTTTTTGTAACGTTTAGTGTTCAGAATCATGTTTTAAGGAAAATAGCTTGCCATGCAGTTTTTTCTTGTATTTGCTGTTAAATTTACCCAATTATTACTTAAATAGGAATAGCTATTGAAATAATTATATAAACGTTACTTTATTTCGTAATAATATTAACATGTAAAATGTATGCGAGTATTTTATAAATACTATTAGGCATGCCTTTTTTTTTTTTTTTTTTTTTTTTTTTTTTTTTTTTTTCTGAGATGGAGTCTCCTCTGTCGCCCAGGCTGGAGTGCAGTGTCGCGCTCTCGGCTCACTGCAACCTCTGCCTCCTGGGTTCAAGCAATTTTCCTGCCTCAGCCTCCCGAGTAGCTGGGACTGCAGGCACGCGCCACCACGCCTGGCTAATTTTTGTATTTTTAGTAGAGATGGGGTTTCCCCATTTTGGCCAGGCTGGTCTCGAACTCCTGACTTCAGGTGATCCGCCCTCCTGGGTCTCCCAAAGTGCTGGGGTTACAGCCGTGAGCCACCGCGCCCGACCATGCATGAGTTTTTTATACTTATGAAGTGACCTTAAAAAATTTTTAAATGACAAGTCAGTGTTTTGGCCTATTTAATATATTAGTCCTGAAGGAAAGTTCCTTGCTTTTTACTAAAATGATAGACTCAATGATTAATCCAAATATCTGACTTAATTTGTCTTTCCTTAATAATACATTTTACTAATACATAAATGGAATGCATTCAAAAACAATTGCAATGAGTGGATTAAATTGGAAATGTAAAGTTTTTGATATTAACATATACATTGAAAATAAAGGCCGGGCGTAATGGCTCACGCCTGTAATCCCAGCACTTTGGGAGGCTGAGGCGGGCAGATCACCAGAGGTCGGGAGTTCGATACCCGCCTGACCAACATGGAGAAACCCAGTCTCTACTAAAAATAAAAATAAGCCAGGCGTGGTAGCCCATGCCTGTAATCCCAGCTAATCGGGAAGCTGAGGCAAGAGAATCGCTTGAACCCGGGAGGCGGAGGTTGCGGTGAGCCGAGGTCGAGTCATTGCGCTCCAGCCTGGGCAACAAAAGCGAAACTCCGTCTTAAAAAAAAAAAAAAGTCGCCCCTTTTTTTTTTTTTAAAGTTGAATACAGCCAGTGACAGGAGCTGTGGTCGCACTATTTTTTTTTTTTTTTCAGTTGAATGCAGCCAGTGACAGGACCTGTACTTATAGCCACACTTTACCATAATAAATTTGTAGGGAGCTTTCAAAAGGTACTATGAAGGTACTATGAAGAAACTATGTTAACATTTGGAGTTACATTAAAATCTCAGGACTTCGGTTTTATCGTAACTGTTTTAGTTAATTTAGGCCTTTCTGTAGCTAATTTGGGTAACTGCTTTCTTGAAGTTATCCAGAGGCCCTTGTGGTAAACAGTTGCTGTTCTTTCTTGCACTTCTGTTTTCCCCTGTCTCCTGTATCTGGAGGTCTGAGAATTTCTTTCAAGCCTTCGTTAAGGTGTTTGGTTTGTGATGGCGTAGGACAGTGCAGTTCTCTCTGGATGAAAAGCCTCCTTTTCGAACCGTTGGCATGCGCCACTTAAGTTTGATGGTAAAATTTGTCATCAGGTCTTGGTCTTTTTCTCTAGGTAACAGAAAGGGGAGGTGTGTGGGGGTGAGCATTGAGGGGCAGTGCTCCTTTGAGGCTATGGGTTTTTAGAATCTAGAAGTGCTTAGAGATCTGTGACACCTTGTCTTTAATTGCCTCAGTTAAGGAGCAATGTAGGTATCAAAGAGATTACACTAATTAATTTTAAACCTAACAGATTTTACCTAATAATGACATATGGATCATGAGAACTGCAGAACTCTTGTCACGTAATGACCTTGTCCAAACCTCAGCAAAAGGAGACCACCAAACTATAGCGAGCCTTGTAGCAGCATAAGGTCGTGTTCGTAGGATGACCGCAGATCTCTCCCCGGGCCTCTCGGTTAAATGTCTCCCAGAGAAAACTCAACACTGCCCACCTGGCCATAGGCCCTTGACCCCCTTTCTTGGAGCATTTACAAAAAAAGAGCTTACAATTGTGAGTCCTTCCTCTGTCCCCTTGACACGTATGTGTTCTCTCCTACAATTCAGGAGTATCTTTCTTAAGGACCTGAAAGCCATTCCTTTGAAATTTAATCATCTGGAAGGTTGCTATCTCCCATTCTTGGTGGGAGGGTAGAATCCTGACTTCAGTGATAATCGCCAGCTAGCTGACGCAGCTGATCTAATCACTTTTATACTGACAGACTTTGAAATGTTTTGCATGTATTCCGGCTCTTTCCCCCTCCCTTATTCTCTCTTTAAGCTGCTCAATTATCTCTGCATTGAAATGGAACGCTGCTCTTTCCCCTACTGTTAGTAATTACTGAATAAAATTGGTTTTCACCACTTTAATGTCCAGGTTTTTTTATCTTTGTCAACCTTCCCCACCCTCTATCCACACAAAAATTGTAACGGACATAAAGGTACCAACACTTTATTTTGCTAAATAAATTAAACATATTAAACATCTTACGGTTATTTCATAAAAGACATTTTAACATCAAGAAAGTAGGAAGGATATCATTATTTTTGTTTCGTTGGTTTTTGTTGGGTTTTTTTTTGAGACAGAGTTTCACTTCACAGGCTGGAGTGCAGTGGCACGATCTCGGCTCACTGCAACCTCTGCCTTCTGGGTTCAAGCAATTCTCATGCCTTAGCCTCTCGAGTAGCAGCTAGCATTACAGGCACGCACCATCATGCCCGCTAATTTTCGTATTTTTCATAGAGACGGTGGTTTCTGCCATGTTGGTCAGGCTGGTCTCTATCTCCTGACCTTGAGTGATTCATCCGCCTCGGCCTTCCAAAGTGCTGGGATTACAGGCGTGAGCCACCGCGCCTGGCCAAGGATATACTTTAAAAAGCCAATTACTTTACTTTGAATTCCTTTACATTTAGTGTTAAGAAAAATTCCTTTTATTGCCCGTGTTTTGTCCCAGATGGTAAGAATAAGCCCTGGTATACCAAGGCTCCCAATATTGGACCACTAGACATTCGGAGACTGGTCAGACTTGGGACAAAAACGGTCTCCTAGGTGATCATCCTAGCTGGAAGATTAGGGGACCCTTACCCCATCCTTCCTGGTAGCTTATACAAACCCTAAATGTATATGTGGCCCTAGGCAGGGGGAGGGAGCCCCAGTTACAACTGTTTTCTGTCTACCTACCGGAATAGGGGCTTAGAGTTAGAATTAAATTGGCAGGAATAATTCCCCGTACAGTACACACTGAGGTTACAAATGAATACTTGTGTTAGTCACTGGAAAGTTTTTAACACACACACACACACCCTAAAAATACAAGCATCTGAACAGTAGCCATGTCTTTGAAAAAGTACTTTTATTTTATTTTAAAACAGAGTCTCACTCTGTTACCCAGGCGGAGTGCAGTGGCATGATCTCGGCTCGCTGCAACCTCCACCTCCTGAGCTCAAGTGATTCTCCTGTCTCAGCCTCCCGAGTAGCTGGGCCTACAGGCGTGCACCACCACACCCGGCTAATTTTTGTATTTTGTAGAGACGGGGTTTCACCATGTTGGCCAGGCTGGTCTCTAACTCATGACCTCAGATGATCCGCCCGCTTGGGCCTTCCAAAGTGCTGGGATTACAAGTGTGAACCACAGCACCCAGCCTGAAAAAGTACTTTTAAAATGTTGCCTCCAATTCTTTTGCAGCTCATAAGCATGATGATTAGATTTTCATGTGCACGCGTGAGATGTGCCTCATCAAGCCTTGTTATGACCTCAGTACATCCAGATGTGCTGGAGTGCAGTGGCACAATTATAGTGCTTAGTGATCTGTGACACCTTGTCTTTAATTGCCTCAGATAAGGAGGAGTGTATGTATCACAGATATCACACTAGATAATACAAGAACTAGAACTGCAGCCTTCCACCTCAGCCACCGCCATCACCCGCTGTCCACACCCCCCCACTGCCCCAAGTAGCTGGGACCACTGGTACACTCTATCACATCTGGCTTATTTTTTGTAGAGGCGAGGTCTTACTATGTGCCCAGGCTGGCTAATTTATTTGTATTTTTGTAAAGACAGGGTCTCGCTGTGTTATTTAGGACTCATTTCTCTTAATACAATTTTGTAATTTTTTCCTATGTCTTTATTTTTGTAGAGACAGGGGCTCGCTGTGTTGCCCAGGCTGGTCTTGAACTCCTGGCCTCAAGCAATCCTCCAGCCTCAGCCTTCCAAAGTACTAGCAATACAGGATTGAGCCACCACACACGGCCTTAAGTTTTAATATAGAGTTTAGAAGTAGTCATTTAGAATTTATAATTTGATAGAACTTTTAGAGTTATCAAGTTCCATAAAGAAAACTTGAGATTTTTATTAGCATTGCCTTGAATTGATAGACCAATTTTGAAAGAACTGACAATTGCTTAGTTGTGTCTTTCATTTTGTGAATATGTAATATCTCTCCATTTATTTAGGACTCATATCTCTTAATACAATGTTGAAATTTTTCCTATATGTCTTTCATTTATATAAATATCTTGCATCTTTTATAGATTTATTCCTAAGCATTTGGTATTTGTATTACTTTTCTGTTGCTGCATAACAAGTTACAACATACCTAGTGTTTTATTTCTTCCTTTCCAATCCTTAGACTCCAGTTTCTTTTTCTGCCCTGGCTAGGATCTCCAGCACTAGGACATTCAATCCTGTGTTAAATAGAAGTGGTTATATTGGATATACTTGTCTTGTTTCCCAATGTTCAAGGAGATGACTATAAAGTTTTCCCATTTAGGATGATATCTGGGGATTTTATAGACAGTCATCCCTCAGCATACATAGGGGATTGGTACCAAGACCCCTGCATATACCAAAATCCACGCATACTCGGCCTTGGCAACTCTATTATATGAAAAGTGGGTCCTTTGTATATGCTGGTTTCTGCACCCCTCCGATACTCCCAAGTTTGGTTGAAAAAAATTCTCATATAAGTGATTCATTGATTTTTTTCCTTAAGAATTCACTTTTTACTGTAGGTCATAATTTTTTACTCTTATTTTTATTGTCTCTGTCTCATCAATTTTCACTCAATCATATTATATCTTTATTCCTGCTTTCTTTTTTGGTTATTATTTTATTTTTAACTTCTTCATTCATTAATTTTGATGTATCTTTTCTATTATAAGTATTTATGTCTATAAATTTCTCTTGAAGAACTGCTTTTGCTGAATCCTATAAGTTTTAACATGTGGTATTTTTATTTTCAGTTATTTTATAATTTTTATTATAATTTACTCTTTAACCCATGAGTTACTTAGCAGTGTTTTTAACTTCTAGCTTAACTGCCATGAGGTCATAAATTACGGTCTGTATAACACCTATTCTTTACAATTTTGAGGGTTTGTGTATAAGATTCATTTTTGTAAATGTTCCATTTGTGCTTTAAAAATGTAAATTCTCTCATTGTTAAATGCAGAACTCTATATATGTCCAGTGGGTCAAGATTATTCATTGTAAAGTTCTTATTTTCTATATCCTTGCTGATTTTTCTTCATCTGTTTGATAAAACAATCAAGTAAAGTAATTTAAATCCCTCACAATGATGTATTTCTCCACTTCTTTTATAGTTATATCACATATTCTTCATTTATTACAAGGATATCGTACAAAAGTGTCTAAAGTTGTTTTCCCTTCCTAGTAAGTTATTTAGTAACTTTCTCCATTTCTAGTGATGCTGTTTTTCCTAAAGTCTTTTAAATCTTTTTTTTAAATATTCATATAGCTATAAAACCTTTCTCTTAGTTTCTGTCTGATGAGTCTTTTTTTTTTTTTTCATTGTTTTTCTAGCATTTCACAAGCTCAAGGCTCTGTACTACCCTGATTTTAGCCTGGAGGACACCAATATAAAATGTGGGTCACTGTCTGTCCAAGGCAGTGGTGAGGGAAACAAGGGCACAATTGGAACTGTTTCTTTTCTAATTTATCTTCTCACAACCTTCCCAAGCTGCTTCCTGCCCCAGGCCCAAGACACCAACTGTTATGGTTTGAGTGTGTCCCCCAAAATTCATGTGTTGGGGACTTAATCCTCAATGCAACAGTATTGGGAAGTGGGGCCTAATGGGAGGTGCAGAGGTCATGAGGGGTTTGCCCTCATGAATGGATTCATGCTGCCATAAAAAGGGATTGCAGGAGTTGTTTCTCTCTCTTCTGCTGTTCTACCATGTGAAGACATGGTGCTCTTCCCTTTCTTGCCCTCCCATCTTCCACCAGTGGGGACACAACAAGAAGGCCCTCACCAGGCCACATGGCAGTGCCTTGATCTTGGACTTCCCAGCCTCTAGAACTGTGAGGAATACATTTTTGTTGTTTCTAAGTCAACTAGTCTCAGGTATTCTGTTACAGCAGCACAAAACATACTAAGACACCAACCCACAGACGTCAGTTTAAAACAGCACCTAGTCCCACAAACTCCACCATTGCCATGGAATCTCCAGAGGTTTCTCCCAATTTTCTCTGTTACTTGTTACTTTGTTAACATTTTACCATATTTATTACACTATTAGCTATCTATTCTTTCCTTTATCCATCCATCAGTTGATTTTGTCTTTAGACACATTTCAAAGTAAGTTGCAGACTTCACTGGTTTTAGTCTGTTTGGGCCACCATAACAAATTATCATAGACTGGTGGTTTATAAACAACAGAAATTTATTTCTCACAGTTCTTGAGGTCAGAAAGTCCAAGATCAAGGTGCCAGAAGATTTGGCCAGCTTCCTGATTCACAGATGGCTGTCTTCTCATTGTGTCTTCACATGGTGGAATCAGCAAGGGAGCCCTCTGGGTTCTCTTTTATAAGGGCACTAATCTCATTCAAGAGGGCTCCAACCTCATGACCTAATCACCACCCAGAGGCCTCATCTTCAAATACCATCACATTGGGGATTACGTTTCAACATACTGAATTTCAAAATTTCAAATTTTCAACATAAATTTGGGAGGAACACAAACATTCAGTCTATAGCACCTTCTAAACACTTCAGCATACAAATCATTAATTAGAATGTAATATTTTTGCAGTACCATTTTAAGGTAAATTTTACATACAGTGAGGTGCAGAATCTTGAGAAAACAATTTGATGAGTTCTGAAAAATGCAGAAAATACATATACCTGTGTCACCCAAATCCTTATGAAAACATAAAACATGACCATACCCTAGAAATTTCCCTCCGCCCCTGCCCATTCAATCCTCATCTGCATCCAGAGGCAACCATTCCTCTGACTTTTTTCACTGTAAATTAGTTTTGCCTGATTTAAAACATGGTGTGATTTATAAATAGAATAAATGCTGTTTTGTGTAAGGCTTTTTTCACTCAGAAAAATGACTTTCTTCATTTATTTTTTATGTTAAAAATTGCCATTTTTTCAGTTTTTATATCTCTTGCTTTTTCAAAATCTTAGAGGGAAAGCATTCAATCATATGAAGTATGCTAGTAACCATAGTTTTTGACATGCCCTTATCAGATGGAGGATATCTATCTATTTTTTGGTTTTTGAGGTTTTTTGTTATTTATTATTGATTTCTTTTTTAATTCCACCATAGTTAGAGAACATACTTTATATTATTTCAATTCTATGACATTTGTTAAGGTTTGTCTATTAAGGAAATCTTTCTGTTAAGGAAATCTATCTATGCCTAATTTGCTGAATTGATGTTGGATATTGTCAAATAATTTTCTGCATCAGTTGATGAGATCATATAGTTTTTCTTGTTTTGACTCATAACATGTTGGATTGCACTGAATGATTTGCAAATAACAAACCACCTTATATTTCTGATATGAACTCCACTTAGTTGTTGCATATTATTCTTTTTATATTGTTGGATTTGATTTTTAACATTTAGTTAAGGATTTTAAAATCTATGTTCAGGAGGGACATTGGTCTGCAGTTTTCTTTCTTTGTTTTTGACTGTTTTTGGAATTGGATTAATGCATGCCTAATAAAATAATTTGGGAAGTGTTCCTTTTTTTTCTATTTTCTGCATGAGATCATATAAAACTGGTATTTCTTCCTTAAATGTTTGGTAGAATTCTCCAGAAAAACCATCTGGGGCTTGAGATTTCTTATTTTAGAAGGTTTTAAGCTATGAATTTAATTTCTTCAATAGTTATTGTTCTGTTAGATTGTGTACTTTACCTTAGATGAGTTTACATGGTTTGTGGTTTGTGAGGATTTGGCTTTTAATCTAAGAGGGTTTCATAAAATTGACTTTTTTTTTTTTTAATTATCGCTGGAGTCTGTACTGAAATATCCTCTTTCATGTCTGATTGGTAATTTGTATCTTTTCTCCTTTTTCTTTTCAGTTTTGCTAGAGATTATCAATTATCTTTTCAAATAATTAGATTTTGGTTTAACTTTATTGTTTTTCTGCTCTTATCTGTTGTTGATTTCTGCCTTTATCTTTAATATATCATTCTTTCTGCTTGTTTTTTCTAACTTCTGAAGGTAGAAGTTTATTTATTTGAGATCTTTAAGTATTTAGAGCTCTAAAATTCCTATAAACACTGCTTTGGCCGTATCTCACAATTTTGCTATGTTGCATTTTCACATTCATTCAGCTCAAAATATTTTCTTTCTTTCTTTCTTTCTTTTTTTTTTTCTGAGACGGAGTCTTGCTCTTTCGCCCAGGCTGGAGTGCAGTGGCGCAATCTCGGCTCACTGCAACCTCTTCCTCTCTGGTTCAAGCAATTCTCCTTCCTCAGCCTCCCGAGTAGCTAGGATTACAGGTGCGTGCCACCACACCCAGCTAATTTTTGGTAAAGACGGGGTTTCACCATACTGGCCAAGCTGGTCTCGAACTCCTGACCTCAAGTGATCCACCCGCCTCAGCCTCCCAAAGTGCTGAGATTGCAGGTGTGAGCCACTGGACCCAGCTTCAGTTCAAGATATTTTCTAATTTACTTTGTGAATCCTCCTTTGACCTATGGAATTTTTAGAGGTATGTTGTTTAATTTCCAAGTATTTGGAGGTTTCGTTGTTGTTGTTGTTATTTATTATTGATTTCTTATTCAATTCCATTATGGTTAGCAAATATCTCTCTATTATTTCAATACTATTACATTTGTTAAAGTTTATTTTATAACCCAGTTTATGGTTTATCTTGGTGAATTTTCCATGTGCTTTGTATATTTGTGCATACCTATTTAGGACTATTATGACTTTATGGTGAATTTGCCTTTTTGTAATTACACAACATCTATATTTATCTCTGCTAATTTTTTACTCTAAGGTCCACTTTGTTTGATATTAATACAGTCACTTTGGCTTTCTTTGGTTTAGTGTTTCTTAGTATGTATTTTACCAACCTTTACTTTTAACCTATCCATATCATGTTTAAAGTGAGTTTCTTGCCAGGGGTGGTGGCTCACACCTGTGATCCCAGCACTTTGGGAAGCTGAGGTGGGAGGATCACTTGAGCTCAGGAGTTCGAGACCAGCGTGGCTAATATTGTGAAACCTCATCTCTACTAAAAATACCAAAATTAGCCAGGCATGGCGGAGTGCGCCTGTAATCCCAGCTACTCAGGAGGCTGAAGCAGGAGAATCCCTTGAAGTTGAGAGGTGGAGGTTGCAGTGAGCTGCAATTGTGCCACTGCACTCCAGCCTGGGTGACAGGAGCGAAACTCCATCTCAAAAAAATAAATAAAATAAAATAAAATAAAATGAGTTTCTTGTGGAGAATACACAGCTGGATCATATTTATCCATTCTGACAATCTCTTTGTTTTATTTGGTAAATTTATCCCACTTGCATCCAATGTACCTATTAATATGTTTGATTTTAAGTCTATCTTTAACATTTTTTTTATTCATTCTCTTGTTGCTCTTCCATTTTTTTCTTTTCTGCTTTAACATTTTGGGATATTCCATATTTGATTTACTTATTGTGTCTTTGAATATTCATTGAGTTTTTAATTTTAGTTTTTATATTTTTCAGTTCTCAAAATTCCATTTGGTTCTTCTTTATGTCTTCTCTTTTTTTACTGAGATGCTCTACTTTTTCCATTTGTTTCAAGGGCATTTAGTGTAGCGTTTTTATAAAAAGCTGTTTCAAAGTCTGTCAGATAATTCCAATATATAAGTCATCACAGCTTTGGCATTTGTTGATTGTCTTTTCCCAGGCAATTTGAGATTTTCCTGGTTCTTTGTATGCCAAATAAGTTTGAATTGTATCCTGGAGATTCTGAATAATAATATGCTATAAAACCTCTGGATCTTAGTTAAATCTTATGCAGAATGTTTATATTTTTGTTTTTATTGGTAATAGACCCGGTTAGGTTCAGGCCTCGATTTCTAACCCACTGCGATTCCAGTGCCTGTTCAACTGGATGCCTTTGCAATGTTATTTGAATCTTAGATCTGTACTACCAGGGACCAGTCAGGACATGGATGAATTATGTCTATTCAACTCTCAAAAGTCTTTGGCATGCCAATTAGGATCAGATCCATGCATGGGCAACTATATGGTAAGCCCGGGGGTTCAGAAATTTATGATGTCATTTTTCTAGGCCCCTTCTTCATTATGGTCTCCTAGAAAATTTTTCAGGTCCCTGGAGCTTTATTTTTTGGTTGTCCAACCAGAAAGCTTGAGCTTCAGTTACCCCCACTTCTGCATACATTTGCAATTGTACCTATGTCTGGGCTTAGTGGCAGGAGGACCACAGAAAAAAGAAAATTAAAAACTTAACGCTATTTCAGTGGTACTTTGAATTGTCATCTTCTTCACCAATCTGCCTGCGTTAATTACTTTCTAGAGTCTTCAAGCAATTCCGTGCATCCTATCTAGGTAAACCTATATTCAGGGACTATAATGTGCTTTTACTATGTTACCTAGAACCAGAAATCCCATCATATATAAACTTTAACTACCAAATACCTTAGTAATATTGTTCTATTCACTAAATATTTACTTAGAATGATCAGTTTCTTCATTGTCCATTTTTTTCTTATAACTCAAACCTGCACCTGAGATTTGCTGCTATCAAATTCATTCTTTCTAATTTCTAAATTTATTCAGAATCTCCTAAATAATTTGCTCATAGTGACCTCTCTGTTTTTGTTTTCCTAAATACATCTTATAGCTCACCTCCATTTTTGAATAATATTGTTTCAAGGTATAGAATCCTAGTTCAGAAGTTTTATTTTCTTTCAATTTATTGAAGATATAATTTTATTGTCTTCTGGATTCCCTTGTTGCAGCTGTGAAGACAGCTGGCAGTCTAATTGTCATTATTCTGAAGGTAAACTTTTAAAACTTTTCTGTGGCTATTTTACATATTTTCTCTGCTTTTCTGTAGTTTCAGTATGGTGTGTCTTAGTATGGATTTCTTTTAGTTATCCTGCCTAGTATTTGTTTAATGCTTGATCTGTAAATTGCTGAGTTTCAACAATCTGGAAAAGTCTGTCTTTTCTTTTCTTTCTTTTTCTTTTTCTCTTTTCTTTTCTATTTTTTTTGAGACAGAGTCTCACTCTGTCACCCAGGCTGGAGTGCAGTGGCACAATCTTGGCTTACTGCAACCTCCGCCTCCTGGGTTCAAGTGATTCTCCTGCCTCAGCCTCCCGAGTAGCTGGGATTACAGGTGTGGGCCACCATGCCTGGCTATTGCGTATTTTTAGCAGAGACAGGGTTTCACCATGTTGGCCAGGCTGGTCTTGAACTCCTGACCTCAAGAGATCCACCTGCCTTGGCCTCCCAAAGTGCTGGGAATATAGACATGAACCACCACACCTGGCCAGCCTTTTCTTTTCAAATATGTCCTCCTCCTCTTTCTTTTTTTCTTCTCTTCTTATTATTAGTTATATGTTAGACATTTAAATCTATTATTTATGTTTTTATAATAATCTCTTTTGTAACTTCCCTTTTTTGGGTGGCAGTCTCTCTATGATGTACTCTGGATAATTTCTTCTGACTTATCTTCCAGTTCACTAATTTTCTTTTAAACCCTGTCTACTCTATTAAAGCCATCTTATTACTCAAAGTCTAATTGGATAATCAGAATCACTAGAAGATAAATAAATAGATAGATGACAGATGATAGCTAGCTAGATTTACAGGGATTTGACCTTATGCAATTGTGGGAGCTGTTTAAAACAGTCTGTAAAGCTCTTGTCTGATATTGGAGCTTCAGAGCTGCAAGGTGGGGCCAGGCACAGCGGCTTATGCCTATAATCCCAGTACTTTGGGAGGGTGAAGTAGGAGGATTGCTGAGGCCAGGAGTTTGAAACCAGTCTGGGCAACACAGTGAGACCCCATGGGAGTGCAGTGAGCTATAATTGTGCCACTGATGAAGCAAGACTTTGTCTAAAAAACTTTTAAGACCTGCAAGGCACATATTCAGGAAGGGAAGTTGGATGTAAAGTGGGGGAGAATGAAGACAATCTAGAATCCCTGAGCATAAACCCAGAACCTGTATTAATCTGCTCTACTTTAATGACGTAGGTGTTGTGCAGGAGACTCTTGAGCCCTTTATCGTGGAACTAAAGACATGCTTGGCCCAGAATTTAGAAAATCTGAAGGAGGATCTGGGGTGAGTTATATCAGGTCTTGTTGTTGTCCCATATCAACAAGGTAAACCAGTAAACAACAATGTGCATGAGTTGCAATAGCATCTTCTGCCCCTTCACTGACCTCCTGAATGTAAAAAGCAATATGGCTGCTGTTTTACCTCCACCTCCCAAATTTTATGCAAAATCTATCTTGTGGTCCACCCTAACTAGAAATATGCAGGATAAGAATCCTGGAAAACATGGGTTAGCCTACCTAAGATGACATGTTACAAAATCACCAAGTATACACTAAGATGACATATTACAAAATCATCGAGTATACACTTATTTTTTTTTGAGACAGAGTCTTGCTCTGTCACCAGGCTGGAGTGCAGTAGCGCGATATCGGCTCACTGCAACCTCTGCCTCCCGGGTTTAAGCGATTCCCCTGCCTCAGCTTCTTGAGTAGCTGGGACTACAGGAGCCTGCCACCACGCCTGGCTAATTTTTTGTATTTCAGCAGAGATGGGGTTTCACCATGTTGGCCAGGATAGTCTCCATCTCCTGACCTCGTGATTCGCCCACCTCGGCCTCCCAAAGTGCTGGGATTACAGGCATGAGCCACTGCGCCTGGCCCAAGTATACACTTTTTAACTAGGTACCTATAAATATCTCTTTAACCCATATTTAGTTTTCAGATAAAAGCAATAGCAAAGTCATGCCTCTGCCTAACATGATGCACCAATCCCCCATTCAACCAAAAACATGCTACCCATTTTCCCAAGAAAGGATAAAAAGTCCCTTTTTCACTTTTGGGTGATGTTCATTCTTCTTTGAATTCTTTTTTTAGCTCAGTCACATGCCTCCTTTTATATCCTATAACTTAAATAGAGATATAAAGTTAACTACTATTAACATATTTTGTGTTAGATGGTAGGGGAATAGTAGAAGGGAAAATTTTAAATATATGTGTGTGTGTGTCTATGTGTGTGTAATTCCACACACATATTTCCACAAATTTATATCAAATTAAGAATGATATATTCATAAATATTGCAATCATTTTTGCTACTGGTCATGTAGTTGGGAAGCAGCATCATTCGTCTGGGGTAATTCCTTAGGTTCATTGTCTCATGCCAAGGAAATCGAGGATTCGGACACACAAGGACGGAGTTTAAGAGCAGAAGTTTAATAGGTGAAAGAAAGAGAAAAGCTGCCTCATGCAGAGGAAGGGGTCCCCAACATTTCCAGGTTCAGGGAGAGATGTGGGTGGTTTTATAGATGAGCTTGAGGAGCTGGTATCTGATTTACATAGGGTGCAAAGGATTGGTTGGACCAGGTGCGCCATTTACATGGTGCTTGAAGAAGCTAGCAACCCCACCCTAATCTTTTATTATGCAGATAGGTTTGCTACCTGGCTGGTGCCATGTTGCCTGTTCCCTGACTGTACATGTGGTGACAAAGAAAAGGGAAGATGGAGCCTCCATGTTGGATATGCCTGGCTCCTAGGTAGCCCTTTTCTATTGGCACAGCTGCCAGCATTTACCTCTGCAAGGTTCTAGCTTGCTTTTCTACGTCTGCTGCTTGATTTTTCAGGCTGCTCTTTGTTAGAAATGATTTTGGAGCTGCTTTTTTATTAAAAGGGAAACCTTACTGAGGACTCGCTTGCCCTCACTAACAGCCTAAACAATTTCTTTTAAGCTCCTGTATCAGTTGCAGCTGATATTTGTACAACTACCTTCTGCTCCTACTCTTTGCCGTGTTCTCTTTGCTCTCCCAAGCTGGTCTTGACTCCTTGCTGGGCGTGAGGCAGGAGAATAGGGTCTGGAAGCAGGGAACTTAAGGCCAATTCGTGCTGAATCAAGGAAAAACACCAAGGTCTGGGGGCAGGGAATCTGAGGCCAATTCACGCTGACTTCCCAAAGCTGGATCAAAAGGAAAACACCTGGGTCTGGGGGAAGGGATCCTAAGGCCAATTACTGTAAATATCCTAAAGCTGAACCAAAAGGAACCCCCCCTTCCCATCTCCTCACACCAGAGTAGCAAAGGATCAAAGGCTACTCTCCCTACAACTCTCCCCCATCTACCACATCTCAGATGGAAAAGGAAAGTGCCCTGGATTGGCCGAGGGCCTGGCAGGGACCATCGCTTCATCTACATAGGGCACCAATTCACCTCAGCCTTTAATTAGCCAGAGACCAAATCCTTCATCTATAAGCACCTCAAAAGGAGTACTTAAAACCCAGAAAACTTTGCAACTGGGCCCTTGAGCTGCTTGCTCTGGCCCATTCCCACCCTGTGGAGTGCTTTCTCGCTTTAATACATTCCTGCTTTTGCTGCTTCGTCCCTGTGTTTCATTCCTTTGTTACTTTGTGCGTTTTGTCTAATTCTTTGTTGAAAACACCAAGGACCACCACAACTTACACTCAAGTGCCCTCCTGATAACAGGTGGATAACCCAAACCTTCATGCCTGAAGGGTTTGGGGCACTTTCAGTGCTGCCTGTGGTGGTGGTGTTTTCTATTAACTTTAATCATAGAGCATAGGATTACTTAGTCTCCCGCCCAGGAAATCAGCTGCATCCTAGACATACTCTTCCTTAACATCATTATGTAGTCAGGATAACTTGATAGTTAGGATTAATCACCCCTGCCAATACAGTAAGCCCCTTCTTTACCTGTTAATTCACTGGCATGAGGATCCTAAGGTGGCCAAACGGCAGTCTCAACCTCAAGTTTAATGGACTCATTGTCACGCCCCTTGATGCAAACATTCCTACTTTTGGGATTAACGCTACACCGGTGGTTCTCAAGTGAGGACGATTTTGCTCCCCGCAGAGGACATTTGGCAATGTCTGGAGACATTTTGGGTTGCCACAACTGGGGAACAGCTGCTACTGACACCTAGCGGCAGAGGCCAGGGATGCTGCCAAGCTTCCTACAATGCGCAAGACCGTCCCCAATTATCCAGGCCGAAATGACAATAATGTTACGGTTGAAAAAGTCTGCTCTAAACCAGCAGAGCCCAAAGTTGTGGAGATAGGCAGCAAACATTATTCTAGGGCATCACTAGGAATAATACAGAGAGGACCTACTCCCACTTGGAAGCCTTGATTCCCAGACCCTGTGTATACTGGCTATGGGAGAAACAGCACCATGTATTGGTGATTGTTGATTTATAGCACATACTCATAAGGTATTATATCTAGCTCATACTGGAGCTGAGTTATCACAGGCCATTTCACCATTTTAACATGCCAACTGCTTTATTTTATTTTGGTAAAAGAAATATAAAATTTGCCATTTCAACTTTTTTTTTTTTTTGAGACGGAGTCTCACTCTGTTGCCCAGGCTGGAGCGCAATGGCACCATCTCGGCTCACTACAACCTCTGCCTCTCGGGTTTCAGCGATTCTCCTGCCTCAGCCTCCCGAGTAGCTGGGATTACAGGTGCCCGCCACCACGCCTGGCTAATTTTTGGATTGTTAGTAGAGACGGGGTTTCACCATGTTGGTCAGGCTGGTCTCAAACTCCTGACCTCAGATGATCCACCTGCCTTGGCCTCCCAAAGTGCTGGGATTACAGGAGTGAGCAACTGTGTCTGACCAGCCATTTTTAAGCATATAATTCATTGGCATTAGTTACATTCACATTGTTGTGCAACCATCACCATTATGTATTTCCAAACTTTCCCATCACCTCAAGCAGAAATTCTGTCACTTTTAAGCAACAATTCCGTTTCACCCTCTCTCAGTCCCTGGTAACCTCTAATCTACTGTCTGTCTCTATACAATTCCCTATTGTAGATATTTCACGTAAGTGGAATCATACAATATTTGTCCTTTTGTGCCTGGCTTATTTAACTTAGCATACAGTTTTCAAAGTTCAGCTAGTATACAAAATTCAGTTCTGACAGCATGTATCAGAGCATCATTCCTTTTTATGGATAAATAATATCCTATGTGTATATCACATTTTATCCATTAATCAGTGGATGGACACTCGGTTTGTTTCTACCTTTTGGCTATTGTGAATAATGCTGCAATTAACATGAATGTACAAATATATGTTTCAGTCCCTGTTTTCAATTCCTTTGGGTATATACCTAGGAGTGGAATTGCTGGGTCATATGATAATTTTATGTTTAGGCCATCTGCTTTATAATAATAGGGAATTTCACTTTTCTATTGCTATAGAGGACAGCAAATTGGCCTAAAACTTTGTGGTTAAAAAAACAAACATTGATCTTCTTTATTATTATTATTATTTTTTGAGATGAAGTTTTGCTCTTCTTGCCCAGGCTGGAGTGCAATGGCGCGATCTCGGCTTACTGCAAACTCCGCCTCCTGGGTTCAAGCGATTCTCGTGCCTCAGCCTCCCAAGTAACTGGGACTACAGGCATGCGCCACCACACCCAGCTAATTTTGTATTTTTAGTAGAGACGGGGTTTCACCATGTTGGCCAGGCTGGTCTCAACCTCCTGACTTGAGGTGATCCACCTGCCTCAGACTCCCAAAGTGCTGGGATTACAGGCGTGAGCCACCACACCTGGCCCAACATTGATCTTCTTATATCCTCTGTGGGTCACGAATCTGCGAGCTGCTTAGCTGGGTGGTTCTGTCCCACAGTTTCTCACGGGATTGCTGTCGAGATGTCTTCTGGCTTGCTTAGTGCTGGGAGATCTGTTTCCAAGGTACCTCACCCACATGGCTGGCTCTCCACAGGCTGCCTGAGTGATTCATGACATGGTGACTGACTTCCCTTCATGCAGATGATTCAAGAGAATAAGGCAGAAACTACAATGTCTTCTTATGACCTCAGAAATCATGCATCATCACTTTTGCCACATTGTATTTGTTAGAAATAAATAAGTAAATCCTATCCACATTAAAGAAGAGGGGACTAAATCTCCAACTTTTGCAGGGAGAAGTGTTAAGGAATTTTTGAACACATTTTAATATGACCACACCATCCACTGATTTTTTTTTTTTTTTTTTGAGATGGAGTCTCACTCTGTCTCCCAGGCTGGAGTGCAGTGGCGCAATTTCAGCTCACTGCAACCTCCGCCTCCCGGGTTCAAGCGATTCTCCTGCCTCAGACTCCTGAGTAGCTGGGACTACAGGCGTGCGCCAACCCGCCCAGCTAATTTTTGTATTTTTATTAGAGACAGGGTTTCACCATTTTGGCAGGATGGTCTCTATCTCTTGACCTTGTGATCCACCGGCCTTGGCCTCCCAAAGTGCTGGGATTACAGGTGTGAGCCACCACGCCCAGCCCCATCCACTGATTTTTAAAAATTTCAGTATTATATTTTTTATTTCTAGAAGTTCTACTTGGTTACTTCTCCCCAATTTCTCTATGACACTTTTTATAGTTTCTTTTTTATTAGTTAGATATTACTATGTAGTAAACTACTTAAAAACTTAGTGGCTTAAAACAAGGACCATTTATTTATGTGGGTTAGTAATTTGGACTGGGATCATCTGAGAGTCTTTGGTTCTCTGCAGGACTCCATCATGTGTGTGCTCAGCTGTATGTTGCCTAGGAGGCTTTGCTTTTAGGGTTTTGCTAGCTGTTGACTGGGTGTTTTCGCTGTCCTCCATTAGCCTTATCTTCTACATGCCTCTCCCTTATCGTCAGCAGGGTAGCCTGAGTTTATTGTCCTGAAGAAGGCAGGCATATAAGAGACAGCAGACACATACAAAGCCTCTTGGGGCCTTGGCTTGGTATTGGCAGGCCACTTCTGCATTCTACTAGCTAAGACAAGTCATTCTATCAGGCAAAATCAACTCAGATTAAAGAGGAGGTGAAATAGATCCTACCTCTTTATGGGAGGAGCTGCAAAGTCACATTGCAAAGGACATGGATACAGGAAAGGTTGGAGAAATTGGGGCCTTTTTTGGCATCAATCTAACACAAACATATGTAGCCTTTTATATAGTCTTTGTCTGAAAATGCTAGTGTCTGATGCCTTTGCAGGTCAGATGTTTTAGCTGCTTTTTACCTACCAATCTAATTTTCATTTGTGTCTGGTTATCTTTTGCTGTATGTTGGATATTTTATATAAAAAAGTGTGTATGGTAACAATTTGGGTTCTATAATAATGCTTCCTGCTAAAGAGGGGGTAATTCTAGTTTTTATCTCCTTAATTCAATTTTTTCTCTGAATTTTTAGTAATGATTCATGTTCCATAGGTGATGGCCTACAATATAAACAACATGGGAAAGTAGAATTTCCCTGGGGAAGATGTCTGGCTTCAAATAGTTCCCTTCACTAATCGGTAAAGGGATCCTGATTCATGCCAAGAATCAAACACTCCCTTCACTTACAGAAGCAAGTCAGGTTCTCTATCACTGGCCCAACCTAGGGTTTGAGCCTTCCTTTCTACAGGTCCCTTAAATGGCATTACATTGAGCAAAACTGAGCAATTTCCTGTTCTGCAACAGCATGCTCTATTTTCCTGCCTTCATACAATTCTCTCTACTTGGAATGCCCACTTCCTCTTTTCCTATGGAAATATCTCAAGACCCAGCTCAAATACTCCCTTCTCAAGAAGCCTTCCCAACTGGATGCAATTTTTTCCCTCTTCTGAATTCTCTTAGTATTTGGTACTTTTTAACGGACTTTTCTGTCTTGAGGTTACTTGTGTATTCATTTTAATTCCCATTCAATTGTAGAGACCCTACAAGTTACATTACCTGACTACACATCTGTTTATTCATTTCAAAACTGTGAATGGTAATAGAACATCTTTTACAGGGCTGTTGTGAGGATTAAGTTAGCTAACATGTGAAACGCTATTTCTAAGGAATAGTAGTGGAGTGCTCAGATAAATGTTAGCTGTTACTACCATCCCTTAGAAATACTGTGATTTTGATGGAAGAGTTTTCACCAAGGTGAAAGCAGAATCCTAACAACTAATTTTAAAAATTCTGGGCTGGGGCCGGGCGCGGTGGCTCACGCCTGTAATCCCAGCACTTTGGAAGGCTGGGGCGGGCGGATCACGAGATCAAGAGATCGAGACCATCCTGGCCAACATGGTGAAATCCCGTCTCTACTAAAAATACAAAAATTAGCTGGGCGTGGTGGCAGACACCTGTAGTCCCAGCTACTCAGGAGGCTGAAGCAGGAGACTTGCTTGAACCCGGGAGGCGGAGGTTGCAGTGAGCCGAGATCACGCCACTGCAGTCCAGCCTGGACGACAGAGCTTGACTCTGTCTTTAAATAAACAAACAAACAAACAAATAAATAAATAAAATAAACAAAATTCTACTATCTGAGGTAAAGGACGAAAAAGCTTACAGAAGGGCAACCACGGCGGCGCCTGCGCAGAGCCGAGGCGAAGGAGGCAGGGAGAGACCCGGCCTGCCCAGAGTCGCGGAGGGCGGTGCAGCGCATGCGCGGGGCAGGTGAGGCTGCGCGGGGCGGAGCCTGTGGCCCTGGCGCGGCTCTGGGTCCGTCTCGTCGCGTCCGGGTTGTCACTCTCTCGGGTTGTTACTCTGTAGCTTCCCGGCTCGCGAAAGGGAGGACCTGTCTGGGTCATGGATTTTGAGAATCTTTTCTCAAAACCCCCCAACCCGGCCCTCGGCAAAACGGCCACGGACTCTGACGAAAGGTGATCCCATATCTTTTCATCTTTTGAATGCAGGGGCTCAGCGGGACTCCGCCTCTTAGTTTCTTCTGGATTGGAGGCAGTCCGGGGCCACGTCCGGGCCGCGTCGCGAGGGCCCGTGGGGAGCACGTGGGCCGGCCGGGCGCCACCGTCTGACCTATAGAGGTCGTGCGGGGTCCGGGTGGGAGCAGAAGCTGAACGCGGGGCTCAGGCTTAGGCCGTCAGGGCCGGGGCTGTCGAGAGCCTGGGCGGGGGAGCGGGGTGGAGGCGAGAAGGCTCCGGGATGCGCCCCTTTCTCTGCACAGCAGCGGGTGAGGAGCCCGCCTCTGTGGTCCCGTAGCGTCTGTCTTTACCGTTGTTGCCTGTTTCCACGAGACCGTAAACTCCCAGAGGACACTGATGTGACCTTTTTCACTGACACCTCCTAGGTTCTTTTCTGTAGAAAGGATGAAACCACAAGTTTATTGAAAGGTAAAGAATAGGCAATACTCTGCCATTAGTCCACTGATTTGCATGGAAAGACCCTAAAGACCACAATAAAGCAACAGACGTCATTTGGACTTAATATTTCCATTAGGTTGGAAAAGCAAGTGAGACTCTTGGTCAGATGGCCCTAATTTGTAGATTATATTTTTGGAGCAGTGTCTAGTGATTTGAAATGCTAAAAACCACCATCTTTGTTCTTAAACCTACGTCTTTTATTTCCCTCAACTGAGATATATTTCCAGTTGTGATTGATTTTACCATTCGATATTGGTCAGCTGTTCACTCTATCTCAAATTTTACCTTAACTGATCATCCAGAGCTTTACCTTGTGCTTTACATGAAATAAATCACTTAATCCTCAAAACAAACTTAAAGAGAAGATGATGCCGTCCTCGTTTTACAGATGGGAAAACTGAGGCACGGAGAGGCTAAATAACCTGCCGAGATTGCACAGTGTAAGTGGAAGAGCTATGTCCAGGATCCATGATTTTATCACCAAGCTTCTCATGCAAAATGACTAAAATTTTAAAATAAGCCCTATAAATATTGGAAAGAGACAGATACACTAATTACTTGCAGATGATATAATTTACTAAGAAAAATAACTGGTACTAATTGATATGTTATAAAATACATAAGAATTCATCACACAAAAAAAAGATAATAGCAACATTTAAAAATCCGAACAGCAGCTATCAGTTTCAAAGTGTGTTGGACACAAGCTCCATTCCCCAAAACTTGACTGCAATACATAAAAGACACTTGGAATTTTGCCAAAATGATGGGTGAAGGATGGTATGGAAGTATGGTGAGCTGTCCATATTATTTGCCCATTTTTCTCCTTTTTGGTCTTTTTCACATTCTAGGATCTCTTATCTGCGAATACTTTACTCCCAATTGTCATTTGTCTTTGCCTATGGCATTATTTTTCAATGTAAAAAGGAATGGGGATGTTGTGGTTTGGTTTTATGCAGTCAGATGAATCAGTCTTTTCTCATATGGTTTCTGGTTTTTTTTCCGAGTAATTTGTGATGGGAATACTTCTCATTCATTCAAAAAATCGTATTGAGCACCTGCTACGGCCTTGGGGATATAGTAGTAAATGAAGAAGAGATGAAAATTTCTGTACTAATGAATTTACATTATTAGGGGAAGGGGGAGACATACATAAATATATCATATTTTAGGTGGTACTAAATGCCCTGAGAAAATGAATGAAGGGTAAGGGGAAAATAAGCACTGGTGGGATGGTAGGGAGGGAGTAGTTTTGTGGGTTTTTTTTTTATTTTTTTGAGCAGAGTCTGGCTCTGTCGCCCAGGCTGGGGTGCAGTGGCGCGATCTCGGCTCACTGCAAGCTCTGCCTTCCGGGTTCACACCATTCTCCTGCCTCAGCCTCCCGAGTAGCTGGGACTACAGGCGCCTGCCACCACGCCCGACGTATTTTTAGTAGAGACGGGGTTTCACCATGTTAGACAGGATGGTCTCGATCTCCTGACCTTGTGATCTGCCCGCCTTGGCCTCCCAAAGTGCTGGGATTACAGGCGTGAGCCACCGCGCCCGGCTGGGAGGTGTAGATATTTTAAGAAGGTAGATAAGGAAAGCCTCACTGATAACATTGGTAAGTTTTAAAAATCTGTGTAGGGACCTGAAGGAGGTGAGGGGGTTTCATAGTCCAGAGGGGTGGAGAGGAGTCTGTATAAAGGTCCTCAGACGGAGTGAGCTTGGTGTGATTGGGTTAGGGGAGCAAAGTGGCCAGGACAGCTGGGGTGGAGTAAGAGGGACTTGGAAGTCTGCGAGGTACTGGGGTAGGGTTAGGGGAGCCCAATCATGGAGGAACTGGTAGGTGCCGAAATAAGGACTTTGGCTTTTACTCTGAATGAGACAAGAGACCATTGGAGGGTTTTTCAGCAGAGTGACATTTGAAATATTTTAGCAGGGTCATTCTAGTTGTGTTGAGAGTAGAATGTAGGGGTGCCAGAGCAGCTTGGATTGTTGTATTAGTGGCAAGAAGTGGTCAAACGTGGGTATGTTGAAGATAGAATAAACTGGATTTCCTCAGAGATTGGATGGGGATGTGAGAGAGGAATCAAGATTGACTTTAAGGTTTTGGTAGGGATCTTGAGAGGGATGGTGTTGCCGTTTTAGATAGCAAGAAGGATTAGGCTTCAGAGAGAAGAGCAAGAGTTCAGTGTTGGATGTTTTAAGATTACATATGTCTAGTAGATGTTCAGGTGGTTATGTTGACTAGGAAGTTAGCTCTGTTTGGATTTAAGAAGAGGGGTTTGGGTTAGAGACTTGGATATTGAAATCAACTACATACAGATGATATTCATAGTGATGATATAGAAAGGGATAGCCTGGAATGAGAATATAGATGAGAATATAGACAAAGAAGAGAAGAGGTGAGAACTGACTTTGAAAGTTGTGAAGATAAGGAACCAACAAAGGAGACTGAGAAGTAGTAGCTGTGGAAAGAAGAAACTAGAAGAGCCCACTATCTCTGAAGCTAAGTAAAGAACATGTTTTACAGAGAAGAGGTGGTCACCTCTGTCCTATCCTGCTCATAGGTCTAATATGGGTGCTGAGTATTGTAGACCTTCACAGTGAAAGTAGACATCTATTTAGAATGGGCAGTGTTGAATAACAGTGTGATTGTAGGGCACATACTTGGGAGCTTTGCCTGCCTGCTGGGGCTCAGATCTCAGCTCCACCATGTATTAGCTCTGTGACAAGTTACATATCCTTTCTGTGATTGTTTTCTCATCCGTAAAATGGGCTTTTAGTATGTATGTCATAACACTGTTGTTTGTGGTAAGTGTTACGTGTATGGAGCAGCATCTGGCACAGAGTAAGCATCATTCAAGTGTTGGCTGATGCTGTTACTGCTATTGAGGTCATTATTGTCATTATTCCTCTGCCTAAGGAGAGGTTGCCTCCTACTCCATGAGATGATTCATTACTGGAAACTATAGCTATAAAGATTCACAAGTATTGGGGTTTTTGGTTCTTGTAATGGTGGCTTCTGTAGCAGGCTCACAACTTAGTACCTCATCTGATGGATGTAACTCTGGAGCTCTGAGTCAGTGTAAACTGTTGAATTGGACAAAGCTGTGAAGCCTGAGCTCCTGTAACTTTGAAAGAACAGCCACGGAGCCACTGTTCACATTCTCCTTGTGCTGTCAGTGCTTTCCCTTTGTAACATGTTCTCTTGAGATGGGACACATTCCCCAATTCCTTGCCTTTATCTGGTGTGTAACTCATATTTTAATTCACAGCTTTTCCCAATCTTGTGTTCAATAGTCACCACTTACTAAGATAATATTTTCTTCAGCTCCCTATATTTCTAGTATCAACCATTATTCAGATACATCTATACATTTTATTGTCTTCTTTGTTCACCATGTTCTTATATTTCCCATCCCTCTTGGGTTCATATTTAGTTTTGCTGGAATAGCCTCAAGTAATTGTCTCAGACTGTTATATATATGCATGGTCAACTTCTCAGTCCTGTAAGTCTGAAAACAGTTTTTCTTTTTCATCTTTACACTTAAATGTGTTTGTCTCGCTCCTAATCTCAAAAGGCACTCTGCATTCTGCCTAAAATACCCTTCTCTCTCACATTCCTCTTTCCTCTTTTTTGGCTAACTCATAAGTATCATTTAGGCTCTGAATGCCTCTGATCCCCAAGTCTGGGTTGTGTTCCCCATATATGCCCCTATACTTACCATACCATATTGAAATAGCTTTATTTTTTTCTCCCAAGGAGATAGAAAGCTCTCAGAACACAGTGACAGGGTCTGTATTTTTCATTGTTGTAGTCCAGGGCCTAAGGCCCGGAGCCTCGTACATGGTGGGTACTTAGTAGTTGTTGAATTAATGGAATGATGGATGAATGAATGATTTATATAGCTGCTAATACTTGAACATTAAGGCTTTATAATCTAAAATTTTACAGGCTATTCATAAATATATATGGACATTTATTGGTCATCATAATTTTGTACATTTTCTGGAGTATTTGGTATAGAATTTGAATTTGTAATTTCTTTGAGGGTAAGTTGAAGACAAGCCAAAGCAGTGAATTGTAACGCTGTGGTATGAACACTTCAGGTTGAAAAAACTCTTTTGTGTTATTTGATATTTTTGCTACAGAATCGATGATGAAATAGATACAGAAGTTGAAGAAACACAAGAAGAGAAAATTAAACTGGAGTGCGAGCAAATTCCCAAAAAAGTAAGATTAAGTTGACCACTGTTTAAGTTGAAAACGCAGATTTTTTTTTCTCAGTTTCACATGGAACAACAAAAAAAGAAAAAACAGATGGAAATGGATATGAGAAATTAATGAAGGATCCTACTTGTCTCATTTTACCAGCATTTGGGACCCAGTTACTTATATCAAAGAAAACTGGTTATACTTTTTAAATAAATTATTATTTAATAACTTTATTGTCATTTAACATGACATATGTTTAATAATTGCATTTATTTCTATTTTTGTTATTTCTGAAATGGACTGTAAACAGTTTCAAAAGCTTCTTTCAAGTTGGGTTAACATTTTTGAGGGTTATGATTTGTTAACTTAACCAACCTTAGTGATTTATAGCTTAAAGCCCGTATTAGTTCATTAGGGCTGCCATAACAAAGTACCACAGACTGGGTGGCTTAAACAACAGAACTTGGCTGGGCGCGGTGGCTCACGCCTGTAGTCCCAGCACTTTGGGAGGCCGAGGTGGATGGATCATGAGGTCAGGAGTTTGAGACCAGCCTGGCCAATATGGTGAAACCCATCTCTACTAAAAATACAAAAAAATTTAGCCAGGCATGGTGGCATGCACCTGTAGTCCCAGCTACTAGGGAGGCTGAGGCAGAAGAATCACTTGAACCCAGGAGGTGGAGGTTGCAGTAAGCCAAAATCCCGCCACTGCACTCCAGCCTGGGCAACAAAGCGAGACTCCGAATCAAAACAAAAACAAAAACAAAAAAAACCCCAGAACTTTATTGTCTCAAGGTTCTGGAGGCTGGAGGTCCCAGCACAAGGTGTTGGCAGGGTTGGTTCCTTCTGAGGCTGTGGGGAAGAATCTATTCATTCATCTCCCCTAGCTCCTGATGGAATGCTGGCAATCTTTGGTGATGGCTTGCAAAAGTATCATCCTGATTTCTGCCTTCATATTCACATGGTGTTCTCCCTGTATGCCTGTGTCTGAATTGTCTGAATTTCCTTTTTTTGAGACAGAGTCTTGCTCTGTCACCCAGGTTGGAGTGCAGTGGCACAATCTCTGCTCACTGCAACCTCCTTCTGGACTCAAGCAATTCTCAGCCTCCCAAGTAGCTGGGATTACAGGTGTGCACCACCACGCCCAGCTAATTTTTGTGTTTTTTGTAGAGAAAAAATATACATGGGGTTTCGCCATGTTGCCCAGGCTGGTCTCGAACTCCTGGGGTCAAGCGATCTGACCGCCTCGGCCTCCCAAAGTGCTGGGATTACAGGCCTGAGCGACTGTGCCCGGCTGAATTTTCCTTTTTTATAAGGAAATCAGTCACTGGACTAGGGCCCACCCTAATGACCTAATCTTAATTAATTACACTTGCAATGACCCTATTTCCAAAAAAGGTCACATTCTGAGGTATTAGGGGTTAGTAGTTCATTATAAGAATTTTGGGAGGGTGCAGTTCAACCCATAACAAAGGTAATGTATATTCCTATCTTGCCCTTCTTTTCTGTTTTTGAACATGGAGAAACGCCATCTCTACTAAAAATACAAAATTAGCCAAGCATGGTGGCAGGCACCTGTAATCCCAGCTACTCAGGGAGCTGAGGCAGGAGAATCGCTTAAACCCGGGAGGCAGAGGTTGCGGTGAGCCGATATCATGCCATTGCACTCCAGCCTGGGCAACAAGAGCAAAATTCCATCTCAAAAAAAAAATGAGTTTTAACACACTATAGAAGAATGGGTTAAATTGTCACTGAGACTTATAAGACAGAAATAGACTTTAATAGTGTATCTTTTACTTAGCTTTCTTGCTTGCTTGCTTTTTCTTTTTCTTTCTTTCTTTTTTTCCTTTTCTTTTTCTTTTTCTTTCTTTTCTTTCTTTCTTTCTTTTCTTTCTGTCTCTGTTGCCCAGGCTGGAGTGTGGTAGCATGATCTTGGCTCACTGCAACCTCCTTCTCCTGGGTTCGAGCAGTTTTCCCACCTCAGCCTCCCGAGTAGCTGGGACTACAGGCACACGCCACCACACCTGGCTAATTGTTGTATTTTTAGCAGAGACAGGGTTTCATCATGTTGCCCAGGCTGGTCTCAAACTCCAGAGCTCAAGTGATCTGCCAGCCTCGGCCTCCCGAAGTGCTAGGATTATAGGTGTGAGCCACCATGCCCAGCCTCCTTAGTTTTATAAAAGAATACAGGACAGATGATAAAGCAGGTACAGTATCTTCATCTTCTTGGAAGCCTCTCAGCTACCCAAGTAAGCAACTTCTTTTCCCCTTTGGGGCCTATGTGGCTTCCAAAGATGAGAGCCAAGGTTGACGACAAGAAATTGCAACTTCAACTTCCCACAAGTTTTTTATACTGCTTGAGTCACATAGGCCTCAGTCTTTTATGCCCACTTTTAGCTCCTCCAGACTTCGTATTATATATTATAACCTTCCACAGCAGACAGGCAGAAACAACATTCTACAACTGTCTTACATAGTTTCTGCAAAACAGTACTGTGAGAAGATGGACTCCTAGGTTATTCTCAACCAGGCTTGCTTCAGTGCAGCCTCTTCACTCACAAGTATGTAAAAGGTGAATACATTATCAAATAAATATCACAGCTAATTAATTAATTAACTTATTTATTTTTGAGACAGAGTCTCACTCTGTTGCACAGGCTGCAGTAAAGTGGCAAAATCTTGGCTCACTGCAACCTCCACCTCCCAGGTTCAAGCAATTCTCCTGCCTCAGCCTCCCGAGTAGTTGGGAATACAGGTGCCTGTCACCCACCTTGCCTGGCTAATTTTTGTATTTTTAGTAGAGATGGGTTTTTGCCATGTTGGCCAGGCTGGTCTCGAACTCCTGAGCTCAAGTGATTGGCCCGCCTCAGCCTCCCAAACTGCTGGGATTACAGGTGTGAGCCACCATGGCTGGCTATAGCTTATTTAAAAGAGAATACCCAGGTAAACACTTTGCAAGTTAAGAAAGAGCATTACCTCAGATTTTGAGGGTTTGATTTCATACCACCACAATAAAACAAATATTGCAGTAAAGCTAGGCACAAGAATGTTTTGGTTTCCCAGTGCATATAAAAGTTACATTTATACTATACAGTACTCTGTTAGGTGTCCAATACCATTATATTTTAGAAAACAGTATATATCTTAATTAAAAATTCTTTGTTGCTAAAAAATGTTAACAGTCAGCGAGTCATCTTTTTGATGGCAGAGGGTCTTGCCTCAGTGTTGATAGCTGCTGAGGGTGGTGACTGCTAAACACTGAGGTGGCTCTGGCAATTTCTTAAAATAGGACAGCAGTAAAGTTTGTCACCTCAATTGACTTCTCCTTTTACAAAATATTTCTCTGTAGTATGTGATGCTGTTTGATAGCATTTTACCCACAGTAAAAATTTCAAAATTGGAGTCAATCCTCTCAACCCCTGCCACTGCTTTATCAACTAGGTTTATATAATATTCTAAATCTGTTGTCATTTCAACAATGTTCATAGCATCTTCACCAGAAATAGATTGCATCTCAAGAAACCACATTGTTCACTTGTAAGAAGCAGCTCCTCATCTGTTCAAGTTTGATCATGAAGTTGCAGCAATTCAGTCACGTCTTCATTCTCCACTTCTAATTCTAGTTCTCTTGCTTTTCCACCACACCTGCAATTACTTCGTCTACTGAAGTCTTGAACTCCTCAAAGTCATCCCTGAGGGTTGCAATCACCTTCTTTCAAACTCCTGTTATTGTTGATATTTGACCTTCTGCCATGAATCACGAATGTTCTTAATGTCAGCTAAAATGGTGAATCCTTTCTAGGTTTTCAATTTACTCTGCCCAGATCCATCAGAGAAATCACTTTCTATGGCTACTATAACCTTAAAAAGTGTATTTTGTATTTATTTCTTAAATAAGACTTGAAAGTCAATTATTCCGTGATCCATAAGCTGCAGAATGGTTGTTGTGTTTGTGGACATGAAAACATTCATCTCCATCAGAGCTCTTGGGTGACTGGGTGCATTGTCAATGAGCAGTAGTATTTTGAAAAGGATATTTTTTCTGAGCAGTAGGTCTCAACAGTGGGCTTAAAATAGTCAGTAAACCATGCTGTAAACAGATATACTGCCATCTGGGCTCTGTTGCTCCATATATAGAGCACAGGCAGAGTATATTTAGCATAATTCTTAAGGGCCCTAGAATTTTCAGACTGGTAAATGAGCATTGGTTTCAACTTAAAGTCACCAGCTGCATTAGCTCCTAACAAGAGTTAGCCTATCTTTTTGAAGCCTTTTAAAGTATTTTATTTGTATAAATTTACGGGGTGCAAGTGCAATTTTGTTACATGCATAGATTGTAGTGGTGAAGTCAGGGTATTCTTTGAAGTGAGGTATTGACTTCTCTCTAGTTATGAAAGTCCCAAGTGGCATCTTTTTCCAACATAAGGCTGTTTCATTTACATTGAAAATCTGTTGTTTAGTGTGGCCACCTTCATCAATGATCTTAGCTAGATCTTCTGGATAATTTGCAGCTTTTACATCAGCACTTGTTGCTTCATCATGCACATTGCTTTTTGAGATGGAGTCTTGCTCTGTCACCCAGGCTGGAGTGCATTGGCATTACCTTGGCTCACTGCATCGTCTGCCTCCTGGGTTCAAGCGATTCTCCTGCTTCAGCCTCCTGAGTAGCTGGGACTACGGGTGTGCACCATCACACCCAGTTAATTTTTGTATTTTTAGTAGAGACGGGGTTTCACTATGTTGGCTAGGCTGGTCTTGAACCCCTGGCCTCAAGTGATCTGCCCGCCTCGGCCTCCCAAAGTGCTGGGATTATAAGCGTGAGCCACCGCGCCTGGCCTGTCATGCACTTTTTATGTGATGGAGACATCGTCTATCCATAAACCTCAAGAACCAACCTCTGCTAACTTCAGACTTTCCTTCTGCAGCTTCCTCACCTTTTTCCACCTTCATAGAATTGAAGAGAGTTAGGGCCTTGCCCTGGATTAGGCTTTGGCTTAAGGGAATGTTATGACTGGTTTGATCTTCTATCCAGACCAATACAATTTCTCTGTATCAGCAATAAGGCTGTTTTGTGTTCATATCATTAGTGTGTTCACTGGAGTAGCACTTTTACTTTCCTTCAGGAACCTTCCCTTTGCATTCACAAGTTGGCTATTTGGCTTACGAGGCCTAGCTTTCAGCTTGTCTTGACTTTTGACATGCCTTCCTCACTAAGCTTAATCATTTCTAGCTTTTGATTTCAGTAGAGACATATGATTCTTCCTTTCCCTTGAACACTTAGAAGCCATTGTAGGGTTATTAATTAGTCTAATTTCAGTATCTTAGTGTCTCAGGGAATAGGGAAGCCTGAGGGGAGAGGGAGGGAGAGAGACAGGAGAATGGCTGGTTGGTGGAGCAGTCAGAACACATGCAACATTTATCGATTAAGTTCGCCATCTTATGTGGGCATGGTTCATGGCACCCCCTCAAAAATTACAATAGTAACGTCAAAGACCACTGATCACAGATCGCTATAACAGATGTATTGCGAGAATTACCAAAATGTGACACAGAGACACAGAGTGAACACATGCTTTTCAAAAAATGGTGCCAATAGACTTGTTTGATGCAGGGTTGCCACAGACCTTCAATCTGTAAAAGAAATGTGTTATTTGTGACACACAGTAAAATGAAGGACATCAAATAAGGTATGCCTATAACTTTCTTTGTAGATATCTCACATCTTATATACCTTTTGTTATATTTATTGCTAAGTGTTTAATGAAACTATTGTGAATAATTTTTTTTAAGTATCATTTTCTAGCTGTTGGTTTCTCATTGGTTGGCATACACCCATATGTAGGGATGCATGGAAGACAGATTTTTGAGTTCTTGTTAACATTTCTGAAAATATCTTGAATTTACCTCATTGTTGATAGTTTGGCTGAAATAGAATTAAGTTTGAGGTTACTGCTCCATTGTCTTCTACTATCCAGTGTTACAAAGGTGAAATTTACCAATTTCATTCTAATATCTTTGTAAGTATCCTGTTTTCTCTGGAAGCTTTAAGGCTCTTCTCTTCATTCTTGGCATTCTTAATTCTATGCGATTGTGAATCTTTTTTCATTCATTCTGCTTAGTGCTATTGTGGTGAGATTATTTATTCATATCCTTTTATATGAGACATATCTCTTATTTTTTATCTTTTTTCTTTATATCCCAAGATATTTCCTCTGTTTCTATTTATCATTATTTCATAAATTACAATTTAACTAAGATCTTATTCTTGTTTTGATAGCTTTCTAACATTGTTTTTGAATATATTTTTTAATATCTTTGTGTATTTTTAAATTTTCGAGTTCTTTTTCTCAAATGATAGTTGCTTCTTCTGGATCTGTTTTTCAGTTATTTTCTTGCTTTTTTGTTATGTTCTGGAGATCAGGGATCAGTAAGCATTTTCTATAAAGGACAAGACAATAAATATTTTAGGTTTTTAAGGCAAGAAGCAAAATTGAGGATGTTATGTACGTATTTATATAATGAAGGAGAGAAAACAAGTTTCCACAACACAGCCTTTGACTGATAGACTTCAGTACATAATAATAATTGTTTTTTAATACGATTCTAATGAGAAGAATGGGATTCTTCTTTGTGAGGTAATTATTTGCTTAATTGGGGTTCAAAGTTACTGTTCCTTATCAAAATTGATTGCAAAGATTCATCTGTTAAGCTGATATATAATAAGACTTTATTTCATCTCTGAAAATGTCTTTTCGCTACAGATGGATATTGCCCAATACTGATATCAGTTCACCAGAATATGATCTTAATTGAGCATATACATTGCCTGGAAGACATTTATGGAACTTTGTTCGATTCTTCTCTTAGATTTGTCTTTTAGCATGTTACTACATTGCAGATGAGTCACTGCCAATCAAAGGTTAGGCGGAAGCTCCTCAGTTGCATAGTTAAATGGATTTTGAAGCACTTAAAGTCTGAAAAAACACTTCTGGAACTGTTTGAGTGTGCAAAATATATCTGCTGCAAATTAATGTAGGTATGGAGATCTTGTTCCTATTTTAACTTTGAACAGCACAGTGATACCAAGCAGTGTCAGTAACACCTGTGAACTCATTAAAAGCCAAGGAAAACCACTGGAAAGTATTTACCTGGTTTTAAATTGTCTGA
This sequence comes from Homo sapiens, assembly GCF_000001405.40. NCBI lineage: Eukaryota > Metazoa > Chordata > Mammalia > Primates > Hominidae > Homo > Homo sapiens. The sequence goes on along the minus strand of NC_000002.12, from coordinate 112,243,041 downwards.
TGAAGCTCCAGTTTCCTCATATCTTTGAGCAGCTGTTCTTGCCAAAAGGCCACTTGTCTTAAGAACTTTATTTTCTCTGGACAGATTTCTTTGCTGTAATCAATCATGATTTAATTAACTCATTATAAGCTTTCTTTGGCTACAAATGAAACTTACTTTGATTATAGTCTTGTTTTTGTTTTATTTTTGGAAAGATCTGTGGATGTGATCATTTATTTTAAATTGTCTAATTTTAAAAAAGAATAATTTTAATCAGAAGAGAGCTGGAGTAAAATTTTCTAATTTTTCTGTTACTCTCTTGTGAGTTGGGAATATTGTGGTGAATGCTTAATACTGTAATGTCAACATACATTGTTTTCTTTTAGCACTACTGTAGTATTGTTACATAATAACCACAGTGATTTGCCGTCTGACTTGACAGTATAATAATCCACAATTCACTGCGCCTTTAAATACTTGACATTTGAAGTTTGCTTTTTGTGTTTTGATGTGGTAAGTATGCTCTGGAAAAAAAATTAAATAGCATGAGGTACTCAATGAAGCACTCAAAATGTTGTCAATTTATAACTGAGCATCTCTACGAAGTGATGAGAATGCCATGAAGGTCTCTTGCAGCTACTCAGCTCTGCTGTTGTAGCAAAGAAGCAGGCCATATAATATATAAATGAATGAGTATGCCTATGTTCCAATAAAATTGTATTTATGGACTCTGAAATTTAAATTTTATATAGTTTTCAAGTGTCATGAAATATTCTTTTGATTTCTTTTGTTTCAACCATGAAAAAATATGTAAAGTTCATTCTTAGCTTGTGGGTGCTTACAAACACAGGTGGCAGAGCGGATTTTGCCCTTGGGTTGTAGTTCACTGACTCCAGCTCTAGATTTTTGTCACATGCTTTTGTATTCCTTTGTTGTCCATTCATTTAAGAAAGGCCCAGAGAGTTAATAGATGTCCTCTGCTGATGTGTTGGTAAGTCTGTGTCTCTAAAGGCCTTTTCTCTAAATAGGAAGCCTGACTGGGTGGTGAGTGAGTAGGCTGTGTGGATAGGAGGTTTTCCAGCAGTGTAACAATTCTCAGTCCACTTTGTGCCATGCACCCCCTTTAGCAGTCTGGTGAAGCCTATGGACCCCTTTTCAAGTTTTTTAAGTGTATAAAATAAAATGTTTGATTACAAAGGAAATTGATTTGATTGAAATACAGTTTATCAAAATATTAAAAACAAATGCTATAGAGTAATATGTTCTTTATTAATACACTGAATATTAAGACCTAGCAGAGCAGTTAGTCTGATTCTAATTTTGCAGTGGTCATGAACATAAAAGGTATTTTGAGATCTGCAACAACTATAATGTGATACATGAAAATATCTGTGATTTGTGTTAGTGACAGTCACAGGCACTGCTGATACTGCTATATTTTGTTTCCTATGTTCAAAACGGAATAACATATTTGAACATACTTCCTTTGTTCAAATACCAAATGTCAATTTGGAGGTTGATGAAAATAATATGTGGTTTTCTTCTCATTCAAGTTCACTGAATTTTCTGAATTCAAGTTCACTGAATTTTCTGAATTCAATCCATAGGCCCTTGAGGGGGGGGTCTCTGGACAGCAGGGTGAGAACCCCTGCTTTATGGTGAGTAGGATGGAGTATTTTTCTAGTAGGGGTTGCTCCCAAATGCCAGCCCATGGAAGATTTAGTACCTCCATGTGGGTGGTCGTAGTACCCACATCTTAGCTTTTACCAGACATTCTATTCCATTTCTTTGGATAACAGCCTTCTCTTTTTTTCCTAGGGAAAGTACCTGGGTGGTTGTGTTCTGGAGAGGGAGAGGGCAGAGAGAATTTGTTGTAACAGCTTTGTCTGTTTTTTGTAGAATTTTAATTCATTCTCATTTATAGCCCCATTTCTCACACTGTACCTAAGCCCACCCTTTAGAGCATAACTTCCTTTTTGTCTATCAGAAATTTGACTCTTAATTCCTGATGAATGCACTTCATGCCTCCCATACACACACACACACACACACAAAACACAACACACATACACACGCGCACACACACACACACACACACACACACACACACTGTTACCTGTACTTTAATTTTGGAGGTTTCTGGAGGCCATACTAGTTCAGTAAACCATCTTGAATAAAAAAAGTTATTTAGACTCTTACAAAAGGAGAAAGGGGATGTAATCATGTTCGTATGCTTTTTAAATTATACAAAAAACAACAAACTGAAGCAATGAGTTTATAGCTAGCTAAGTGAAGAAAAGTATTCAATTATTTGTATTTTATATATTTCAATGCCCTCTGAAAAGAATCATTAGTAATATTTATCCCTACTGTATAATAAAACAGCAAAATTGATGATTGTCCTGGCTTTATTAATGTTGCCAGATTGTTTCATGTCTTCATTTAATGTAAGTCCAACGTATTATTACTTGTCGTAAAAGGAGTCTGCTTCAATACTGTAGGCCTATGTGTTTTGTGCAGACAGAGGGAACTTAATCACTCATTTGGATCATTTTAATATTTTGATTCAGATGCACTGAAGAAAATCTCACCTCTATGTATTTGATTAAGCTAAACTTCATAGGAGCTGCTGCATACTGAATAATCTTTTTGGTTCCCCCATGCCTACTAAATAAAATTAAAGGCCAAAACCAAGGTAAACATAATCTATCACAGGAGTCGGCCAACCTTTTCATAAAGGATCAGTTAGTGAATCTTTTCACCTTTGTAGGCCATGTTGTCTCTGTCACAACTAAGACAATATGTAAATGAATGGATGTAATTGGTGTTACAGTAAAACTGTATTTACAGAAACAGGTGGTGAAGCTGAAAATTTGCCAACCCCTGATCTATCAGTCCAGAAGTTACATTTACAAGTTTATTCTATGGTGTTAATGGGGAAAAGGCACTCTTTCTTGAAGACCTAGAGACAAGAAGTTTGGTGGCCTGAAGATAATTGGTTGATAGTCTTGTCTGGTGTAGGGAAGATAAGGTATAATTGAGGCCATTGTCAGATCAAGAAACTTCCTCAGCTTGTTTGGATTCTTTAAGCAGGGAGCAAGTTCATTTTCTAGGCTTATAATCAATCCTCTGGTGGAACAACTCCTAACTTTGAAGTTAACCATCAGAAGTAAACTGTTGCCGGGCATGGTGGCTCATGGCTGTAATCCTAGCACTTTGGGAGGCCGAGGCAGGCGGATCACTTGAGGTCAGCAGTTCAGGACCAGCCTGGCCAATAGGGTGAAACCCTGTCTCTATCAAAAATACAAAAATTAGCTGAGCATGGTGGTGCATGCCTGTAGTCCCAGCTACTCGGGAGGCTGAGGCAAGGGAATCGCTTGAGCCTGGGAGGCAGAGGTTGCAGTGAGCCAAGATCGTGCCACTGCACTCCAGCCTGGGCAATAGAGTGAGAATCCATCAAAAAAAAAAAAAAAAAAAAAAAAAGTAAACTGTTAAATTGGGCCACCTAATATATTTTATAATAGCGATTCTTCTGTTTTGTTTTTTGTCTGTTTGTTTTGAGTTTGCTTCTTAGTTATCATGTGAAAGCAAATAAGAGACCAGGCCCCAAAGTATGCTTTGAAACAAAATCATTATCCACTGTAATGATAGGCATGCCATTTCTTCGTGACATCAGAATAGGAGCCCTTTGATACTTGGTCATTTTTTAAAAATAAACTTTCTGATTAAAATGTGTCATACATACTAATTATAATGATACAGTTTAATATACCTGTGTCACCAAGTGTAGAAACACATGTAACCAATACCTGAAAATTTTTATGCAGAAATTGCTTTAAGTCATTGCTGTCATCAGCCTGGGCTCCTCTAGGATTAGCTCCCATGCCTGGGTTCTTCACCCTTGCCTTGGGCACGTGCAACAACAGAGTTAGGAAACTCTTTCTGCAAGTAAAGTTAACTTGATTACAGAGAATAGGGTAGTTCTTTATTCCTTGTCATCATTGCTGCTACCACTTCTGTGAGTTATAGGAGAAAGACTAGACTTTGGTAGCTTAGATGTATCTTAAGTGTAAGTGGGTTTTCATATGGACCATTACAGTTTACTTGGGGTGTTTTACAAAATGATAAATTATTGAAGACATTTAAAAGTACTGTCAATGCAAAGGCAGAAATGTAATGTGTGAACTGTAATACTGTAATCCTCTCATATCAAATAATTAAGATTTAGGGGTTTAGACTTTTAATTCAGTCAAAGGCACACAATGTACAAATTTAGAATTTTCCCTCAAATCATCTTTAAGGATAGATATGTCATAGTGGTTTGTTAGTTTGTTTTTAATTCTGGAAATTTTTTCTTTTTTTTAATTCTGGAAATTTTCAAATATATGAGTGGAGAGAATAGTATATGAATCCCATGTACCTATTACCCACCTTCAACAATGACCAGTTTATAGCCAATCTTGTTTCTTCTGTATAGCCAGATTGTTTTGAATCATGCTAGGTTTTTAAAATTGAAGTTTTAATTTTTACTTAGTTTAGACACTCTGCAATATCACCAAAAAGTTCGCTGCATAGAAAATCAAGAAGTAAGGACTATGATGTATATAGTGATAATGATATCTGCAGTCAGGAATCAGAAGATAATTTTGCCAAAGAGCTTCAACAGTACATACAAGCCAGAGAAATGGCAAATGCTGCTCAACCTGAAGAATCTACAAAGAAAGAAGGAGTAAAAGATACCCCACAGGGTAAGAGTCAAACTATTTTATCATTTAAAGTTTATCTAGAGAAGCAGTCACAGTTGTCCATATACGGACAGAGGATTTTTCTTTGCACTTTATCTTATGATAAGACTATGGTTTTCATGAATATTTATACCAGACATGAGCTTGCATGGCCAGAGACCCCATCTGAGACCTGGCCACTTGGTGCATTAAATGCTTAGTTTGTAGAGGGAGCTGGAGGATGGAGGTGGGTTATCAAAGGCCCTGACTATTTCTAAAGGGAGAATGCTAAAGCCCTGGCCTCTGCATGTGTGAAGGATAGGATATGCCTGCTTGTATTGCTGTCATTTAAAGAGGATTGACTGGAATGGTTGTATGTCAGACTGTAACTCAGAAATATATTCTTCTAGATTACTAAAATGAGATTTAGCCATAAATATGAGGGCAAATGGCAATTATAAATGAAATTTTTGGCCAGGCATGGTGGCTCACGCCTGTAATCCCAGCACTTTGGAAGGCCGAGGCTGGTGGATCACTTGAGGTCAGGAGTTCGAGACCAGCCTGGCCAACATGGTGAAACCTAAAAATAAAAAAAAGTATCAGGGTATGGTGGCACATGCCTGTAATCCCAGCTACCCTGGAGGCTGAGGCACGAGAATCACTTGAGCCTAGGAGGCAGAGGTTGCAGTGAGCCGAGATCACACAGTGCACTCCAACCTGGACAACAGAGCGAGACTCTGTCTCAAAAAAAAAAAAAAATTAAAATTTTAATGCTGTCATTTTTTTGTTGTTTTCTTTACTTAAAATGGATCTGTATTGCTTGAGCCCAGGAGTTCGAGGCTCCAGTAGACTATGATTATGCCATTGCAGGATAGATGGATAAATGCGTGCACGGATAGATAAATAAATAAAAACTTGATCTATTTAAAATGTTTTCAGTGAAAAATCTGACAGTAATTTATGAGGTCATTGTAAACACTTAAAGTTTTACTGTTGCAGTTCCTAATTAGATCCATCATACTCTGAACACTTCAAAAGGATCTGCCTTAGAACTTATAAGACTGATTTTATTATCTTGCTTTTTTCTTGACAATACCTTATATATTTTTAAAAACAATGAATGGGGAATCCAGGATGTATTATCATAATTCTCTTTTTGGTCCCTTAGTCCCAGAGCTTCTAGGAAAACTGATCACTATCATGCCAGTTTTCACTTATTGAGCCTTAGAGAACTTTCCTCAATTATTGTAAATCATACTTCTTTTTTCCATTTGTTTTGCGACAGGTTCTCACTCTGTTGCCCAGGCTGGAGTGCAGCAGTGCAGTCATAGCTCACTGTAACCTTGAACACCTTGGCTCAAGCAATCCTCCTGCCTTAGCCTATAGTCCCAGAGTAGCTGGACTACAGGCGTGCACCACCACACCCAGCTATGTTTTTGTAGAGACAAGATCTCTAGGCTGCCTAGGCTGGCCTTGAACACTTAGGCTGGCCTTGAACTCCTAGCTTTGAGCAGTCCTCCTGCCTCAGCCTCCCAAAGAGCTGGGATTACAGACATGAGCCACTGCACCTGGCCCCGTACTTCTTAAAAGTAAACTGCTATTGTAACTTTATGTCATTTTTTAAATTAATTTTTTGTTTTTAGCTGCTAAACAAAAAAATAAAAATCTTAAAGCTGGTCACAAGAATGGCAAACAGAAGAAAATGAAGCGAAAATGGCCTGGCCCTGGAAACAAAGGATCAAATGCTTTGCTGAGGAACAGCGGCTCACAGGAAGAGGTATTGGAATATATGCTTCTAGGAATACCTGACCCCTGCATGCTTTTGGACTTGATCTTATACTTCAGTGACAAGAAGTGCTATGTGATATGGAGAGGTGGAAGCATCCCACAGAATCGGTTTTCGGATGAAGATGTCCTTTTACTGTCACTGGGTTCTCTGTGTTCTTCCTTCTTATTGCAGCTTTCTTTTTCTCACTGATTAGCTGCCAGCACCACTTTTAAGCCTTAGCGTTCTCACTGTTGTTCCTGAATATATGCACACAAGCTCCTTGATTTTTTTTATTATTGTTATACATATATTTTTTTGAGACAGAGTCTCGCCTTGTAACCCAGGCTGGTGCGATCTCGGCTCACTGCAAGCTCCGCCTCTCGGGTTCAAGTGATTCTTCTGCCTCAGCCTCCTGAGTAGCTGGGACTACAGGCGCCCGCCACCATGCCCGGCTAATTTTTGTATTTTTAGTAGAGACAGGGTTTCGCCATGTTGGCCAGGATGGTCTTGAACTCCTGACCTCAGGTGATCCACCTGCCTCGGCTCCCACCACCCACCACCTCCCTAAGTGCTGGGATTACAGGCATGAGCCACTGTGCCTGGTCACTCCTTGATTTTTTTTTTTTTTTTTTTTAGTGTTATACTATCAATGACTCGGGAAAAATGGGAAGCCCAGAGAAGATCAAATAGTCATGAGGCATTTCAAAGGCCACTGAGTCTTACAAATTTTTTACTACTAAAGTCCCTCATCCTGGCTCCCTCTGGAAATTAAAAATCAATATTTCTGAGCATTGGCCTTACTGAATCTCCCCACTCCCCACCTTCCTGTATTTTGATTTTGGTTTTTAGAAGTTCCCTTTCCTTGGTCTGTAGATGTAAGCAGGGTAGAATAATAAGTACCTCTTCTGGATTCCACTTTTCTGAGGGCTTTTAACTGGATGGCAACTTTTTTTATTAGGCTTGGTCATATGGGACAAGGGTAAGGGGTGGTAAAATATTAGAAATGCCAAATATTCTAGATTGAAAAACATTTATATACAGTCTGTCCCCTGCCTCCATATTTTATGAATGAGGAATCTGAAGCCCTGTGGTTCAGGTAATTACCCATAGTCACACAGGGCCAAGCCAGGACTAGGATTTTGTTTCTCAACCCCCTGTCAATATTCTCTTTGATTTGATTTACATGGCTCAAATGATTATTCAGCCAAAGCTGACAGCCCTTCTACACAAGGAACAAATTCTAAACATATATATAGAATTTAATAATGTTACCAAATAAAACAAGATTTAAACTGGCAGATATTTATAAGACATAAATTTGATGGTGCTAAGTGGAAATTTGACATTATTATAAATGACTGTACAGTCAGCTCCCTTGTTTGTACATACTGTATTCCTAAAACTGTATGCAAAAATTTGGTATACAGAAGCTGTAATCTGTAGCATAAGTTAACATGTAAAAAGTACCTTATGTTTCTGAAGAGCTTAAATGTATTATAAGATTTTCTTCCTTTTTTTAATGTAAAAATCTCCTTTTATACCTTTATCACCATCTTTGACGGTGTATTTCTAGTTGCGTGTGTTAATTTGAGCTGATAAGTGTGCTCAACTCACACCCAGTGAGCATCTCATTGAAACTATAGATTCCACTGCTTTTGGTTCACTCTGATTTCCAACTTTGTCTCTACCACTCTAAAGATCTTCGTTCTTAGACTTCGGTTTTTAATCATAAATACTATCACTTTCATTTAATTTTTTTTTTTTTCTCCCTGAGATGGAGTCTCGTTCTATTGCCCAGGCTGGAGTACAGTGGTGCAATCTTGGCTCACTGCAACCTCTGCCTCCTGGGTTCAAGCGATTCTCCTGCCTCAGCCTCTAGAGTAGCTGGGCTTACAGGCGCACACCACCACTCCCAGCTAATTTTTGTATTTTAGTAGAGATGAGGTTTCACTGTGTTGGCCAGGCTGGTCTTGAACTCCTGACCTCAAGTGGTCCACCCGCCTCAGCCTCCCAAAGTGCTGGGATTACAGGCGTGAGCCACTGTGTCTGGCCCATTTAAAAAATTTTTTTCATTCATTTTTACAAAATAAAGGCAATGTATCATAAAATATTCAAATCAATACAAACATTAATATTCAATGATGGAATGCTGTTGAAACTGACAAAACATTCATTTTTAACCTGGTGTACAGAAATCCAAATTTTACATATGAAGGCCAATTTAGAAGAGTCACCTTTAAGGCTCTGAAGTTGGTTTAAATAATTTTGTGCAACAGAATAAAATATTTAATTTTCTGTTTCTTACATTTAGTTTTTTTGTTTTTGTTTTTAAAGGATGGTAAACCTAAAGAGAAGCAGCAGCATTTGAGTCAGGCATTCATCAACCAACATACAGTGGAACGCAAGGGAAAACAAATTTGTAAATATTTTCTTGAAAGGAAATGTATTAAGGTATAAAAATGTGTAAGCAAAAATCTACTAAAATGTAAAACTGCTCTTTCTGTTTGATACTCTTTTAATTCATACCTTTAGGTTTTTAAAGCTGTTTCATTCTGGAAAAAAATCAGTTAGAAAATTTTAGTGAAGTATTCTTTTATGTTTAAAAAAGTAGCCAGGCCTGTAATCCCAGCAGTTTGGGAGGCCGACGTGGGTGGATCACCTGAGTCAGATAATTTTTATTTATGTATTTATTTATTTTTTTTGAGATGGTGTCTCACTGTGTCGCCTGGGCTGGAGTGCAGTGGCGCATTCTCGGCTCACTGCAAGCTCCGCCTCCTGGGTTCATGCCATTCTCCTGCCTCAGCCTCCCAAGTAGCTGGGACTACAGACGCTAGCCACCACACCCAGCTAATTTTTTTTGTATTGTTAGTAGGGACGAGGTTTCACCGTGTTAGCCAGGATGGTCTCGATCTCCTGACCTCATGATCCGCGCACCTCGGCCTCCAAAGTGCTGGGATTACAGGCGTGAGCGACTGATAATTTTAAAAAATGCTTTATGTTTAAAAATGTTTGGGACTTAAGAAGATTTTAAGCAGATATATGTGATGTGGTTATAATTTATTAACAGTTAGAATGTGCTACCTCTAAGACTTTGGTTCTTTCTGGAATCATTTGCTTATTTAAAGTTTAGTAGGAATTAAATCATAATGACTTGACTATGAGAAATAATGGCTTTTCCTTGCTCCTTCTTTTGGCCTAGGGAGACCAGTGTAAATTTGATCATGATGCAGAGATAGAAAAGAAAAAGGAAATGTGTAAGTTTTATGTACAAGGATATTGTACCAGAGGTGAAAACTGTCTGTATTTGCATAATATCCTTTATCACAAGATATGGTGACTTTATAAATATTTACATGAACATTTTAAATGTGCAAAATTTTTAATGAAACCAGTGTTTTAGGTATACCAAAATGATATTATCCAAGCCCAACTTAGTATCAAAGTGATTAAATTGTACGTGGATTTTTTCATAAGCAAGAAAAGAGGGATTCTTTAGAAAATCTCTCAAATGATGATTCTTTCTGCTCAACCTGGGTGGTATAGAGGGTCCATGAGACCTCTTCAAATCCCAGAAAGACTTATCACAATTTCTACTGTGACACTGATTAATTGAATCTATATTCAAATAAGCTACTTCATAAAAAGGCAAGGATTACATAATTTGGGAGTACCTGTTTTCTGTGTATTCTGTACTGTGTAGAAATTAATCATCCCTTAATTTGCAGAATAGCCTTAGCTCTTCAGTGCAAATGGCACAGACAAGTTGTAAAAACATGGAACATAAACATTTTAGGTTAATAGCACCTTTAGTCATCACAAAAAAATTTTTTTCTTCAGGCATTCAATATAAGGAGTATCAAATTGTAATTTGAGGATTGTTTTCCTAGAAAATATTGAAGTTATATAAATTTATTCTGTTGTAAACAAGTCTAATGTACAAAGGATCCAGATTTGTAAGATATGTCGTTGTTGACTTTGATTCCTCCACCCCCAAAGGAATGCTTTAAAAATGATCACATTTATCAAGGTATTTAAAATATATACCCCTTTCATATATGAAACATGCCTGTACTCTATTATAAGAATGGATATGAAGGAAAAAAATGTCCTGTCATAGCCAAGAAACTTGATTTACGTATGTAGTCCTTCTAAAATTAGATTTTTAAATGTATTCCAGTTAGTTTATTATCTCATACTTTAAATAGAGAAATCCAGTTTCTGCTAGTAGGAAAGGTCTTTTTTTTTTTTTTTTTTTTGAGACATTATCTTGCTCTGTTGCCCAGGCTGGAGTGCAGTGGACAATCTTGGTTCGCTGCAACCTCCGCCTCCCAGGTTCAAATGATTTTGGTGCCTCAGCCTCCTGAGTAGCTGGGATTACAGGCATGCCTGCGCCACCATGCCCAGCTAATTTTTTTGGATTTTTAGTAAAGGCGAGGTTTCGCCATGTTGGCTAGGTTGGTCTTGAACTCCTGGCCTCAAGTGATCTGCCCACCTCCGCCTCCTACAGGCATGAGCCACCTCGCCCGGCCACAGAGGTCTTTATTTAGGAAAAATAAAGTCATTAAGTTAATAACATTATTTCAATTGGATTAAAATTGTTCTCTTCCTTAACACTTGGGTTACATGAATATCCTTGTAAGTTTTACCATACAGGAACAAAATGTTATCAGGGAGAATACTGCAAGTTTTCTCATGCTCCACTGACTCCTGAAACACAAGAATTGTTGGCTAAAGTAAGTATAATTTTTAATAATCTTTTGTTTTTTCTTTTTTAAGGAATATGTTTGAACTAAGGATGAGAATTTGAAGATAATTAAGGAGAGTGCCTCTTAGGTTAGCATATGGGATATATTAGGACTAATAACTTAAGAATTCAGTTTAAATATTTTTCATTTGTATATGTTTCCTTGTAGCTGAAAGGAAGATGTATATTCATTGCTGATTTAAGTTGGAAAGATGTAAAATCTTCAGTATAATTAGCCATTTTAATAGCTAAGCTAAGCTAAACAAAGCAAATCAAATAAGAAAAATAGTACTCCTGTTATAAAGATTCTTGGAAGGAAAGTTACAAGTTACGGGTTTATAAACATTTTAGAATTACATCAAATAATAGTTAAGTAGTAATTTCAAAATGTTTTCTTCAGATATTCTTTCAGTCTGTGAGAAAAGGTTATTGAAAAGTTACAGTCATTTGTATTCTTTCATTTCTCATGTTAGTTGGAGCTAGTCTCTTAAAAATTTAATCTAAGTATACATGAAAATTTAAAAGATTCTTTTGAAGCCAACCATACGATCTTCTGGCAAAATGTTCCCTTGAGCATATGTAAATATTACAAAGTCAAAGGTGCTTGTTTATAGATATTTTTAGGTTGTAAAATATGAATGGTTAATGTGGAATTAGAAGTTGTACCAAATATTTAGTTGTTTATTTGTGTGAAATAGATATGGAAAAGTGATATATATGAAATAAGTTTTTCAGTTCCTGTAGTAGTAGTAAATAATATTAGATGATTATTAGGATGAATTTGATTGGAATCATTTGAAAGTTATGAATATGACAGTATACCTGAATTACACATGAATGCATAAAAATGATTATGTGATTTTTTTTTTATATTAGGTTTTGGATACTGAAAAGAAGTCATGTAAATAAAATAGACATAAAAAGGTAAAATTAGAATTTACCACATTTCTTTTTTTCTTGTCTGAACATCTCCAGAAGTTGGCATGCAACCTCAATAGGGTTCTCAAATAGAAGTATTTTTCTTCTTCCTCCGCCACTAAAAAAGAATTATAAAATATTTGATATATTTACATACCTATATGGATCTACATCAGCCTGCTTCCTTGTGTGGGCTTGTCTATCAGGTATATTTTTATTCTCCTCTTGTGTTTCTTTGTAGATTTACCAAATACGTATAATTCACAAAACAATATATTTAGTTTTGCTTATGTTTGGATTTTATCAGACTGTATCATACTCTCTGTATTAATTGATGACGTGGCTATTTTCACCCAACATTATTCATTCGTGTAGATGCATGCAGCTGTCATTCATTTTTACTCCTATATAACATTTCACTTTATGTTTATATTAGTTATTTGGTCATTCTACTATTAATGAATATTTAGGTTATTTTCAATTTTTAAAAATACTAACTCTTGTAAATATCCATATACATACTTCTTGGCATGAATGTGCACAAGTTATCCACAGTATGTGCCAAGGAGTAGAATCATATCATCATAAAATTTAATATAATATCAGTTTTTTTCTCAAGTAGTTATACCAGTTTATACTCCTACAAACTGTGTAGAAGAACTGTCATTCTACACTTGCCAGTACTTTATATTGTCAATACTTTAATTTCAACCAATTTAGTGGATGTAAAAATAGAATCTCGTAACTTAATTTGCATGAAGTGCAGCATCTTTTCTTATGCTTACTGGTTTTTGAGTTTCATCTTTGGTGAAATGCCTGTTAATGTCTTTGCCCATGTTTTTATTGGTCTGATTGTCCTTTATACATTGATTTCTATATATTCCTTATATAATTCTTTGTGAGGTATGTGTGGCAGGCCTTCTCCCATTTTGTGGACGGTCTTTTCGTTTTTTGTTTTTTTTTTTTGCGGCATCTCAGTGAGTAGAATTACTTATTTTGGGAATCTTTTTGTTTATGCCTACTTTTGTGTTTTGTGTCTCATTTAAGAAATTATTCCCTGTCATGAGGCTGTAAAGTAATTTAACTTTTTTTTTAAGTTTTGGAGCTTTGCTGTATACGTTTATATTTTAATCCATTGGGAATTGTATTAACAGTTGGTACAGTAATGGTGCTTAGCAAAAACAACTACAAGGTTCTCAGTAGTGAATAACACAAAGTGCTTATTTTTTATGCATATATAGATTGGCTGGGAGTTGGCTGATCTCATCTGGCCTTGGTTGGGTTGGCACTGTTTCATATGGCAGATCTGCTGGGTCAGTTCTGCCCATACTTATCTAACTCTCCTGGGACCAGTGGGCTAGCTAGGGCATGTTCTTCTCATGGTGTTGGCAGAAACTCAAGAGGGCAAAGCCCTGTTTACAGCACATTTACTTATAACCCATTGGCTAAAGTAAGTCATATGGCCAAGCCCAAAGTCAAGGAGAAGGAAACTGTACTCCACCTTTTGTACTTTACATGTGGGAGGAACTGGTAGAATGAATGAAAAAAGAGTATAACTGTAACTCTAGGGAGAAAAGAAAAAATAATACTAATAGACTTTTTTAAAATGGTATCAGATAGAGGCCTCATATCATTCTTATTTTTGTTGTTGTTGTTCCCTTTTTCCCACATGGATAACCAATCTCCCAAGCATTATTTAATTAAAAAGACTGCTCTTTCCCCCACTAACCTGTAATACCCCTTTTGGTATATGTCAAGTTTCCATCAAGTGAAGATCTGAAGGTCTGTTTCTGGGATGTCAGTTCTTCTCCATTTGTCTTTTTCTCCAGTATATACTATCTTAATTACCGTAGCAACACTTGTTACTGTCAGTCATTTTGATTATAGCTTTTCCAGTAGGAGTGATGCTGTATCTCACTGTAGTTGTAATTTTCATTTCTCAAATGACTATGAACATCTTTTCATGTGCTTATTGGCCATTAGTCAGTTTAGATCTCTGCCCATTTTAAAATTAGATTGTTTTCTTATTGAGTTTTAGGAGTTCTTTACGTATGTTGGATACAGATCCTTTATTAGATACATGATTTGCAAATATCCCAATCTGTGGCTTGTCTTATTTTATTAATGGTATCTTTTGAAGCATCAAAGTTTTCATTTTGATGTCGTACAGTTTATCAGTTTTCTCTTCTATGGATCATGCTTTCCGTGTTGTATCTAAGAATTTATTGCCTAACACAAAGTCACAAGATGTGCTCTTATGTTTTCTTCTAAAAATTTTCTAGTTTTAGCTCTTGTGTTTATGTCTATGATTCATTTTGAGTTAATTTTTAGGAATTGTGTGAGTTAAGGGCAAAACTTTTTTTTACATGTAGATGTCCAATTGTCCCAGCACTTTTTTTTTTTTTTTTGAGACAGAGTCTCACTCTGTTGCCAGACTGGAGTGCAGTGGTGCAGTCTCGGCTCACTGCAACCTCTGCCTCCCAGGTTCAAGTGATTCTCATGCCTCAGCATCCCGAGTAGCTGGAACTGTAGGTGTGTACCACCATGCCTCCTAATTTTTGTTATTTTTAGTAGAGACAGGCTTTCACTATGTTGGCCAGGTTGGTCTTGAACTCCTGACCTCAGGTGATCTGCCCACCTTGGCCTCCCAAATTCTGGGATTACAAAGGTGAGCCACTGTGCCTGGCCACCAGCACCATTTTAAAAAAAGACTGCCCCTTCCCCCTGACTTGCCTTCATGCCTTTGTCAAAAATCAGCTGACTATAAATGTATGGATTTATTTCTGTACTTAGTTGTGTTCCATTGACCTCTATATGTGTGTCCTTATACACTATCACAGTGTCTTGATTACTATAGCTTTGTTCTAAGTTTTGAAATAAGGAAGCGTAAGCTGTCTAGCTTTGTTCTACTTTTCAAAGATTGTTTTGGCTACTCTGGATCTTTTGCTTTTCCATATAAGTTTTAAGATCAGCTTGTACATTCTGCAAAAAACCCATGCTGAGATTTTGATAGGGATTGCATTGCATCTGTGGAAAATTGCACATAGAATTCTGATCTGTGAGCATGGAATGTCTCTCCATTTATTTAGATCTTCAGTTTCTCTCAGTTTTGTAATTTTCACTGTACAAGTGTACAGTGTACACTTTTTTGTTAATTTATTCGTACATATTCTGTTTGATGCTATTGAATGGAATTGTAATTTAAACTTTATTTTTAGTTGTTCATTGGTAGTATGTAGAAATAGAATTTATTTCTGTTATTGATCTTGTTTCCCAAGACTTCGAATTCATTTATTAGCTCTAGTAGGTTTTATTTTGTGTGTGCATGTATTCCTTAGGAATTTGTATATGTAGGATTATGTTATGTCTTCCTTTGTTTTTTGAGACAAAGTCTTGCTCTTCTCCCCCAGGCTGGAGTGCAAATGGCGCGATCTCGGTTCACTGCAACCGCGGCCTTGCGGGTTCAGGTGATTCTCCTGCCTCAGCCTCCCGAGTACCTGGGATTGCAGGCATCTGCCACCACGCCCGGCTAATTTTTGTGTTTTTAGTAGAGATGGGGTTTCACCATGTTGGCCAGGC
This sequence comes from Homo sapiens, assembly GCF_000001405.40. NCBI lineage: Eukaryota > Metazoa > Chordata > Mammalia > Primates > Hominidae > Homo > Homo sapiens. The sequence continues at coordinate 112,227,329 of NC_000002.12, read as the reverse complement.
TGGTCTCAAACTCCTGACCTCAGGCGATCCGCCTGCCTCGGCCTCCCAAAGTGCTGGGATTACAGGCGTGAGCCACCGCGCCCAGCTGCCTCTTCCTTTCTAACCTTTCTAATGCTTTTTATTTCTTTTGTGCCTGATTTCACTGGCTGAAACCTTCTATACAAGGTTAAATAGAAGTGAGAGCAGATAATGTTGCCTTTGTCCTGATATTTGGCAGAAGCATTCAGTCTTTCACCAATACATATGATTTTAGCTGTAGGTTTTTATAGATACTCTAGTTGAAGGAGGTTCTCTCCTATTTCTAGTTTTTTGAGTACTTTTATCATGGATGAATCTTGGGTTTTATCAAATGATTTCTGTGCATCTGTTGAGATGACCATATAATTTTTCCTCTTATTTTATTCACATGATATATTAGTTGTAAAATAATTTGTTTTACATTCTTGAGGTAAAACCCACTTGGTCATGTTGTATATAATTTATTATTGGATTTCATTGGCTAATATTTTATTAAGGATTTTTACATCTTTTTCATGTTTATGAGGGATATTCATGTGTAGCTTTCTTTTCTTGTGATGTCTTTTTCTGGCTTTCGTATCAAGGTAATACTGGCCTCCTAGAATGAGTTGAAAGGTGTTCCAGCTTCCCCTATTTTCTGGAAGAATTCATGAAAATTTGTTATTATTTCTCCTTTAATTCACCAGTAAGACAACTGGGCCTGAGCTTTTTTTTTTTTTTTTGAGATGGAGTCTTGGCTCTGTTGCCCAGGCTGGAGTGCAGTGGCACAATCTTGGCTCACTGCAAACTCCACCTCCCGGGTTCACACCATTCTCCTGCCTCAGCTTCCTGAGTAGCTGGGACTACAGGCACCCGCCACCTCACCTGGCTAATTTTTTTGTATTTTTAGTAGAGACGGGGTTTCACCGTGTTAGCCAGGATGGTCTTGATCTCCTGACCTCATGATCTGCCCGCCTCAGCCTCCCAAAGTGCTGGGATTACAGGCGTGAGCTACCGCGCCCAGCCGCTTTTTTTTAATTAGATTTTACATAACAGATTCAATTTCTGTCCTTGTTATAAGTTTATTCAGATTTTTCTTTTTTAAAAAAAAAACAGCTTTGGTAATTTGTATCTTTCCATTAATTTTGCTATTTCATCTAAGTTGTCTACTTTGTTGGCGTAAATTTGTTTATAGTATTGTCTTATAATCCTTTTGAATTCTGTATCATAAAAAGATTTTCTTTTTTTTTTGAGATGAAGTCTTGCTCTGTTGCCTAGGCTGGAGTGCAGTGGCATAATCTCAACTCACTGCAACCTCTACCTCTTGGGTTCAAGCGATTCTCCTGCCTCAGCTTCCCAAGTAGCTGGGATTACAGGTGTGCGCCACCACACCCGGCTAATTTTTGTATTTTTAGTAGAGATGGGGTTTCACTGTGTTGGCCAGGCTGGTCTTGAGCTCCTGACCTCAGGTGATCCACTTGCCTTGGCCTCCCGAAGTGCTGGGATTACAGGCGTGAGCCACCATGCTCACTCTGTTGTCCAGGCTGGAGTGCAGTGGCATGATCTTGGCTCACTGCAACTTCCGTCTCCTGGGTTCAAGTGATATTCCTGCCTCAGCCTCCTGAGTAGGTGGGACTACAAGCACTTACCACCATGCCCAGCTAATTTTTGTATTTTTAGTAGAGACTAAGTTTCACCATGTTGGCCACGCTGGTCTCGAACTCCTGACCTCAAGTGATCTGCCCGCCTCAGCCTCCCAAAGTGTTGGGATTACAGGCATGAGCCACTGTGCCTGGCCAGCTTTGTGACATTGAGGCTTTTAATCTATGAATATGTTGACTGTAGTCTTTTTTTAGACATAGGGTCTTGCTCTGTTGCCTAGGCTGGAGTGCAGTAGCACAATCATAGCTCACTTTAGCCTTGAACTCCTGGGCTCAAGCAATCCTTCTACCTAAGCCTCCCAAGTAGCTGGGACTGCAGGTGTGTGCTACCACACCTGGCTAATTGTTGTCTATAGTCTTTCAAAATGTCTTTTGATAACATTTTATTATTTTCCCCAGTGGGTTGCATATTTTTGTTAGTTTTTTTTTTAACAATTAACTATTTTGAGGTATACAGAACAGTCAATGAATTGCACCCATTTTTAATGCACACATACAAAATAAAACCTACTAGAGTTAATAAATTCAGCAAAGTCTCAGGAAACAAGATCAATACACAAAAGTAAATTCTCTTTCTACATACTACCAGTGAACAGTCTCAAAATGAAGTTTAAACAATTTCATTCAGTAGCATCAAACAGAATAAAACAGGAATAAATTAAAAAGGTGTACACTTGTACACTGAAAATTACAAAACCGAGAGACACTGAAGATCTAAATAAATGGAGAGTATACAGTTCAATGAGTTTTGACATGTGTATAACCATGTGGCTACCACCACAATCAATAAATAGGACATTCCATCACCCCAGAATGTTCCCTGTGACACTTTACTACAATTCATTCTTCTCCTTCTCTCAGACCTTAGGCATCCACTGGTATTCTTTCAGTAAGTATCGATTAGTTTTGCCTGTTCTAGAATTTCATATAAGCAGAATTATATAGTCTACACTCTTGTGTCTTTTGCTCAGTATGGTGTTTTCAAGCTTCCTGTTTTTATGTATATTAGCAGCACACTTCTCTTTATTGCTGAATTGTGTTCTTTTGTATGGATATACTTGTTTATTCATCTGTTGATGGACATTTGAGTATTATAAATAAAGCTTCAGCGAACATTTATGTTCAAGTCTTTGAGGCAATGTAATTTGAAATAAAGCAATGATAGTGTATTTTTGTCCTGGGTTTTAAAGAGACTGCTATTAATATTTTCCCCACTGAATACAATGTGTCCTGCAATTTTCTGGTAGAAACTCTGTCAAGTTAATGAAATTCTCTTCAAATTGTAGCTTGATAAGAGTTGTTGGACTTTTTGTTTCTTTGTTTTATAATCAGGAAGAGATGTTGACTTTTTTGGAATTCTTTTTGACATGACCAGAGTTTTTCTTTTTATTCTGCCAAAGCAACAGATTATATCTATGCATTTAAAAATACTAAACCACCCTTACGTTCCTGATATAAACTAAATTTTTAAATATAAATGTGAAGTTTTCAAATATCATTAATATTATGTCAAAATATTAATGCCTTTTGAGACAGGGTCTCACTCTGTCACCTAAGCTGGAGTGCAGTGGCATTATCTATCTCAGCTCACCACAACCTCTGCCTCCCAGGCTGAAGCGATTCTCCTGCCTCAGCCTCCTGGGTAGCTGGGATTACAGGCACCTACCACCCTGGCTAATTTTTGTATTTTTAGTTGAGATGGGGTTTCACCATTTTGGCCAGCCTGGTCTCAAACTCCTGACCTCAAATGATCCACCTGCCTTGGCCTCCCAAAGTGCTGGGATTACAGGGTGTGAGCTGCCGTGCCTGGCCTTTATTCCTTATATTGATTATTTGTGCCTTCTGTTTTTCTTCATCAGTTAATCTGCAGTTTCGTAGTTACATTATTCTCTAGAAAGAACCAACTTTGCTTTCTTTAATTCTATTTTATACTAATTTTCTATTTCATCAATTTATTTTCTAGATTATATCAGTCATTTTACATTGTTTGGGCTTATTTTGCCCAAAGATTGATTGTTAGCATTTCTTCTTTCTCAGCACATCTAAACCTATACATTTTTCTTAATGTACTATTTTGCTTGTAGCCCCAAAGTTTTTTAAATTAAATATTCTTATAAAAGTAATATATGCAGATAGTTTAAAAAGTCAAGAGGTTATACAAGAATTATCATGGAAAAACAGCAGTCCTTCATATCATGATGATTTTTGTAGATGCTAAAAAAAGCTTTCTGCTAAATTCAACACTCATTTCTTTTTTTTAATGGCTTTATTTATTTTATTCTATTCTTGAGGATTGTTTGTGTGTTTCTAGAAATTTGTCCATTACATCTAAATTAATACATTGACATGCAATTGTTCATATAGATTTATTATTCCTTCTTTAAATATTCTTTACTTTTTTTTTCTTTTTTTAAATTATACTTTAAGTTCTAGGGTACATGTGCACAACGTGCAGGTTTGTTACATATGTATACATGTGCCATGTTGGTGTGCTGCACCTGTTAACTCGTCATTTACATTAGGTATATCTCCTAATGCTATCCCTCCCCACTCCCCCACCCCACGACAGGCCCCAGTGTGTGATGTTCCCCACCCTGTGTCCAAATGTTCTTATGGTTCAATTCCCACCTATGAGTGAGAACATGCAGTCAACACTCATTTCTTATTTTAAAAAAACACTAAAGAAAATAGGAATAGATGGATACTTTAAAAGTTTTTTATTGTGATAAAATACACCTAATATTTACCATCTTAACCATTTGTAAATGTACAATTAAGTAATGTTAAGTTCATTCATATAGTTTTGAAACCATTACCACCACATATATTACCAGAGCTCATGTTTTTAATCTCAAAACTAAAACCCTGTATCCATTAAACAAAAACTCCCCATTTCCTCTTGTCTTCAAGGCCTTGACAGCTACCATCCTGTTTTCTGTCTCTTGTGATTTTGACTACTTTAGATATCTCATATAAGTGAAATCATACAGTATGTCCTTTTTTTATCTCATATAAGTGAAATCATACAGTTTGTCCTTTTTGACAGACATTTCTGTCACCACCATCCTATTTTCTGTCCCTTGTGATTTTGACAAATGTAGGTATCTCATGTAAGTGAAATCATATAGTATTTGTCCTTCTCAACAGGCTTATTTCATTTAGCATAATGTCCTCAAGATTCATCCATATTGTACCATGTCAGAATTTCTTCTTTTTTTAGGGCACAGCCTCCTTTTGCCCTGGAAACACCCAGACAGCAGGGCAGGCAACTCCACCCTCCCCCCACCTCTTGTAGCCAGACAGGCCAGGCCACACCTGCTAGAGCTTCCAACCCAGTGGTCCCACTTCTACCTGAACTCTGCAGGCAGGTGCAACCCCGTGTTTACTCAGGAAGTAAACAGACAACAACAGATTAGGGCTGACCTAGCAAGGATACAACCTATCTGTCAACTGAGGTTCCTGTCTGAGGGAGAGCCCCATGGACAAGAACACTCAACAAAAGAAACATGGGCACAGAGACAGTAATCAGAGAGGGCTCCTCCAAGACCCAGGAGCAGGCTAGAATCTAAGCCAGTCAACTGATCCCACCTTATACTGTAATCAAACCCCCAAGGTTATCAAGAAGAAAAAAGCAAAAAATCTACCCAAAGGACAGCAACTTCAAAGATTGAAGAACATCAGCCGATATAAATGAGAAAGAACCAGCATAAGAACTCTGGCAACTCAAAAAGCCAGAGTGCCTTCTTACCTCCAAATGACTGTACCAGTTCCCTAGCAATGGTTATTAACCAGGTTGAAATGGCTGAAATGTTACAAATAGAATTCAGAATATGGATAGGAACAAAGATCAATGACATACAGGAGATAGTCAACCCAATCCAAGAAATCTAAGGATTACAATAAAACAATACAGGAGGTGTTAGACCAAATGACCATTATAAGAAAGAACCAGACTGACCTGATAAAGCTGAAGAACACACTAGAAGAATTTCACAGTGCAGTCTCAAGTCTTATCAGCAGAATCAACCAAGCTGAAGAAGGAATCTCAGAGCTGGAAGACTGGCTCTCCAAAATACCTCAGTCAGACAAAAATAAAGTAAAAACAATAAAGAAGACTGTATTAGTTCGTTCATGCATTGCTATAAAGAAATACCTTAGACTGGGTAATTTATAAAGAAAAGGGGTTTAATTAGCTCATGGTAGGCTGTACAGGAAGCATGGAGGCATCTGCTTCTGAGGAGGCCTCAGGAAACTTACTTACAGACATGGCAGAAGGTGAATGAGGAGCCAGCATGTCGCATGGCCAGCAAGAGAGAGAGAGTGGGGAGGAGCTACACACTTTTAAACAACCATATCTTATGAGCATTCACTCACTATCACTAGGACAGTACCAAGGGGGATGGTGCTAAACCATTCATGAGAAATCTGCCCCCATTATCCAGTCACCTCCCCACCTTCAACACTGGGGATTACAATTCAACATAGATTTGAGCAGGGACACAGATTCAAACCATATCAAAGACTGAACAAAACCTCTGAGAAATATGAAATTATGTAAAGAGACCAAATCTATGACTCATTTCCGTCCCTGAAAGAGAGGAAGAGAAACCAAGCAACTTGGAAAACATATTTCAGGATATTGTCCATGAAAATTTCCCCAACCTTGTTAGAGAGGCCAACATTCAAGTTCAGGAAATACAGAGAACCTCTGCAAAATTCTACACAAGAAGATCATCCTCATGACGGATAGTCATCAGATTCTCCAAGGTCAAAATGAAAGAAAAAACGGTTAAGGGCAGCTGGAGAGAAGAGGCAGGTCACCTACAAAGGGATCTTTTTTGTTTGTTTTTGAGATGGAGTTTCGCTCTTTTTGCTCAGGCTGAAGTGCAATGGCACGATCTCAGCTCACCACAACCTCTGACTCCCAGATTCAAGTGATTCTCCTGCCTCAGCATTCTGAGTAGCTGGGATTACAGGCACGCACCACCATGCCTGGCTAATTTTGTATTTTTAATGAAGACGGGGTTTCTCCATGTTGGTCAGGCTGGTCTTGAACTCCCGAGCTCAGGTGATCCACCTGCCTTGGCCTCCTGAAGTGCTGGGATCACAGGTGTGAGCCACCGCGCCCAGCCCTACAAAGGGGTCTTTAGGCTAACAGCAGACCTATCAGCAGCAACCCTACAAGCCAGAAGAGATTAGAGGCCTATATTCAGCATTCTTAAAGAATTTTCAACCAAGAATTTTATATCCAGCCAAACTAAGTTTCATAAGCAAAGGAAAATTACATCCTTTTCAGACAAGCAAAGGCTAAGGGAATTTGTTACCACCAGACCTGCCTTACAAGAGGTCCTGAAGGGAGTGCGAAATATGGGAAGTAAAGACCATTACTGGCCACTGCAAAAACACACTTAAAAGTACATAGGCCAGTGACACTATAATGCAGCCACACAAACATGTCTGCATAATAACCAGCTAACAATGTTATGACAGGATCAAATCTGCATGTATCAATACTAACCTTGAATGTAAATAGGCTACACACTCCAGTTAAAAGGCACAGACTGGAAAGCTGATATAGAAACAAAACCCAATGGTATGCTGTCTTCAGGAGGATCATCTCACATGCAATGACGCCCTTAGGCTCAAAGTAAAGGAACGGAGAAAAATCTACTAAGCAAATGGAAAACATAAAAAGACAGGAGTTGTCTATTCTAATTTCAGGCAAAACAGACTTTAAACCAACAAAGATTTTTAAAGACCTATGAAGTGACTTAAATAACCACACAATAATAGTGGGAGACATTAAACACTCCACTCACAGTATTAGATCGTTGAGGTAGGAAAGTAACAAAGATGTTTGGGACCTGAACTCTATACTTGACCAAATGGACCTAGTAGACATCTGCAGAACTCTCCACCCAAAAACAGAATGTACATTCTGCTCATCTGCACATAACACATACTCTAAAATTGACCATACACCCGGGCATAAAATAATCCTCAGCAAATTAAAAAAAAAAATCACCCCACTCACACTCTCATCAGACCACTGTGCAAGAAAAGTAGAAATCAATGCTAAGAAAATCGCTCAAAACTATACAATTACATGGAAGTTAACCTGGTCCTGAATGACTTCTGGGTAAATAATGTTGTAAATAGTGTTGTGAAGACTTTCCCTTATGTTTTCCTCTATGAGCTTTATAGGTTTAGCATTTACATTTATGTCTTTGATCTGTTTTGTGCTAATTTGTGTATGTTGTCTAAGACAGTGGTCCAACTTCACTGTTTTGCATGAGGAGATCCAGTTTTCCTAGCACCATTTGTTGAAAGACCGTCCTTCCTTCATTGAATGGTCTTGGTACTTTTGTCAATTATTTACCATAGACGTGAGGGTTTATTTCTACCCTCTCCACTGTGTTCCAGTGCTCTATATGTCTATCTTTTATGCTGTTAGCACACTGTTTTGATTACTATCACTTTGTATTGAACTCAGGAAGTGTGAGTCTCCCAAATTTGTTCTTTTTCAAGATTTTGGCTATTTGTTCCTTCAGATCCCATATGAATTTTAAGACAGATTTTTCTATTTCTGGAAAAAAACATCAATTTGAATTTGATAGAGATTGCATTGAATACATAGATTGCTTTGGGTAGTAATAACATCTTAACAATATTGTCTTCCAGTCCGTTAACATGAGATGTCTTTCCATTTATTTATGTGCCTTTGATTTCTTTCAGCAGTGTTTTATAGTTTCTGTTACACAAGTCTCACCTCCTTGATTAAATTAATTCCTAAGTACATTTGGCCCTTGAATAACAGAGGAGTTAGGGTTACTGACCCCTGCAGTAAAATCTGCATATATAGATGCAGTCAAAAATCTGCATATAACTTTTCACTCCTCAAAATCATAACTAATAATAGCCTACTGTTGATGGGAAGCCTTACCAAGAACATAAACAGTCGATTAACACATAAGTAGACTCTCTCTCTCTCTATGTTTCCAAATTGTAGTGAATCTCCAAAAAATTTTCCAGTGTATTTATTGAAATCTATATATAAGTGGATTCATACAGTTCAAACTTGTGTTGTTCAAGAGTCAACCGTATTCTATTCTTTTTGGGTACTGTAAATGGAATTGTTTTAATTTCCTTTTTAGACTGTTCATTGTTTGTGTGTAGAAATACACCTGATTATTGTGTGTTGAGGTTTTCTACATAGAAGATCATTGGGGGGATACTTTTTTAACATGATAAAATATGCTATACCTTAATAGGAATGCACCATACTCAATAAGGCAAACAGTAGAGGCATTTCCACTAGAAGAGTCTATGTTCCATTGAGACTGCCTGGTTTCTAAACCTTGAGTAGAGTTCCCTTCTGAAAACATCTGCCTTTGGGGTGAGGTTCATTTAAGAATGTCCTTGATGAAGCAGTAACAATTATTAATGTTATTAAACCTCATATACAGTCTTTTCAATATTATGCCTAGAGAATGGGAAGATAGATGAAGTACTTCTGCAACTGTATTCCTAAGAAAAGTACATGTGCTGTGTTATCTGAGTTGCAAGCTGAATGAGTTGTTTTTCATGACTGCTATTTTTACTTGAAAGAACAACTGAGAGCTGGGTGTGCTGGTATGAGCCTGTAATGCCAGCTGCTGTGGAGGTGGAGGCAGGAGTTTGAATTCAGGTCCAGCCTGGGTAACACAATAAGACCCTATCTCTACAAAAACAAAAACAAAAACAAAAACACAAGAAACCAGACACACATACAAACACAAACCCAAACAAAGAAACAAAACCAAGGGGCAACATTTTTTTTCAGATATAGATGTTTGACAGGAACTTTTTCAGAAATGAACAGAGTGACCCTGTCACTTTGAGGAGGACAACTGAAAATATTTGTCATCAATGATAAAATTCAAGCTTTTAAGCAAAAATTATAATTTTAGAACATCTGATCTGTCCCTGTGAGCTTGAAAGCTTTCCTGTACCTAAAGACTGTTTTGGCAAGATTCATTGGTGATATTAAAGAATGTAACTTTTTAAAAACACTCTACTATATAATGAAACATGTGGAAGATCTGCATAGATTAGTAAACTGATATTTTCTAAATAAACAATGCACAATATGACAGAATTATACATGCATAAAGCACCCATCCAACCTACAAAGACCAATGGATTTTAATGTAACAGTATAAAAAGTTCATTGATGTGGTTTCACATTTTATACTGCAACTTGAAAATGTTTCCATTTGCTTTTAATATTCATTTGCCCATCACTTTATTTTTAGCTTTTCTTTTTTTTTGAGATGGAGTCACCCAGGCTTGAATGAAGTGGCACGATCTTTGCTCACTGCAACCTCTCTGCCTTCTGGGTTCAAGTGATTCTCATGTCTCAGCCTCCTGAATAGCTGGGATTACAGGCATGTGCCACCATGTCTGGCTAATTTTTTTCTATTTTTGGTAGAAGTGGGGTTTCACCATGTTGGCCAGGCTGGTCTCGAACTCCTGAGCTCAAGTGATCCACCCGCCTTGGTCTCCCAAAGTGCTGGGATTACAGGTGTGAGCCACCGCGCCTGGTCTGTTTTTAGCTTTTCTGAATAATTTTTAGGTTTGTTTCTTGTATGGAACATATGTAGTTGGGTTTTGCTCTGCGGGCTCAACCAAAAATCTTTTTCTTTTGATAAGTGGATTAAGACCATTCACATTTGTTGAAATTACCAAATGTTTGGTTTAGTTTCTGTCATTTTATTGTTACTGTGTTTCTTTCTCTATAATGTGTTTTCTTTGTTTTCTATTAAATTTTTCTTTCTTCATCTCATTTTTTGTTCTCTTTCTGCTTTTGTCCGATAATGTTTATCATGTTTCCATTCAAATTTATTCTTTCTTGTAATATAGTCTTCATTTGTAATATAATTTTTTTCTTGTTTGCCATGTCTGAGGTTAGTCAACTCTTGTCTCATTATTTGTATTTTTTTTTTTTTTGCTTCAGTTCTAATCTTAGTTTTTGAATTTCAATTCAGAATGTTCTTTAATTTTCCCAAAGAGGGGTGTTTAATTCTGTTTGGATTTTTGCTTGTTTTCTTCAGCTATATGTTTTTTGTTGTTGTTGTTTTGGGAGATGAGAACTGGGAGTAAGGGCGGCTCTGCTGGTAATTTTCATGAGCTGATGTGTTTTTGTTCTCTGTTTTCTTCTGTAGGTAGCAATGTACAGATAAAGAGTACTTTAACGCCCATGCGTGTTCAAGACTGTTCAAGACTGGTGATTTGGAGTAGTTTACAAGATTCCTCATTCAGAGTGCCCTCTTGTGTGACTGGGGTGATGTGCAGCTTCCATAATGGATGGGACAGAGAGCTGGGATCTAATGTACAAGTGAAGGGCTTGGTCTTCCCTGAGACATTCCAGCCATTGGAATAGGAGAGGAGCATATATGGCAGAGGTGATGGCTGGTGGGTAAATGTGATAGTAAATTGTAGAAACCTCTTCTGATTGATTGGATTTCCTTAATAAAATCGGAAGCAAGGTTAGGCTGAGTGAGGGTGAGTAAAGAGGTAGAGGAGGTTTGAGGAGAGAGAACTGCTCGGAAGACATTGGTAGATGGACCATAAAAACAGAGTTAGTTCTCTTTATGACATTAAATAGTTTTACAACATATTTTTAATGGTTCACAATTTCATTTTAGGGCTTAAAATAAATTATGGTTCTATGATTTTTTTAAACCAGTTTCCTATTGTTAGACATTTGTTTCCAGTTTCTTACTATTATAAATAAAGTGAAACAATATCTCTTACTATACCATTTCTAAATTTAGAGTTCGTAACTTTTCTGTTGTTAAAATATAAGAATATTTATCTTTCTCATTGGTTTATAAACTGTAGTCAGATTATACACTTGTGTGAGTTACAAACTTTAGGAGTGTGATGGTATCATTAACACAAGATTCAAATACTAATGTTCCAAGTACAAATAATAATGAGATTCTAAATATGCAGTTTTATATAGTAATATTGATTATTGGTTATTATTAGACAAATACCATGAAATGGAAACTCGTCATTATATTGTTTTATTGTTGGGAAAAGTAATAGTATTACCAACTTGCTGGACATACAGAGTACACCAAAGCTAGTGATACTTCTTAGCAAAGTCCTATTTGAAAATAGGAATCAAAGTTATTTTCATTGTTATCTAATCCTGCTAAAGCAAGAAAGGGAATTGCATATACTCCAAGCAAAGGTTTATCAGACAAGACGAAAGAAAGCAGGAAACAAGGGTAAATCCTAGGCCCTTAGAAGCAGGAAACTGAGGAATGGAGAGCAAGTCATCTCTCAGTGCCCTTTTGCTGTCTGCCCAGGTTGATTGGTTCGCTTCTCAGCTGTGGCTCGGGAGGTGGGCAAGGCACTTCTTATTTAAGTCTCATAACAACCTTATACAGTGGATAATGCAATTCATTGCATAGAAAGGGAATAAATAGGAATGCTTAATTTTTTAATTTTCATGAGCCTTGTCAATACTTGTAGTTAATCTTATACTACAGTCTAGCAGTTTACTTCCTAATATTACCTCATGTATAATAGTTTGATACTTATAAAGTATAGATTTTATATATAAAGTTTATATATAAGGAAAAAAATAATTGTTATATTTCTGAGGCAGTACCCATCTCACTTGTAAACTTAAAAGACACCGCAGAGATTTGAGGGACTCAGAAGTCAAATAGAGTAGGTTAAAAACCTCTTATTTTTCAAATTAATTGTTTTAAGAAACAAGCATACCTGTGTAAGTGAAATATCTTAATTTGTGTTGAATCAAGTTAGGAGACAGAGATTCTCATGAATGTGTCCTGTGTTCTCAAAGCAGCTGCTAGCCTGTGGGTCTCTCCTACCTGGGTTATGGCAGCACCTCACAGCCAATCACTGGCCTCCATTCTCCCCTTTCCTCTGTACAGTTTGCTCTGGTTCCTCAGAGCAGATTTCCGAGTATACTGCTTCAGCCACGCCCCCACTGTGCCGTTCCCTGAACCAAGAGCCATTCGTCTCAAGAGCCATTCGTCCAAAGTACTCTATCACCTAGCCATTGTAGCCATACCAAGCCGGGCTTCCTACTTCCCTCTGCTCCCCTTGGTTTCCTCCTGTGAAGTAAATCTCACTGACCCTTGATGCAGCTCCAAGCATATATAATATATATATAATAAAACCATAGTCTAAAAAATTCAAACCAGGAGAAATAAAGCCAGAAAGTTGTATGGGAAAAATCTGCACAGATTTATTTGGCCAGCATGGTTATCATGGCTCTATTGAATTTATCCTTGACCGTCTTTAAAGCCAAAGCAAACGGGATAAAGTGATCAACTACTTACCTCTCAATACCAGAAAGGAAGCAGGAGGCAAAATCTCTCAATAATTTCATAAAAACAATTCTTAGCTGGGCGCGGTGGCTCACACCTGTAATCCCAGCACTTTGGGAGGCCGAGGTGGGCGGATCATGAGGTCAGGAGATCGAGACCATCCTGGCTAACATGGTGAAACCCCATCTCTACTAAAATTACAAAAAATTAGCTGGGCGAGGTGGCGGGCACCTGTAGTCCCAGCTACTCGGGAGGCTGAGGCAAGAGAATGGTGTGAACCCCAGGGGGCGGAGCCTGCAGTGAGCTGAGATCGCACCACTGCACTCCAGCCTGGGCGACAGTGAGACTCCGTCTCAAAAAAAAAAAAAAAAAAATTCTTAAGTGGGTCTTCATTATGGAAATCACAGAATAGAATGGACAGAATTCTCATTTCTAAAATTCTGTGTGACAGGTTTCATATGGGTCTTTTTATGGTCAGTTACTAAAAGCCACATAATAGTAGAACTAAATTTTTTTTTTTTTTTTTTTTTTTTTTTTTTTTTTTTGAGACGGAGTCTCGCTCTGTCGCCCAGGCTGGAGTGCAGTGGTGCGATCTTGGCTCACTGCAAGCTCTGCCTCCCGGGTTCAAGTGATTCTCCTGCCTCAGCCTCCCAAGTAGCTGGGACTACAGGTGCATGCCACCACACCCTGCTAATTTTTTGTATTTTTAGTAGAGACTGGGTTTCACTGTATTAGCCAAGATGGTCTCGATCTCCTGACCTCGTGATCCACCCACCTCGGCCTCCCAAAGTGCTGGGATTACAGGTGTGGGCCACCGCACCCGGCCAGAACTCAATTTTTATCTGTTGGTGAGATAATATAGGTCAAGTATATAGCCTTTTGGTGTTTTAACTTGATCCAATTGTAGAACTTTAGGAATTCAGACCCCGAGATGTTAAATGACTGTCCCCTGTTTTAATAGGTTTCCTGAGTTTCAGCATAATTGTCTTAGTTCACTGACTAGTTTCTTATAAGCATAACCACTGGGGGGTTACGTGCAAGGATTTCTTCAGGCCGGGTGCAGTGGCTCACACCTTGAATCTCGGCACTTTGGGAGGCCAAGGCAGGAGGATCACTTGAGTTCAGGAGTTTGAGACCAGCCTTGGCAACATAGCAAGATCTCATCTTTACAAAAAATTTTTAAATTAGCCAGGCATGGAGGTGCATACCTGGAGTCCCAGCTACTTGAGAGTCTGAGGCAAGAGGATCACTGGAGCCCATGAATTCGAGGTTGCAGTGAGTCCTGATTGTGCCACTGCACTCCAGCCTGGGCAACAGAGCCTTGTCTCTTATAAAAAAAAAAAAAAAAAAAAAAAGCATTTCTTCTGAGTTGTGCTTGCTGAACTCAAAATACTAGGTGATTTGGTAATGCGCCTAAAGAGCATGGGGCTCCTCCTGCCAATTATAAGCAAAGACATCACATTTGGAGTTTGGCAAGATCAGAATATCTCAGGTTGAGCACCTGCTGAATGCTAGGATTGTGTCTATGCATTTTAAATCTATTTTTAATCTTTATTACAGTCTTATAATAGGGATTATGACACCAGAACAGAGACAGCTGTCTTAAGATTTCAAGGGGTGCTAGCTGAAGAAAACAGAGAGGAAAGTTGGGAAGAAGCTGGATCCTTGATAACAGCTGAGCCATGGACTTAACCAGTCTTAGATGAGCGATACCTCACCTTCAGATTTCATGTCATACCACCTGAAATAATATATTTTCATTATTGTTGAAGCCATTTTGATTTGGGTTGTCTACTATGCTACCTGCAGCCAAAGGGAAACTAATAAATGTGAACTAAGAAGCAAACCTACATTCTTCTTCCCAAAGTCCATGTTTCTCCCCCTCGCCATCCTCTTCACCAAAAACTACATTCATTGTATTCAGCTCCTGCAAAGAGCACACATTAAGAAACAGGTTTAAGGAAGTGTTAGACACTGAATGTATTCGACCCCCAAAATTCATGTGTTGAAATCCTGACTCCTAGGACTAACTGTTAGGAGGTAGGGCCTTTGGGAGATGATTGGGTTTTGAGGGTGGAGCCCCTCATGAATGGGATTAGTGCCCTTATAAAAGAGGCCCTGGGGAGCTGTCTCCCTTTTCCACCATGTGAGGACACGGCAAGAAAATGGCTGTCTACAAAGCAGGAAGCAGGCCCTCACCACACACTAATATACCAGCACCTTGACCTTGACCTCCCCCCATCTCCAGAACTGTGAGGAGTAAGTGTTGTTTAAGCCACCTAGTCTGTGGTATTTTTGTTATAATAGCCCAAATGGACTAAGAAATGAAGAGAAATTAAGATGGGGAGGGCTATTTTCATAATAAGGAGCAGAAAACTAGGAAGAGTAGATATATTTAGAAGGGTTAAGAGGAGAGGGGAGAATGTATATGTTTGGATAGGGAGGGACAAGATGCCCAACTCATCTTAAAAGTGCTGTTGATTCCTGTGAAATTTGTAACACTCATTTACATTATTTAAAAATAAACTAAATTCGAACTTGTCTTGGAGGCATGAAAGAAAAAAAAAGACATGTTTTTAGTTATTGTATGTTACTCTGAGCTACACATTATTTAACATCTCTGAAACTGGAATATATTTTACAATTGATAGACTCATTTTAATTAGCAGGTTATTGTTTTCTTAGCAGTACATAAGAAATGGTGAATCTTATTGATTCAGTGGCATTTAGATTCTATTAAATATAATTTTTAACTGAAGTTGTACATAGTTAAATAAAAGTTTACTATGAAATAAAGTTTGTTATGGAGTTTATTATGGATGAGTGAATTATAAAAGCATAATGAAGATTTTTTCAATGAAAAAGAGTGGTTCTTTGCCCCCTCTCCTTTCTGTAGGCAGAGTTCTAAGATGGCTCCCAAGATTCCTCTTCCCTAGTGTATACGACCTACATAATTCCTCCTCTTGGATGTGGGCATTATTATGAATATCATGGATTTCACTCCCATGATTAATTTTTATTATATGGCAAATATGAAGATTTGACATTTGATGCAATTAAGGTCTCAAATCAGTTGATTTTGACTCTAAAAAAATGTGGGGCAGATTATCATGGGTAGACCTCAATGAATCAGGTGAGCCCTTTAAAGAGACTGGGCCCTTTCTGAAGTCAAAGATAGGAAGCATCAGAGAGATTCTGCTATTAGCCTTGAAGAAGTAAACTGCCATGCATCTAGGACTTGTGGACAGCCACTAGTAGCTGAGGGCAACCCCCAGATGACAAGAAGTGGAGATTTCAGTCTTATAACCACAGCCACTTTATCAGCAACCTGAATGAGTTTGGAAGAGGTGCTCCAGGCTTATTTTGTATCTTCCCACCGTAGCCCTCAGATCAGCCATTTCTCCAAGCAGCCCAGATTCCTTTTAGTTAAGAATAGCATTTACAAACCAATACTGGTTGCTAGATGTGTTCATTACTACTGAATGTCACTGCATCTAGTGCCTTCTTAAGACACAACTAGGGAATATGTGTCTTGTGTGTATGTATAAATGTACACACATTTACATCTATATTTCAACATGTATTGGAAACCATGATTTCACACCAGCATCTTGAATTCCAGTCCAATTTTCTACCTTTCCTTTTTTTTTTTTTTTTTTTTTTTTGAGACAGAGTCTCACTCTGTCACGCAGGCTGGAGTGCAGTGGCACAATCTCAGCTCACTGCAACCTCTTCCTCCTGGGTTCAAGCAGTTCTCCTGCCTCAGTCTCCTGAGTAGCTGGGATTATAGGCATGTGCCACTATGCCTGGCTAATTTTTGTATTTTTAGTAGAGACAGGGTTTCACCATCTTGGCCAAGCTGGTCTCGAACTCCTGAGCTCAGGTGATCCATCTGTCTTGGCCTCCCAAAGTGCTGGGGTTACAGGCGTGAGGCACCGTGCCCGGCCTATTACCTTTCCTTATTTTTAACAACCTTCTTCAACAGCGAGAATTCTGGATCCCAATATCTTTAATATACATATTAATTTAATTGATTACGATCTCCATCGCCACTGCAGCTACCTACTGCTACCCCATCTCTGAGTGAAGGATAAGACTCTGATACTCTTCTGGGCTTCAGGTATACCGAGCCATGCCCCTGCCACCACATTCTCCACCTCATGTAAAGACACTGCCCTCACTCTGCTTGGGCTCCAACACCTCATGTCAGATTGCCATCACCAATCTGGATTCCTCCCCATCCCTTTCAGAATTCAGTGCCCTGTATCTTGCACAAATTCCCTCCTCACCCTCCCCAGGCTCAGACACCCCGTGCTGGGCTGCCAGCATCACCACTCCCCACACAAACATCTCTCATTCCACTTGGTGCTCCGGCTCCACTTGGTATAGATTCCACCTTTAATCCTACTTCACCCTCATCCTCCAACACCCCAGGCCAGGCTGACCTGTGCAGATGTCAATTTCACCCTCTTTTGGCTCTGACACCCTTTTTTGGGCCACTCTTCTAAGCAGATGGCCTCCTCACTCTGCTTGGGCTCTCACACTATGTCAGGTGGCCATCCTGTGAAGACATGCATCTTCCCTATATAGGGTTCCTACATCCTGGGTCAGATTTCCATCTTCCTTTTGTGACTTCAATTTTTGTCTGACTCCATTTTCCTCACCCTGCTCAGGCTCTGGTGATAGCCCATGCTTGGTTACCCTCTCATGTTGACATTCTCAATGTAGTCATGTTCTGACACACTGTGTCTCTGTCTCCCCTTTCTCACTCTGGAGATGCCATGCTTTGTGGGCCCATTAAATTATTTCTTCACTCCCTAAGTTTATGGTATATTTCTTTATTACTTCTAATTGTCAAAGTAAGCCTATGAGGTAGATGATGTCATTGCCATTTCACACCAGAAAGCTAAAATGGTTGAGTTTTTCCCAGGGTAATTCAGCAAATGATTGAGCTGGAATTTGAACCCAAGTCTGTCAAACTCAGAAGTTCTGAAGCACTCTTCGTACTAAAACACCTCCAGAGAAGCAGCCGGAGGTGCAGATAAAGGGGGAAAGGTAGCCTGTTTCAGCAGAAAAAGCACCATGTTTTCATTATTGTCTTGTGTTTGCATCCCATTTTCTTCATTTTTAAGCTGTGTGACATTTGGCAGTTAATCTTTCTGAAACTTAGTTTCTTTATCCGGAAAATGGAGCCAAAAATAAAATCTGTCATGCCTACATTATGATTTTGATTTGAGATTCCAATGAGGTAATGGATGTAAATACACTGAAAAATTTAAGGGACAATACAATGGAAGTTGTCTAATATGCATTTTTAAGGGAACCAAAAGGGATCTTGGGGAGGGGGTGGATTGTCCAAATCAAATGCCACATCATCATCACCTTTTTCTGAAATCAGCCATTCATTCAAGATAGGTCCAGAGGGTTAATTTGGGTCATTTGGACTAGAAATATATTTATGTTATTACAAATGAACTGATCCCCAAATGTCAGAGGAACTTGAAGTTGTCACTTTTAAGTTATGATTTGTTTCAAGAAGTTTTGCCTGGAAATATAAATTTTGGAGTTATCAGCATGTAGATAATATTAAAAACTATCAGACTGTATAAGATTATCTGGAAAGTTAGTGGAGATAAAAAGAGAGAGAGTAGTAATCCAGTACTGAACCATAGGGTACTCCATAATTAAGAGTCTGAGGAAATAAGGAAGACTCAGCAAAGAATACCAAACAGAAATGGCCAGTAAAACAAGAAGGAAGAAGTGGATGGATCAAACAGAATACCAACAATAAAACATAGACCTAAATCCAGACATAATAACTCAATTACATGTAAATGTCTAAACTTCAAAAGCCAAATCCAGTCCCCAGTCCACTATGTGTGGTTTGTTTGTTTTTTTGTTTTGTTTTGTTTTGTGTTTTGAGATGGAGTCTCACTCTGTCACCCAGGCTGGAGTACAATGGTGTGATCTCGACACACTGCAACCTCCGCCTCCAGGATTCAAGCGATTCTCCTGCCTTTGCCTCCCGAGTAGCTGGGATTACAGGCACCTGCCACCATGCCCAGTTAATTTTTGTATTTTTAGTAGAGACAGGGGTTTCACCATGTCGGCCAGGCTGGTCTTGAACTCCTGACCTTAGGGGATCCTCCTGCCTCAGCCTCCCAAAGTGCTGGGATTACTGGTGTGAGCCACCACCTCCAGCCCAGTCCACTATGTGTTTTTGTAAATAAAGTTTTATTGGAACACAACTATGCCCATTTGTTTACATGTTGTCTATGGCTGCTTTCCCAATACAACAGACTTTAGTAATTGCTACACAGGATGTATGGCTTGCAAAGCCCAAAATATTTACTTTCTGCCTTTACAGAAAAAGATTGTCAGAACGGATTTTTTAAAAATGACCCAACTATATGCTGTCTACAATAAAGTCACTTTGGTGAAAAGTAAAAGGATGGGAAAAAATGCAACATGCAAACATTAAACAAAAGAAAGATGGAGAGGCTATATTAATAATAAAATAGACTTCAGAGCAAAGATAACTTCAAAAGATAGAGTCACTGCATAATAACAAAAGGGGTGACTTGTTATGACATTACAATCCAAAACGTGTATACATTCTAAAAACAGTGAATCAGAATATGAAGCAAACACTGGCAGAACTGAGACAAGAAATAGACAAATTTACAATTATATTTGGTAACTTCAACACTCCTTTCTTAGTAATCCATACAACTAATAGACGGAACAAATATATAGAAGAACTGAGCAACACTATCAGTTAACTTGGTCTAATTGAAATTTATTGAATATACCTCAAACAAGAGTAGAATACACATTCTTTTTTTTTTTTTTTTTTGAGATGGAGTCTCTCTGTCGCCCCAGCTAGAGTGCAGTGGTGCAATCTCTGCTCAATACAACCTCTGCCTCCTGGGTTCAAGCAATTCTCCCGCTTCAGCCTCCCAACTAGCTGGCATTACAGGTGCCTGCCACCACACCCGGCTAATTTTTGTATTTTTAGTAGAGACAGGGTTTTGCCATGTTGGCCAGGCTGGTCTTGAACTCCTGACCTCAGGTGATCCGCCTGCCTCTGCCTCCCAAAGTACTGGGATTACAGGCATGAGCCACCTTGCCTGGCCAAATACACGTTCTTTTCAAGTGCTCATGGAGCATTGACTAAGATAAACCATATCTTGGGTCATAAAATAAAACTTAACAAATTTAAAAGTATTGAAATAATTCAAAGTCTATTCTCTGTACATAATGGAAGTAGATTAAAAATCAGTAAGAAAGCTGAACACAGTGGCTCACACCTGTAATCCCAGGACCTTGGGAGGCCAAGGCAAAAGGATCACTTAAGCCCAGGAGTTTGAGACCAGCCTGGAAAACAGAGTGAGACCCCATCTTTACAATTCTTTTTTTAATCTGCCAGGCATGGTTCTGTGCACCTGTGGTTCCAGCTACTTGGGAGGCTGGAGTGGGAGGATCACTTGAGCCTGAGAGGTTGAGGCTGAAGTGAGTCGTGATTGTGCCACTGCACTCCAGTCTAGGAAACAGGGTGAGATCTTGTCTCAAAAAAAAAAAAAAAAACAGTCAATAAGAAAGATAATAGAAGCCCAGGCACAGTGGCTCACACCTGTAATCTCAGCACTTTGGGAGGCCAAGGGCAGGTGGATTGCTTGAGCCCAGGAGTTTGAGACCAGCCTGGCCAACATGGCAAAACCCGGTCTCTATAAAAATTAGCTGTGGTGGTGTACATCTGTAGTTCCAGCTACTTGGGAGGCTGAGGCACAAGAATTGCTTGAACCCAGGAATCTCAAGTCAATAATCTAAAATGGAGTAGAGCTAGAAAAAGTATAGCCAAATAAATCCAAAGCAAAATGAATGAAGGAAATGAAGACAACTGTAGAGATCAATGAAACTGTAAACAGAAAAATAATAGGGAACATCAGTGAAACCAAAGCTTTGTAGGTCAAAATCAATGAAAAAAAGTCAGTTAAACCAAGTTCTTTGTAAAGGTCAGTAAAACTGATAAACTTTTAGGCAAACTGATAAGGAGCAAAAGAGAGATGACAAAAAATACCAGTGTCAGGAATGAAAATGGGAACAGTACCAGAAATCCTGCAAGAAATGAAAGGTATAAGAGAATACTACAAACAGCTACATGCACACAAATTTGAGATTATAGATGAAATACACCAACTCCTCTAAAATCACAAATGACTAAACCCATATAAGAGGAAGTAGATAACCTGAATTAGTCCTTGTAACTATTGAAGACGTTGAAGTCATAGTTTAAATTTCATACATAAGAAATCTCCAGGTTCAGATATTTTCACTGGCAAATTCTACCAAAATTTATAAAAGAAACACCACCAATTCTACACTGTCTCAACATTAGGAAGATGTCAATTCTCTCCAAATTAATTTAGATTTAATATAACTCCCATAAAAATCCCCAAATAATTTTTTGTACGTATAGACAAGCTCATTCTAAAATTTATATGGAAAGGCAAAGGAACTAGAATAGTCCAAACATTTTTTTTAAAAGAATAAAATTTGAAGACTCATGCTAGCTGGATTTTAAAAATTACTATAAGCTACAGTAATGAAGATAGTGTGATACTGGTGAAGTGACAGACAAACATATCAACTTAATGGATTAGAGATTCCAGAACTAGGTCCACACAAATATGAGCAACTGATTTAATTGGTGTATTTAGACTGTTATTTACATTTAATGTAATTATTGATATGTCAAGACTTAAATTTGCCATTTTATTATTTGTTTTGTTATCTTTGTTGTTCTTTTTTTCTTTTCCTGCTTTCCTGTGGGTTACTTGAACATTTTTTAGAATTCCATTTTTATTTCTCTATAGTATTTTGGAGTGTATCTCTTTGTATAGTTTTTTTAGTAGTTACTCCATACATATATAAAATGTATGCATATATAACAGTCCAAATACACTTAATATAATTGCTGGTAAGCTAGAATTTTATGTTTGACATTTTGTTATTGGCTTTCTGAGTGTCATGTCCTTTTTGTTTCTCTATTCCTCTATGAATGGCTTCTTTTGTGTTAAATACATATTTTCTAGTCTATTATTTTAATTCCTTTGATATTTATTTTACTATAGCCATTTGAGTTATTTTGTTAATGATTGCCCCAGGGATTATAATTAACAATGTAAAACAATCTAGTTCAGATTGACACCAATTTAATTTCTATAGTAGACAGTGAAAACCTGTTCCAATATGGCTTTTTTCCCTTTTCCCTCTTTTGTACTATTTTATTTATACCAATTAAATTTGTATACATTATAAACTCATCAACACAGTTGTATAATTGTTGCTTTATGCAGTTGTCATTTAAATAAGGTAAAATTTAACAGTGTCATAAACAAAAAATATATTTATATTGTCTTTTATATTTACTTACATAATTTCCTTTATTGGTGTTATTTCTTTGTGTGAATACAAGTTACTCTCGAGTGTTCTTTTGTATCAGCCTAAAGGACTCCCTTTAATATTTCTTATGTGGTATGTGTGCTAACAATACATTTTCTCCATTTTTCTGTATTTGAGAATGCCTAAGTTTCTGTTTTCTTGAAGAAGAGTTTGGCTGATATCGAATTCTTGGTCAACAGCTTTTTTTCTTTGATCTCTTTGAATATGTCCTCCCACTGTCTTCTGGCTTCCATAGTTTCTGATGAGAAGTGACCTGTTACTCTTATTGAAGCTCCCTTATACTTGAAGTCTTTTCTCTTACTAGTTTAAAAATTCTTTTTGACTTTCAACAGTTTGACCATGATGGGTCTAAGTGTGGATCTTTTTGTCTTTATCCTGCTTGGAATTCTTTTAGCTTCTCGGATGTGCATATTAGTGTTTTTCATCAGATTTGGGGAGTTTCCTGCCTTATTTATTCAAATACCCTTTCTTTCTTTTCTTACTATCTTCTCCTTCTGAGATGCTTATTATACATATATTGATATGCTTGATGGTGACCTCACAAATATCTAAGGCTCAGATAGTTTTTCTTTTTTTTTTTTTGTTCCTCAAGCTGGATAATATCAATGACCTATGTTTAAATTCACCGATTCTTTCTTCTGCCTGCTCAAATTGTCTCTTGGCCTTCTTGTGAATTTGTTATTTCAGCCTTATACTTTTCAACTTAATATTTCTATTTGTTTTTTTAAAAAGTTTCTATCTCTTTATTGATATTCTCTATTTGATGAGACAACCTCCTTTAGACATGGTTTTCTTTACTTTTTTTGAAAATATTTATAATAGCTGATTTAAAGTCTTTCTCTAGTAAGCTGATATGGTTTGGCTGTGTCCTCACCCAAATCTCATCTTAAATTGTACTCCCACAATTCCCACATTTTGTGGGAGGGAGCTGGTGGGAGATAATTTGAATCATGGGGGCAGTTTCCCCCATACTGTTCTCGTGGTAGTGAATAAGTCTCATGAGATCTGATGGTTTTATCAGGGGTTTTTGCTTTTGCATCTTCCTCATTTTCTCTTGCCACTGCCATGTAAGAAGTGCCTTTTGCCTCCTGCCATGATTCTGAGGCCTCCCCAGCCATGTGGAACTGTAAGTCCAATTAAACATCTTTTTCTTCCCAGTCTCAGGTATGTCCTTATCAGCAGCATGAAAACGGACTAATACATAAGTTCTGAGCTTCCTTAGGGATAGTGTGTATTGACTGTTTATGCATGGGAGCATACTTCTTTGGGCCCCCTTTTTTTGGTAAGTTCATAATATTTTATTGAAAATTGGACATTTTAAACAATATAATTTGTCAACTTTGTAAATCATACTACTCCATCCAGGGTTTGCTTGTTTCTGCTTATTGTCATTGCTGTTTGTTTAGTGTTTTTCCTGGACTAAGTGTGTAAAGTTTGTATTTTTTTATTCTGTATGGCTATTGAAGTCAGCGCTTAGTTAGCTTAATAGACAGCCCTTGATTGGGCAGAGATTTTCTCAAATACCTTGAACATATGAGTCTTCCAGTCTTCATAGAGGAACTCTGTGTGTGAGTTGGGACATACCTTCAATATTCTGGCTGAGAATTTACAACTCTGCCTTAGGCTTTACTTCCTGCATGAGAAGTACCTCAAGCTGGCCTGAGATAAGAACTTAGGACCCTTTCAGGTCTTTCTTGGGCATGTTCTCATCCCTGCACATGCATGGTTTTCTAGATTCCCAGGGATGTGTCAGAGCTTTTCAAAGCCCCCTGTAGATATTTCATTTCCCAGTTTTTTTGTTTTTTTGTTTGTTTGTTTTTGTTTTTTGCTCAGCCTCTTGTTGGCTCTGGAGGTAACAACACCTCCAGTTGCAATATTAAACAATTGCTACTGATTGTTTTTGACAAATGGTAAGGCTGTTCACACAGAGTGAGCTCTTGAGTCTAAGCCCTGAGAAGGTAGCTTTTCAGTAAGCTGTGAGATCAAATAGTGAATTTTAGTGGGGGGTGGAGTTTTTGAGAAGCTCCCAACTTGTTCTACTCACTCCAGTGACTAGTAGGTACTAGTTTTCATAGCTGTTAAGGTTGCAGGGCTTTCAGTCTTCAAGGCTCATACTGTGGAGCTGGGGAGAGGAGAATGACATTAGAGAAGTTAAAATGCCACAGGCATTTCACCAAGATTCAGCTGTTTTGCTTGAATAAATTCTCTTCAAATTGTTGCTAGCCTTCAGTTAATTTCCAGATTCTGAAAAAGTTGATTTTTGACTGTTTTGGCAGTGTTTTTATGTCTTTCATAGAGGAGTGGATTTTTGAAGATTTTTACTCTGCTGTTCCAGAGGTAGAAACCTTAACTCACTTTTAAGTGTGGTTTGACATCACAATACCTTTTAAAAAAACCCTGCACTTAAAAATATATATATTTCTAAATATATTTCATATCTATATATGTAATATATAAATAGAAGTGTATATATAAATAGAACTATATACGTATTTATGACTGGTATGAAAATTGAACATGTCGTCTTCTAGTACTTTTATTTCAAAATCACCTTTCCTTGCCTGGCATGTCCAGAGACTCATCTTCCTGGGGAACGCAATTGCACTCAGAGGAATGAGACAGTAAACAATTAACAGATAAAGTGCACATGACTGTTAGCAGGAAGCTCCTAGTTCATAAGAATTTGGGACCTTTACTCCATGCTCCAAATTTTTAAACTACCTTTTTAAGAGATTCCACAGAAGTAGTCTTATTTACCATTCCCATAAGTCTTAAATATATACAAGCTTTGTATCCCAGCTGTATCCTACATAAAAATACTCCAAATTTATTTGCCTGGATGTGTTGCTTGGCAGGTATATTTGTTACATAATAATATAAACTAGACTTTAATCTTGGACTTCCTGAATGAATTTGTGATTCAGCCTCATATCTGCTGACACACCAGCTCTTTTCAGCCTTCCATATGCCCACAGACTGTAAGCCAATTTAAACTTCCTCATGTAGCTGAACTCAGTTAGGTAAACCTGGAATCAACAGAAATGCTCCTTATTTCAGCCAAATGCACATAAAACAGTCATTTCAGTCCATGAAGGAGGAAAGCCTGGTTGCTGTGAATTCCTTATTATCTCAGAGACTGAATGCCTGTCCTTGTGTAGCTGTGAAGGATTCTATGTTCTCCCTAAGTTGGGGAGATGATGTGAGTGGCCCCTCAGGAAACAGAAACCTGCCCAACCTCCCCTGGCTCCTGCCACTCTGGACTGCCTGCAGTTCTGGAGGGCTGTGTTCTTTGGGATGTGTCCTACACCTACATCTGAACCAGGGGAGGAAAAAAAAAGAAGGGAAAAATGCCCTTGACTTTTCAAATAAGATGTGCAGGCCTTCTGCCAAGGAGCTGGAACGGCAAGGCAGGGAACAGGGTACCCTGGAACAAATGCGAGACCTGAGAGATCTTCACCTGGGAAGACACTGCTGGGGCCCACGGCCTTTGTTCTGTTAAATCTTGGCAAGGACCTGTGACAAGGCTGTGGTGTGGGAGCTGCACGATGGTCCGTGAAACAGGCCTTCCGGGCCCACCCATGAATGAGCAAGTGTCTGTTGTTCAGAACTCTCCAGGTCAAATCACAGGATTTGTAAAGAGATTCAGGACAGCAGTCACTGGGCCCTGCCTCCTGCCTCAGAGGCCTCACTCACATTTCCTCTGTTGTCAGAGGCAGCCTTAGTGAACCAGGCAAGGGTACATCTCGCTTTCCACCCTCCTTTGATCTCAGCAACCCTCACACTCCTTGTCTCAAATTGTCCTCCCTGACATTCTGGAAGCTGTGGAAGGGCATTTAGTGTACCTGCCCCATCCAAAGCTGTATTCTCTGCAAGGATCAAGCACATAAAAGGCACTTGCTCAATATTCATCATTGACATTTAAACATTTAAATGGGTGCTGCTTTTTTCCATCCAACAATATGAAAAATGGTGACCTTTAAGTGAAAGAGAATAAATAGGATTTTAAAAAACATTTAGGCTGGGTGTGGTGGCTCACACCTGTAACGCCTGTAATCCCAGTACTTTGGGAGGCTGAAGCAGGTGGATCACCTGAGCTCAGGAGTTCGAGACCAGCCTGGCCAACATGACGAAACCCCACCTCTACTAAAAATGCAAAAATTAGCCGGGTGGTGGTGCACCTGTAATCCCAGCCACTTGTGAGGCTGAGGCAGGAGAATAGCTTGAATCTGGGAGGCAGAGGTGGCAGTGAGCCGAGATTGTGCGACTGCACTCCAGACTGGGGGACAGAGCGAGACTATGTCTAAAAACAAAATAAAACAAAAAACAAACAAAAAAAACCATTTACGCCTTATCCATGAAACAACATAGATGGAGGTGATGTGTCCTTCTGCTCAGGTAATTCGAGAATTCCCCAGACAAAGGCAGAAATGAAGGAGAATGGCCAAGTATGTAGCTAGTGATTCCCTATGCATAAGCCAGCTGCATACATGCCACCCCTTATGTGACATTCCCACGAACATCTGAGGTGTCCCCCATGGCTCTGCACAGTTCCTCCTGGGCAAGCCATACTCCTTTGTTATTTCCAAGCTTGAGAATCTTAATTAGTACTAGCCACCAATTACCTAATACACACTTCACAGCTGATCACCACACTCCAGTGGATCAGGGATTGCAGTTGAGAGCACTGGTTGCTTGAGTTGGGAGTTGATGTCTCTCAGTCAAAGACCACCAGGAACCCACATATAGTCAACAAAGTCAGGTTTACTATTTGCTGCAGCAAAAGAGGTTGCATATGGGGGGTGTCTTTGTCTGTTTTCTGTTGCTATAACAGAATACCACAGACTGGGTAACTTATAAAGAAAATGTTTAGCTCATGGTTCTGGAGGCTGGGAAGTTCAAGAGCATGGAACTGGCATCTTGTGAGGCCTTCTTGCTGCATCATACCACGGTGAAGGGCATTACATGGTGAGAGGGCAACAGCAGGAGAGCCAGAGAGAGCTCGCTTCTATAATAAAGCCCTTCCCTCAATAACGAACCCACTCCTGTGATAGTGACATTAATCCATTTATGACCACACAGGCCTCATTAACCCATTAATCCATTCATGAGGGCAGAGCTAACACTAATTCATTCATGAGGGCAGAGGGATTAATTTTCCAACACATGAACATTTGGGGGCACATTCAAACCATAGCAGAGAGGAACTGAGGAACATCTTAACAGGAGGGAATTGGGGACAGACAGGGCATTTGAGACCAGAGAAAGTCATAGGATGATCCTGGAAGGGATGGGTGAGATTTTGTAAACTAGAGAGTTTCTGGAAGAGTCAGTACTCTTGTCTGGCTGTGTGAGTGAGTGGGTGTTAGGAGAGTTTATGCTTAGATGATTTGTGACATTCATGTTCTGAATGGGTGCCATTTATGGGTTAGCTCTAGAGCAGCAATGTTGAAAAGTTGTGGCTTGTTTCAACTCTCAGTTCTCCCTGACAGCCTTGCTGCCAATAGAGCAATTTTTCACTCCGTCACTGGAAAAGTGACGATGAGAGAAATGAGAGAAATGGACACCAGGAAATGACTCTGCCCACCGTACAACTGTCTGTCACCATGCAAAGAGGGAGAGTTGCATGCAGGGATGCTAAAGGAGAAAAGACACCCTGGGCAATTTCTCAGGGGGACCGCCTTGACCTGGGAGGCATTTCTATGGAATTCCTGTCCATTTGTCTTTTGACTCACTTTTGATCTTGATTATAATTTTTTCCCTTCTGTTTGTCCAAGAGGAAAAGGAAATGTGGGTCATGCATCCTGGTTCCTAGGGCAGAGCCTGGCTTTAATTAGCATGCAGATGGAACCCACATAGTCCTTCACTTGCTCTGTAATGTCACCTGAAGTTAATAAAAGCAGAGATTCCAATTAGTTAGCCTGACTCACTGGTAGACTATAGTGGAGGGAGGCTTCCCTGGCTTTACTGAGGGTGTATCTTAGTGCATTCAGGTTGCTATAATAAACTACCTTAGGCTGGGTGACTAATAAACAACAAAAATTTATTTCTCACAGTTCTGGAGGTTGGAAAGTCCAGGATCAAGGTTCCAGCAGGTTTGGTGTCTGGTGAGGACCTGTTTCATGACCCATAAATGGTGCCTTTTTACTGTGTCCTCACATGATGAAAGGTAGCAGACACACTCTGGGTTTCTTTCTTTCTTTCTTTCTTTCTTTCTTTTTTTTTGAGACAATCTCACTCTGTCACCCAGGCTGGAGTTAGTGCTGCAATCTCGGCTCACTGCAACCTCTGTCTCCCAGGTTCAAGCGATTCTCCTCCCTCAGCCTCCCAAGTAGTGGGATTACAGGTGTCTACCAATACACCTGGCTAATTTTTGTATTTTTAGTAGAGACGGGGGTTTCACCATGTTGGCCGGGCTGGTCTTGAACTCCTGACCTCAAGCAATCTGCCCACCTTGGCCTCCCAAAGTGCTGGGATTATAGGCATGAGCCACCGCACTCAGCCTCTGGGTTTCTTTTATAAGGACACTAATCCCATTTATGTGAGCTCCGCTTTTATAAACTAATCACCTCCCAAAAGCCCTACTTGGTAACACCATCACCTTGGAGATGAGGTTTCAATGTATTAATTTAGGTGGTTGGGGGAGACATAAACATCCAGACCACAGAAAGGGGTAAGAGCCGAATCAGCTGCTGCAGGAATATTGTTACAGAGGAGGGAGACAGCAGGCCTGGAAGAGGAGGTTTCAGGGAGGGAGTGTTTTTGATCCTGCAGATTCTGAGGAGAGAATGGCTTTGATTTTGTTTGCTGTTCTCCAGGCAAATCCAGGGTGGGGATTAAGAGTCCATAGCCCTTCCTGTTCCTGGAGTCAATGAATCTCTTTATGAAATATGCTGATTGAGCCCCTTGTTTCATCTTTTTACTGCTGAAGTGAGTAGAATCATGTCATTACTAGTTATAAAATTAGTCCATGTCTTTTTCAGAAATAGAAAAAGAAAAAAGTCCACGATGTTTGAAAATCAGCTCCCTGAATGTCCCAGTATGACTCTGCCCTCATTGCAAAATGGCTTTCCTCTCTGGCTTTAAATTTAGCTGCAGTTACACTAATAAAGTCATCATCTTGCTCCAAGATCATTAGCAAAGAAAGGGATGGCTGAGCTAGGATGTGGACTTGAAGTGAAGTGACTGGTTGGCAGTTGGTGGCTGTCTATGTTCCCTAGGATGGGGATGACCCCTTTCAGCAATAGGTGATTTACCCTCAGCTGGTGTTTGGAGGGGAGGTTGGGATACTAGGTGTGTTCATTTCCTAGGGCTGCTGGAACAAAATACCACAAACCAGGTGGCATTCTCTCACAGTTCTGGAGGCTACAAGTCTGAAATAAAGGTATATACAGGGCCACACTTCCTCCAAAGGCTGCAGGGAATGATCCTTCCTTATCTTTTCCTAGCTTTTGGTGATTGCCAGCAATCTCAGCATCCCTTTGCTGTGAAAGCATGACACCAATCTCTGCTTCTGTCTTTTCTCTCTCTCTCTGCATGTTTCTCTCTCTGTCTCTCTCTCTCTCTCTCTCTCTCTCTCTCTCTGTGTGTGTGTGTGTGTGTGTGTGTGTGTGTGTGTGTGTGTTTTCTCTTACGGATGCCAGTCATTGTATGATGATTCCATCTTAACTAATTACATCTGCAAAGACATTATTACTAAATAACATCACATTCATAGGTACCAGGTGTTAGGACATTGACTTGGTTTGGCTGTGTCCCCATCCAAATCTCATCTTGAATTGTAGCTCCCACAATTCCCATGTGTCATGGGAGGGACCTGGTGGGAGATAACTGAATCATGGGGGCAGGTCTTCCCCATGCTGTTCTTGTGATAGTGAATAAGTCTTAGGAGATCCAATGGTTTTATAAAGAGGAGTTCCCCTGCACAAGTTCCCTCTTGTCTGCTGCTATGTAAGACATGCCTTTGCTTCACCTTTGCCTTCCGCTATGATTGTGAGGCCTCCCCAGCCAGGCAGAACTGTGAGTCCATTGGACCTCTTTTTCTTTATAAATTACCCAATCTTGGGTATGTCTTTATCAGCAGCATGAAAACGGACTAATACAGACATAAACATATCTTTTTGAGAGACACAGTTCAGCCTACAACACAAAGCCTATTATGCTCCTCAGGCAAGAGGCTGGGACAGAGCTAAGGCTGGCCCTGATCAGACTCTTCCATGATGCTGGAAAGGATATTCTAACCTTTGATACAGGCCATTCTAGCCTGAGTTTTGCAATTTAAGTAATCAGGCTGGGCACTGTGGCTCACTCCTGTAATCCCAGCACTTTGGGAGGCTGAGGTGGGAGGATCGTGCGAGCCTGAGAGGTGGAGACTGAAGTGGCATGAGAACATGCCACTGCACTGGCATGAGAATATACCACTGCACTCCAGCCTGGGTGACAGAGCAAAACCCTGTCTCAAAAAAAAAAAAAAAAAAAAAAAAAGAAGAAGAAGAAGAAATTAATTTTGGGGGAAGGGTAAGGCAGGTGCACAGAGTCAAATGTGTTCTGTTCCTCAGTCCACAGCATAATCTCCCCATCAATGATAGAGGGATCTTGTCATTTTATTTTCTCCCTTTCTGCCCTGAGTCAGTCAGGATAGTTATGCTGGAGCAACAGACAACCTTAAAATCATTGTGGTTTAAAACAACAAAGAACCATTTTTTGCTCATGCTTTTGTGCCTCATAGATCAGCAGTTCACTGTGATCACTCAGACACCTGAGCTGACAGGGCAACCTCCACACTGAGTGGGGCCATTGGCCATATGAGAGGAGAGAGAACTCTGGGGGTCCCAGCATCTGTGAGTTCCTTGGCCTGGAAGAGACTGGCACCATTTCTGAGCCACCACTGGTCTCAGTGACATGCCCTCCCACGAGGGCACAGAGTGCCAGCCTATCATGGGCCCAGAGGTGGGAGAGGAGGAAGTATTAGGCCAAATTTGCTAATGTCTACCACAAATGCCAACTGTTTTGTGCCTTGTCCATCACCTTGCCCACAGGACAGGCTGGCACTGGAGCTGCCTCAGTGAGCATGCAGACAAGATGCCTGCTCTTGTGGAGCTGGGATGCCAGCAGGTCAGGTCTGTAGGGATGCTTAGAACGGCTGCAAACAAGAACTCCATCTGAAACCTACTTAAATCATAACCACGTTATCTCACATAACAGCAAGTCCAGCATTAGTATGAGAAAGACTCCCTAGAGGGCAATGTTCTTGCCTCCTACAGCTTTCAAGCCCAGGTCTGGCACCCCCTGGGAGCTGGACAGGAATGAAGGAATGGGAGCAGTAAATTACCTTGCCACTCAGGGCCCCAGCAAGGGGTGAGGAGTGAACTCTTCCTATGATGGAGGTTTGCCTGGGTCAGGTGGACAAACGAGTCAAAGAGGCAGAGATCTTTATTTGCAGAAACATGTCTGGCCACTCAGCCAACCATAAGAAAGGAAGGCAAGCTATTGCGTAAGTGCCACCGCATGGCTGAGGTGAATCCTGGCATAAGTAAGCAAGGTATATGACAGAGCACACTTTCCCCCTAAAGAATGCATCTAAAGCGCTCCCTGAGCTAAGAAACTAGATTGCTACGATCTAATTTCTCATTAAACGTGGTCAGATTCAGAAAATCCCATCAGCCCAAATCTAATTTTCATCATCATAGTCTCTTGTTTGCAAGTCAGCTAATATTTCTGTGGTCTGGCCAATGCTGTGTTTTGTTGGAAATCCTCTTTGTGACAAAGGGTGGCCTAAGTTTCTCATTAGACTTCCTCTAATAAGAACCAACTTCTCCATGAATCAAGTGCCAACTTCTCCATGAATTGGTCTTGACTCTTCCAGTGATCCCTTTCCCCCAACTTCTGACCTTGGTGAACCTGCAGCACCACCCACATTGGATTTCTCACTCTGTTTCTACCATTGTTCAAAGTATCCCCTTGTGACAGATGTGGAGATCTTACTTCTGAACTAGAGGGTAAGTTTTATTTTAGGCAGAAATCATTTGTTTGAAAAGAACACCCAAAAGAATGCATGCAAAGGAAGACTGAAAGGACACAGGGCTATCTGATAAAACCCACTGACGGGAAGCCAGGTTGCATGAGGCACTGGAAACCCAAACAGGAAACCAGGAGTGGCGTTTTGAAAATTGGCCCTAAAATCCTTTGAAACCTCTCAGCTCAATTCAATTTAGTAAGTACTCACTGGCCTATGTCCACCTCCCAGGACTCAGTGGCTTCTTGTGACTACTTTGACCAACAGAGTATGGTGGAGGTAACAATATGTGATTGGGTCCTAAAAGGCCACGTAGCTTCCACATTGTTCCCTGGAACACTCATGCTAGTAACACGAGCCACTGTGTTAGAAGCCCAACTACTCTGAGGCCACCTGGCTCAGAGGTGGCTTTATTGGGAGTCTGAACTTGTGCCCAAGGAGAGATATGAGGAAGTCAGACTCAAATGGGTCACTTTCCACCAACCACTGCCTCAGCTTTACCAAGCTCTCCCTGCAGGGAAGGAAAGATGAATTTTTGTGACTCTTAGCTTGTACATATGAAAATCTCTAAGTGTTTACGAGCTGCATAAATATTCCTGAATGTCTGCTGTGTCCTACACACACTGTTCTAGGTGCTAAGCCACATGGAGAGCCCAAGGGTAGATGTTCCAGTTATCGGTCCTAGTCTTTAGGTCATCCCAGCCCAGGCAGACATGTGAGTGACCCTTAGGTAACCCTAGCCCCCAGGCATGGAGTCTTCCCAGCTGAGGGAAGCAAAGACATTGTGGAGCAAATAGAAACTATTCCCCTGTGCTCTCTCTGAACTACTGGCCCACCGAATCCATGATAATTCATAATAAAATAATTGTTTTAAGCCACTAAGTGTTGGGATATTTTATGCAGCAATAAGCAGAACACAAAATTAAATTCTATCCTTCCAAGCCCTATGTTCTATTGTTTCCTTTCTTCCCACATCAGCATCATTGTTCTGTTTGTAGACAAGTTGTCTTTCCCTTGTGCACATGAGCCCAATATGGCCATCCAAAGCTTTACACCACTACCTCATTCAAACACTCAGGAGAGATTCTGAGTCCTAAGGCCAAACTCCTAGGATATGGGATCCAACTGTCATTGCACACGATTACGGTGTTTGCAACACCCAAGTGACGTGGATGATATACATTTGGCCCTCCATACCCACAGGTTCTGCACAATCAACCAACTGCATATCAAAAATATTCAGAAAAAAGGAATAAAAATAACATACGTTTTAAAACGTAGAGCAACTATTTATACAGCATTCACTTTGTATCAGATATTATAAATAATCTATAGATTACTTAAATTATGCAAGAGAATGTGCATAGGCTCTCTTCATATACTATGCCATTTCTGGTTTTTTTTGAGACAGAGTCTTGCTCTGTCACCTAGGCTGGAGTGCAGCAGCGCTATCTCGGCTCACTGCAACCTCCACCTCCTGAGTTCAAGTGATTCTCCTGCCTCAGCCTCCAAGTACTTGGGATTACAGGCATGTGCCACCACACCCAGCTAATTTTTATATTTTTAGTAGAGATGGAGTTTCACCATGTTGGCCAGGCTGGTCTCAAACTCCTGACCTCAGGTGATCCACTCGCCTTGGCCACCCAAAGAGCTGGGATTACAGGTGTGACCCACCGCACCCAGCCCTATGCCATTTTTCTATCAGGGACTTGAGCATCCATGGATTTTGGTATCCATGGGGGGTCCTGGAGCCCATCCTCTGCAGATACCAAGGGATGACTGTAATTACATATATTACACATACATTTACTATATACTGACAAACACCTTTCACTGCTTTTGTTTTTGTAGTTCTCATCCCTCTTTGACATTACACGTTTTTTCATTTACACATCTATTTTCTGTCCCCTTGCCAAAATGTAAGCTCCATGAAGTCAGTGTCTTCAGCAATCTTATCCACTGTAACTTCAGCAAGTAGAACAGTGCCTGGAACGCACTAGACATTCAGGAATATTCACGCAGCTCATAAACACTTAGAGATTTTCATATGTACAAGCTAAGAGTCATAAAAGTTTATCTTTCCATCCCTGCAGTGAGAGCTTGGTAAAGCTGAGGCAGTGGTTGGTGGAAAGTGAGCAACCCATTCGAGGGACTTCCTCTCTCCTTGAGCACATGTTCAGACTCCCAACAAACCCATCAAGTTGACTGTGACTCTGCAGTGGTATTTCATTGTTGGCTTATTTTTCTTTTCGTTTGCTAGTGTTGTAGGTATAATAATTCTTAAAAAGTGATTTTTAAAACCCATCCAGAATCCTAGCTAACTTTCTACTGCTCAAGTGCCCAGGATCTATTTGGCTTGCCTCTTGTCTCTTCCTGGTGGCAGCTGACTGATACCCAGATACCCAAGTCAGGCAGGTGGGCTAGCTGTAGAATACCCCTCCACTCAGGCCTCTCTGTCCTTCCAAAGGAGGGTTTGGTGGGTGGGGCAGATGTGAGAACTGGAGGCGTCACTGGGGCCTTCTTTGATTCAGGAACAAGAATGTTCATACATTGCTGTTGGGGGTGGAAAATAACATAATTCTTACAGAGGAAAAGTTGGCCCTAAAGATACAAAGGCAAAAATACAAAAAGACATATGCATATTGCTGCAATATTTTTAATAGCAAAGGGCTAGAAACAACCCAAATGTCAATCAGGAGTGACTGGTCGAATAAACAATGGTATGCTGTCATAATGAAGCATTACAATGGAAAACATACTATATGGTTCTATGGAGTGACAGCCAATATTTTAAGCAAAATAGAAGGGTCCAGGAAAGTGTGAAATAGCATGCTATCATTTATCATTTGTTTATATTGCTTAAATGGAAGGATAAAAGGGGAAATTTGATTACAGCAGAAGAGAAGCAGGAAATAGGGTGGAGGGAACCGGTCAGAAGATAAACTCTGAATACATTTTGTTCTGTAGATTTGACTTTGGAACCATGTAAATAGTTTACATAATTATAAAACAAAGTTAAAATTAAAAAGCAATCTCTAAAAATTTCAGGAAAATGAAGGAGGTATAATCAGTAAATCCTGATTCTAGTTTGGAGCATGCCACAGAGAGGGGAACCATTCCAAGTAACTTTACAACAGTAAGTTGACTGTCTGTCCCTAATCGCATAAATGCTGAGGACACAAAGAATTGAAGAAAAAAAATGATTTTAGCTGTTTTTAGTTATCACATTTGTGTGTTAAGGTTGGCATTGTTCTTATAAGAATTTTTTTTAATGTGTAGTTATTTTGGTGATGTTTAGAAGGAGGTTTTCAGAATGAGAGAAAGAGAGCAGATAGAGGATCAATGAAGCTATGTTAAAAATGAAAACAAGGCCAGGCGCGGTGGCTATGCCTGTAATCCCAGCACTTTGGGAGGCCGAGGCGGGCAGACCACTTGAGGACAGGAGTTTGAGACCAGCTTGGCCAACGTGGCAAAACCCTGTCTCTACTGAAAATACAAAAATTAGCTAGGTGTGGTGGTGCATGCCTGTAATCCCAGCTACTCAGGAGGCTGAGGCATGAGAATCACTTGAACCCAGGAGGTGGAGGTTGCAGTGAGCCAAGATTGCACCACTGCACTCCAGCCTGGGCAACAGAGCTGGACTCTGTCTCAAAAATAAAATAAAATAAAATAAAACGAAAACACTACAAAAAAATAAAAATTTGCTGGGCATAATGGCATGGACCTGTAGTCCCAGCTACTCAGAGGCTGAGGTGGAAGGATCGCTTGAGCCCAGGAATTTGAGGTTGCAGTGAGCTATGGTTGTACCATTGCAGTCTACTCTGAGTGACACAGAGAGACCCTGTCCCTATGCCAGTTCTCCCCTCTAACTAACAAAAAACCCACAGTAGTCCTGAATTAAATTGGAAGTATCAGCATGAACTCATGTAGTGTTTTATCTTAAAAAATACTAATAATACATATTTCCTAGCTCTAGCCACTAAAGCCAAGAAACTATGATGTAACCACTACCAATGAGCACTCTGAGCACTCAGACCTTGATGTCTAATTACCATCCCCCACTAGAAGGAACCAGGGATTACTGGGAGAAAACAGCTGATTTCAGGGCAGGGGCAGAAAATATACAGGATGAAAAAGACTACTAGGGTCATGTCAAAAGGAATCAGCCACCTCGAAGCAGCTCCCAAGAACCAAAGATAGAACAATTTGAGCAAAAACAAAGACAGTAGCTGTAATTACTATTAATACAGATGATAACACACATGATAACATCAGATATGTTTCAACCATGAGTTCATAATGTACTCAAAGAAGAAAACAACTCTCACAGGGCATGTTGGAAAGATGCCTGTGAACCATCTCATTTTGAAAACTGAAAAATAAAGGGAGGAAAGCCAAGAATCAATCCTACTTTTCTTATACAAACCAAATCTCAGGGTAACCAAATAACTGATGAGAGTGTGTTTCTCTTTATAAAGTATGTCAGCTAATAAACAAAGAAAAAATCAATAGCACTAGAATATTAATTGCAATCCCTACAGAAGTAATGGATCTGTGCAATCTGCGGGGGCTAACATCAGAAAAGAGAGGCAACCAGATATTTTGCTCCTCCTACTGGAAGCATCTGTCACCACCAATAAAGTAGTCTTGCCTAAATAAATCTAACTTGAATCTGACTAACTCTCTAGATTTATAAGAAATAGAGAAGACAGAGATGCACTCAGAAAAACTCATACTGTGAAAAATTCTACAATATAAATGACCCTATATTTTGTCTTCCAACAAACCTTCAGATTATTCCAATATATGCTGAAGTGTGAGACCCACTGCTACAGATTAAAAAAAGGCTTAAAATGCATATCAATAAATCACAGTGCATAGACCTACTGCAAGTAAACAAAAAAATATAAGCCACTCAGAGAAATGTCAACGATGGCTGAATATTTAAAGGTATTAAGGAATTAATGTTTTAGATGTGAATGGCATTTTGGTTATCCTTTTTTTAAAAGTTGTCTTTTAGAGATACATTCTAAAATATTTATAGATGAAATGATAGGATTGGGAATCATCATGAGGTGGGGTGATAGCAGATGAAACAAGTTGGCCATGTGTTCATTGTTGAAGCTACTGATTCAGACATGGGGTTCATTATACTATTCTTTCTACTTTTGCATATGTTTGCAACTTTGCATGATAAAAAGTCTTAAAGCCCCTCCCTCAAATAATATGAAACTATATTACCTGGAAAGGGGTGCAAATGAATTCTGGTTAACCAGTAGTTACTCTTAGTACAGAGTGGAGCTCTGAAAGGACAAAAGAAAAGTTGATTCCATAGAGGAGAGTGAGGAGAGAGCATATAGAGAACAAGACACTCCACAGGGAGAAGTGCCCAGCCATTATCCACAAAAGACCCATCATCCACATCATCCACAAGAAGTGCCCAGCCATCATTGTCCACAGCCATCATCCACATCCTAAGCAGTCAGCCATTTGTACTTTGGTGCTGTGGGCACCGGGGCTGGGTGCGTGATTTCATCAGTGGGAAGCAGGTTTGATGACGGCAGATCTTGGTGATGGAAATTGTTGCTTTAAACTGGGCTGTTTGGCATCAAAGCCCTATCATATACCAGTTTAGAGGGCACCTGCTCTGGAGACTCCCCAAACACTCCCCACCTTCTGGCATGTGAGAGGCTTGTCCCCCTGAACACATCATATCTCAATATATCCCACATATATCCCACATCATATGTCATCATATCTCACATATGATGTGTGTGATGTGTGGGCTGTCCCTAGCCCACAGCTGTGACATCTCCCATTCAGGAACCTGGCCAGGCCCTTAGACTCTTCCGCCTGGTGTTGTGCACATGGGACTGGGTGGTGTGCAGGCTTCTGGCCCAGCATAGCTACATTTAGAAACATAAGGCTGTGGATAATGTTTTAATGAAGTCTTGTAACTTTAGTTTGCATGTCCTTTTTCTGTTGTTAGAGATCGCAGCTGAGCCCATGGGAGAAGAAACATTTCAAAAGCAACTCTTGACTGTGTCTCAACCTTTGTCCAAACAACAGTACAAGAATAAACCATCTTAGAAACCATCTTGATGTAGGGCTTGATCATTGAACTAGTGACACACTTCTGGCTCCATCTCATACCAGGGCAAATACAAAGATTTAAATAAAATATGTGTGAGGAAATCTCACCAGCAGCTTGACATGTAATTAGATAATGAAACTTTCTTACAGCTTCGCTACCTCTTAAGTTTTAGCTTGAATGATCTTCCCCACCCTACCCCATACCCCATCCTACCACACCCCACTCAGCTCTGGCCAGTGTTTTCTCTCTTTGATCACCTGGAGGGCGTCACCCTGTAGTGAATTCATCAGAAACAAAAGGCCATGG
Source organism: Homo sapiens (assembly GCF_000001405.40). Lineage (NCBI taxonomy): Eukaryota > Metazoa > Chordata > Mammalia > Primates > Hominidae > Homo > Homo sapiens. The sequence goes on along the minus strand of NC_000002.12, from coordinate 112,188,443 downwards.
AATCTATGACAACTCAAGCATTTTCCTAAACTCTCCACGGCCAGGTATTGTCCTTACCAATCTCCCATGTGGTCAAAACAAATTTATAATGTGGAACAGTCCCAAACATCACCTCTGTGTTCTCTGACTCATTTATTCCAGTGTATCCAACCCAGACAGGAAGAGAGTCAGCCACCCCCTCCTAGAAGGAAGTGGGCTGTCTCATGCTCAGGTAGAAGTCAGGCGGGCAGGAAGGAGCAATCACTTTTATTTTTTCAGTTATATTACCAGGTTATGTATTTGAGATATGATTTCTCAAAAGGGAAGTAACTCAGGCAGAATCCATGCTTTTAACAATGGGTCCTTGGTCTAGAAGGATCTGCGTGGGGTTTAAGGCCCTCCTGTGACTCTCTGATGAGAAGGCAGGCAGGCAGGCATGTCACAGAGGAAAAGGCAGATAAGAACAACGTGCTGGGTCATGGGAGGAGACTCCACTTCCTATGCCACATGCGCAGAGGCATGACTAGGGCCCCCCGCACGACTAGAACCGTTTCATTCATAGCAAGCCTGGCTACAAAAAGGCAGAAGGGCTGATAGTCACCTGACACACATTGCCACCTTTTCTCTCCCCAGCTAGTTCAAACTCACAAGGCCATTTGCACAGCATTTTGGAAAGCCACCCATCCCCTGGATGAAAAAGTTTTAAGAAAGTTAGTGCATAATCTAAGGGAAGGGCCTCAAAGCAGAAAAAAAAAAAGAGTGATGGCAGCAGTTGAGTTTTGTGGCTGCTCTTCCGTGCTATTCCATGGGGCGCCGTGCAACGCTGCCCTAGAAGCCTGGGTGCACTGGTGAGAGGGCGGGAACAGGCGGGAGGCTCCACGCAGTCGGTGCCCGAAGCTGAGCCTTCGGGGAAGAGAAATGAGGTCAGCTCTCCACACCCCAGTGCCCCTGTGTACCCTCAGAAGTCATAGGGGGATACAAAGATGGTGACCTTGGACACGTGGTTGGCCTGGAAGGAGCGGTCCAGGTATTCCGACATGTCGACGTCCACCTCCAGCGTCTGAGGCCCCTCCAGGTTCTGCACAAGGATCAGATCCCCAGTCTGCCGGTCTGAACGCTGCATCACAAAGTGGCCGCGGCTGTTCCCACCCACGATCCCAAACCGCAGGCTGTTGGGCCCAGCTCGGCCGGGGGCAGAGGCTGTGGCCATGCGGAAGAGCGTGATGGGCGTCTTCAGGTTGGAAGGCAGAGAGAGGTAATGGAAGGAGATGGTCTTGGGCAGATGGCGGCAGGGCCTGCTGTCCATGGGGCAGGGGTTCCGCTCACACTGGCTGGAGCGGAGAGGCAAAATGGAGGCAGTCAGCCTTGGGGAGTCTCATGAAGAGCTGCTCTGACCCGGCTGCCCACCTGCCCTCTTGCAGAGGCCACCTAGATGACCTTTCCCAGCCACGGGTCCTTCACCCAGGAGCTATGGAGCTGTGGACGAGTGAATGTAGCTGGTGTCAGGCATGGCAAAGGAAGGGCTGCTGCTTCTGTTCCTGCTCAAGGGTGCTCCCTGCCCACCTGTGTACGTGTGTATGTGTGTGCACATACATTTATTTATGCTATTACTATCATTTTTACAGAAAAATATAGCCTGGGAATATTAAATAACAATGGCAATGCTGATATTCAAACCAGGTGCCCTTTCTCCATGTGCTGCGACCTCGCCCAGTAATGGCAGGACCTCAGCAGTTAGCCAGCAACATCCTGTAATGCAGTGCTTCCCACACGGTGTACGGTGAACTTCCTAAACACAGCAGCATGTATTTTATTTATTTATTTTTAGACAGAGTCTCACTCTGTCGCCCAGGCTGGAGTGCAATGGCATGATCTAGGCTCTCTGCAACCTCCACCTCCCAGGCTCAAGTGATTCTCCTGTCTCAGCCTCCTGGGTAGCTGGGATTACAGGTGCCCACCACCACGCCCAGCTAATTTTTGTATTTTTAGTAGAGACGGGGTTTCACCATGCTGGCCAGGCTGGTCTCGAACTCCTGATCTCAAGGGATCCGCCCTCCTCGGCCTCCCAGAGTGCTCGAATTATAAGCATAAGCCACTGTGCCTGGCCATCACGTGTATTCTCAACGCAGGAAGCCCTGTTTTCCTTAATCATTTGGAAAGAGGGTCTTGTGGAAATGCTTTCGATATTTCTCTATGTTGTTAAAAGACAAATGCAATCTAGTATATTTGGCGATTCTGTAGCATCATGATTATGCAGTCAACTGTCACATCCAGCTGTTGGTCGAATGCCCCAGAGGCCGTCATAGACCCGTTCCCTATCCCTTCACCGAGTGACTTCATGAGGAAGGTTCTGATGTCTTCACTCTCTCTAAAAACTGCCATGCTTCAGTGCCACTAAGTTTCTTGCTGCTTCTAATCTGCTTTAACTCAACAGCAATTCAAATAATTAAGTTACCCTCCATGGCTGTTACTTCATTTTAAAGACAACGCTAGGGCTCTTGTGATCTCTTTTTGAGAGGAAAATGTATGTGCTTTGTGATAGTTGTAGTCATTCCCCTTAAAGGCCCATCTCCCAACTTTAAAAAAAAAAAAAAAAGCTCTACTTGCTGTTTAAGAGTTGCAGTTACTAGATGTAGAACCTTCTAGTACTATTGGAAAAGCAGAGTGATATAATGCAGGGTGCACGGGATATGCAGTGTAACTCAAGGGAGTCTATAGTTCCTGGCTATGTGAATGCTGTCACCTCCCAAATCCATGTGATCTATACCTGTCTCCTGGGCTGCTATGGGTTTATCAGGGTAATGTCACCAACAGCTTCTTCCCTTCAGTGCCTGCCCTGGCTTTGCCATCCTGGGGTGGCAGCAACCCCATCAACCTCTATGTAGTGGGGGTGCACTTAGTATATTACTCCCATGGGGAATGGGGTTCTTATTTCTCCAGAGCAGCAACGCATTAAATGCAACCACTAAGCGGAAATGGAAATTCAGAGACACCAGCCTCCCAGCCTCCTGCCTCTCATCTTTCTATGGTATAACTGTACCTTCTCCCAAGAACCTCTAGGAAGCATCCAGCCCAGCCACACTTGGAGGCCTGGGTGAGGGTGTGCCTCCCCTGGAGATACTCACAATGGAGACGTCTTCACGTAGCTCACATTGCCGCTGCCCTCGGGGCACTCAGGGCTGACACACTGGAAGCTTCCACCGGTGTTGATGCATGTGGTCCCCTGGGGGCACACCGGCTGCAGGCCCACACATTCATCCACATCTGAGATACAGGACATACAACAGGTGAGAATCGCCCTGACCTTCCCTCCATTGCAGACAGAACCACATGAGAGGCCCTGCAGGTCCTGTAATGTGGTGCTCCCTGCTCCTGGCACTTATTCTTAAAGCAGAAAGCCTGCCTTCCTTAACTGTGTGGAATCAGGGCCCTGAGGAAATGCCAGGGAGTGCCCCTCCCTGGGATCCTGTCCTCTTTCCCTGGGGTATGACAGGTGGCAAGGATGGTGGAAAGCACCAGGTGAGTGTTACTGGTCACAATGCTTCTCTTAGACCTGTCTGCTTCTCAGCCCAAGTGCCCCATTACCCTCCATGGCTGTTATTCTTCATATATATATATGTGTGTGTGTATATATATGTATATGGTATATATATATATGTATATATGGTATATATATACACACACCATATATACGTATATATGGTATATATGGTGTGTGTATATATATATACCATATACATATATATACATATACCATATTCATATATATACCATATATACACCATATACAGCATATATATACCATATACCTATATATACTATATATACACACACTTTTTTTAAATTAGAATCTTCTAGAAAGTCTTCCCTGCCAGCCTCACCCCATGCGAGTGCAGACACCTCAATATCATGATTTGTATGAGTTCTCTGCTCCCTTTGCAGACATCCAGAGAGTCTCCCCAGCTGGAGGCCGTCCCTCCCAACCCCAAGCAACCCCAGGTGGGCCTTCGTGAGCACTGTGGGAGGGAGGGAGTGTGGGTGGCTATCTGGATGCCTTCTCCTGCTCCAGCCCCAGGTCACCCACTCCTCAGAGCCCTGCAGCGGGGCCCCAATGGGATGTCACCGGGGAGCCACCTCTCCCCTCACATTCCCACGTCAGCCCATGGAGGAGCCCTCTGCCCTCTCTTCTCCCGTTCTCCCTTGGTGGGTCAGAGCTGTTATCTGGAGCCAGCGGGGCTCCCCTCTGTGTCCTGTTTCCATGGGGGAAGTCCAGCTGGGGAGGTGGGCCTGTCCACCCTCCTAGTGTGAGGTATGCCTGCAGGAGCAGAACCAGCCCCCCGAAAGGCCCACTGCAGCATGGTGGTTTAAGGGCCAAGGGTCAGGATGATCCCACTTGGGCTTCAGGCCTGAGATGTGTGCTCTGACTCAGCTCATGTGGAGATTCAGCATGTCTACATCAACTGACATCTGTATTTTCCCTAAGTGGAGGTGGGGAAACACAGGAGGCTTCCTGTTAGGCACCCAGTGTCCCTGGGACTTGTCCTGTAGTGATGATGGTGACTGTTGCGAGGGTTCTCAGCCTCTCTGTTCTACAACCAACCCACTCTGCACACATCCTTCCTAATCTCTTAGGTGCCTCCCATCCCTGCTGCAGACATTCCTTGTCAACTTAAGATGTTCTTTCCCACTCTGCCAGGAATCAGCCTCAGAAACCTCAACCCGGCCCTCCAGGAAACCACTGCTGATGGACAGGATTCAGCACTGGGGTGAAACCTGAGCCAGTTATTTTCCATCTGCGCCGCTGCCCCCCAACCCACTCTCTGCACCTGAGAGGCTGACTGGTTTTTAGCTGGGGTTGGCAAATGACAGTGACCCAGCCTGAGGAGTCCTGACCTGCCTGGATGTGGTTCTGATGGAGGCTGTGTCCTTGATCAGAGCCACAATCTTTCAGGCTCTGATAAGCCCCCTCACTTCCTGTACCTCACAAGCCAGGGGTAGTGATGCCCCCGACTCTTGTCCCTCCCTGGGTGCTCCGCCTCCCTTGTTGTCCTCAGCTACCATCAGACAAGGCTGGTGCTGTAGCGCCCGACCTCACTAAGACATAAGTGCCTGTAAGGTGCTGCCCCTTTCAGAGGTGGACTTACAGGTGGACACAGGGTCATGGAGTCTCATGGGTTCCTCCAGATTACATGACATGGGTGACCACCTGGCCACTCTGCCTTTAGGCCCAGCCCTAGCTGAAGGAATTGTTGAGTGGGTAGAATTGACCAGACCTTGAAGAAAACAAAAAACCCATTTACTCAAATAAAGTCGGAAAAGACTAGTTGCCAAGATGTTTAAGGAACTCATTTTCCTATTTATGTAGATGATAATGTGGCCTGACCTTTGAGAAGCCCTTTGGTTGGTGGCTTTTTAAAAATCCAATGTATCTGAAACTGTGACTCTCCTAACCACCTCACTCCCGACTGTGAGGTCCTGGGGGTTCAGCACAGCAGCAGGTGGCTGGGTGCAGACGACACTCTGTAGCCTCACTCACCCTCACAGCTCTTCCCGTCAGCCAGAGTTCGGTATCCACCGGGGCAGGTGCAACGGTAAGAGCCCGGGGTGTTCACGCAGGCGTGCATGCAGAGCCGGGGGCGCCCCTCCTGCCCGTAGAGCTCACACTCGTTCACGTCTGCAGACAGAAGTGCTCACTGTGACTTTAGGAGCCATGCAGCAAGTGTTGCCAGCTGTGACCCAGAACAATCATGCTTCAATTCCTGGAGGCAGTGGCAGCTGCAGTTAAGTGGCTGGGCCTCGGGCAGCCGCCATGCCCTACCCCCAGCAGAGCACTCACAAGAGGAGCAGGTGTGCTTCCCTTTCTCCTAAGCCGAGGGCCCAGAGGGCTAAAAGGAGGAGTGAGAGGGAGCTGAAGTGCTAGGCCCTAGAAAGGCATCACTGTCTTAGGCTGAAGACACCTGGGGAGACCCTGCAGAGGCTGGCAAATCAAGCCTATTCCCAGAAAGTAGGGATGGGTTAACAGCCCCATGTTAACTCTCTTTATCTTTGGGAATCCTCCTTTCTGTGCTGTAAAATGAGGCTATTAGCACCAACTGACCAGATCTCAGCTTTGAACTCCTGCTTTGCGTTGTTTGGGGAGAGAACTCTGGTAATCAGGAGAGCACAGCAAAACTGAGCCGTCAGGAAAGCTAAGCCCAGAGGGGACCAAGGAATGAGTCCCACACCCCTACCCAGCTCCGGGCCCGCTCTACCAACACGGCGATTTAAGCTCCTCCTTGCCACCCGTAGACGTGATTCCAGCCAGGGCGGAGGGGATGGAGGGTCTCAAGGCTCTCCTGAACCAAGCGCGTGTGGCTTGGGCATAGGCTGGACCAGGTTCTGAGGCGGGGCGAGCTCTGATTTCTGTGAATTAGCTGCCTTCTAGCCATCACTAGGTCAACACTTACCTATAATGCAAAGTGGCCAGGCCTTCTGAGACCGCGCGCAGGAAGCCACCCGTGCCGGCAGGAGGGCGGTGGGTGAGAGCCCCTTCCCCGCCCCATGTCCTCCCCGTGCTGTCCCCAGTGTCCTGGCGGAGCCCGCGCCTACCCTGGCAGACGCTGTCGCCGGCGGCGCCGCTCAGGTGGAATCCGGCCTCGCAGCTGCAGTGCTGAGCCCGCTCCACCTGCGCACAGCGCGGCGCGCGGCTGAAGGCGGAGTCGCCGGCCACGCTGCCCTCGGGGGCGGCTGCGGGGAGAAGACACGCTCAGTGCCGGGCCCTGGCGCACCTGCCGTGGGCCCGACCTTGGGTAGGGGCCGGGAGCAGAACCAAGACGGAGGCACGGCCCCTTCTCAAAGGGCTTACTCTGGAGTAGGGAAAGGAGAGACAAGTAATCAACCACAGACCCAGACGACCCGTCCAGGGCCTACGCGAAGGGGGCGCGGGAAAGGAAGCGCCCTGGAATAGAATGGTGCAGGAAAATGCAGGCCACCAAGCCGCACCCCGAGAAGGACAGCTGGGGCAAATCCACGTCTTCACTTAAAAAGACTTGAACACCCCAAAATTCTAACGGTGATCACTAGAGTTTAAAACCATGGGCCACTATTTTTTGTTTCTTTGTGTGTGTGTGTGTATTCTTTATTTTATTATTTTTAATTTTAGGTTTGAAGACCTTCAACATGTGAAGGTTTGTTACATAGATAAACACGTGTCACAGGGGGTTATTGTACACATCACCCAGGTATTAAGCCCAGTACCCAATAGTTACCTTTTCTGCTCCTCTCCCTCCTCCCCAACCCCTCAAGTAGACCCAGTGTCTGTTGTTTCCTTCTTTGTGTTCATAAGTTGTTATCAATTAACTCCCAGTTATAAGTGAGAACATGCCGTATTTGGTTTTCTGTTCCTATGTTAGTTTGCCAAGGATGGTAGCCTCCAGCTCCATCCATGTTTCCACAAAAGACATGATCTCATTCTTTTTTGTGGCTGCGTAATATTCCATGGTGTATATGTCCCACATTTTCTTTTCTTTTTTTTCTTTCGTTTTTTTTTTTTTTTTTTTTTTTGAGACAGAGTCTCACTCTGTCGCCCAGGCTGGAGTGCAGTGGCACGATCTCCGCTCACTGCGAGCTCTGCCTCCCGGGTTCATGCCATTCTCCTGCCTCAGCCTCCTAAGTAGCTGGGACTACAGGCGCCCGCCACCACACCGGGCAAATTTTTTTGTATTTTTTTAGTAGAGACGGGGTTTCACCATGTTAGCCAGGATGGTCTTGATCTCCTGACTTCGTGATCTGCCCACCTCGGCCTCCCAAAGTGCTGGAATTACAGGCGTGAGCCACCACGCCCAGCCCCATGTACCGCATTTTCTTTATCCAGTCTGTTATTGACGAGCATTTAGGTTGGTTCCATGTCTTTGCTATTGTGAACAGTGCTGCAACAAATATTCGAGTGCATGTGTCTTTATGGTAGAATGTTTTGTGTTGCTCTGGGTATATACCCAGTAATAGGATTGCTGGGTCAAGTGGTAGTTCTGCTTTTAGCTCTTTGAGGAATCACCATACTGCTTTCCACAATGGTTGAACTAATTTACACTCCCACCAACAGTGTATAAGGGTTTCCTTTTCTCCACAACCTCTCCAGGATCGGTTACTTTTTGGCTTTTTAATAATAGCCATTCTGAGGGGTGTGAGATAGTATCTCATACCAGATAGTTTTGATTTGCATTTCTTTAATCATCAGTGATATGGAGCTTTTTTTTCCATATGCTTGTTGGCCTGTTGTAGGTTTTCTTTTGAGAAGTTTCTGTTCATGTACGTTGCCCACTTTTTAATGGGGTTGTTTGTTTTTCTCTTGTAAATTTAAGTTCCTTATAGACGCTGGATATTAGACCTTTGTCAGATGCATAGTTTGCAAATATTTTCTCCCATTCTGTAGGTTGTCTGTTTACTCCTTTGATACTTTCTTTTGCTATGCAGAAGCTCTTAAGTTTAATTAGAATCCGTTTGTCAATTTTTGCTTTTGTTGTAATTGCTTTTGGTATCTTTGTCATGAAATCTTTGTCCATTCCTCTGTCAGGATGGTATTGCCTACGTTGTCTTCCAGGGTTTTTGTAGTTTTGGATTTTACATCTAACTCTTTAATCCATCTTGAGTTGATTTTTGTCTGTGGTGTAAGAAGTGGTTCAGTTTCAGTCTTCTGCATATGGCTAGCCAGTTATCCCAGCACCATTTATTGAATAGGAGTCTTTTCCCCATTCTTGTTTTTGTCAGCTTGGTCAAAGATCAGATGGTCATAGATGTGTGGCCTTATTTCTGTGCTCTCTATTCCGTTCCATTGGTCTACGTGCCTGTTTTTGTACCAGTACCATGCTGTTTTGGTCACTGTAGCCTTGTGGTATAGTTTGAAGTTGGGTAATGTGATTCCTTTAGCTTTGTTCTTTTTGCTTAGGATTGCCTTGGGTATTCAGGATCTTTTTGGGTTCCATATGCATGTTAAAGTAATTTTTTTCTAGTTCTGTGAAGAATGTCTTTGGTAGTTTGATAGGAATAGCATTGAATCTGTAAGTTGTTTTGGGCAGTGTAGCCATTTTAATGATATTGATTCTTTGTATCCATAAGCATGGAATGTTTTTTCATTTGTCTGTGTCTTCTCTGATTTTTTTGAGCCATGTTTTGTAATTCTCATTATAGAGATCTTTCACCTCCCTGGTTAGCTGTATTCCTAGGTATTTTATTTGTGTGTGTGTGGCAAATTGTGAATAGGATTGTCTTTCTGATTTGGCTCTCAGTTTGGTTGTTGTTGGTATATAGGAATGCTAGTGATTTTTCTACATTGATTTTGTATCCTGCAACTTTGCTGAAGTTGTTTATCAGTTGAAGGAACTTTTGGGCCGAGACTTTGGGATTTTCTAGATATAGAATCATGTCATCTGCAAACAGAGATAGTTTGATTTCCTCTCTTCCTATTTGGATGCGCTTTATTTCTTTCTCTCGCCTGTTGCTCTCGCCAGGACTTCCAATACTACGTTGAATAGAAGTGATGAGAAAGGGCATCCCTGTCTTATGCCAGTTTTCAAGGAGAATGCCCATTCCGTACAATGTTGGCTGTGAGTTTGTCATAGATGGCTCTTATTATTTTGAGGTCTGTTCCTTCAATACCTAGTTTGTTGAGAGTTTTTAACATGAAGAGATGTTGAATTTCATCAAAAGCCTTTTTGCATATATTGAGATAATCATGTAGTTTTGCTTTTAGTTCTGTTTATGTGATGAATCACATTTATTGATTTTTATATGTTGAATCAACCTTGTATCCCGGGGAGGAAGCCTACTTGATCATGGTGGATTCGCTTTTTCATGTGCTGCTGGATTTGGTTTGCAAGTATTTTGTTGAGGATTTTTGTATCAATGTTCATCAAGGATATTGGCCTGACATTTTCTTTTTTTGTTGTGTCTCTGCCAGGTTTTGGTATCGAGATGACTCTGGCCTCATCGAATAAGTTGGGGAGAGGTCCATCCTCCTCAGTTTTTTGGAATAGTTTCTGTAGGAATGGTACCAGCTCTTCTTTGTACATCTGGTAGAATTTGGCTGTGAATCCGTCAGGTCCTGGGCTTTTTTTGGTTGGTAGGCTATTTATGACCAATTCAATTTCAGAGCTCATTATTGGTCTGTTCATGGGCCACTATTTTTTGTTCCTGGTTTTTTTTTGTTTGTTTTCTTTTGGTTTTTTTTTTTGTATTTCTTGTACTTTTCTAAAGTGTTCACATTTTTGGTTTTTGCCAGGAACATAAATTTCTCTTTCTCTCTCTCTCTTTCTTTCTTTTTGAGACAGAGTCTCGCTGTGTCACCCAGGCTGGAGTGCAGTGGCACGATCTCGGCTTACTGCAGCCTCTGTCTCCCGCATTCAAATGATTCTCCTGCCTCTGCCTCTGAACAGCTGGAATTACAGGTGCACGTCACCACACCCTGCTATTTTTTTTTTTTGTATTGTTAGTAGAGACAGGGTTTTACCATGTTGGCCAGGCTGGTCTCAAACTCCCAACCTCAAATGATCCACCCACCTCAGCCTCCCAAAGTGCTGGGATTACAGGCATGAGTCATCATGCTTGGCCAAATTATATTTCTAATCAGGAAAAAATGTTATTTTTCTGAAAGTTTTTCAAGGATTGATGGGAATCAAACACAAGTGGACAAATCCTGCATGATTCTACTTAGATGAGGTCCCTAGAGCAGTCAGACTCACAGAGACAGAAAGAAGAATGAATGGTGATTACCAGGGGCTGTGGGGAGGGCAATGGGGAGTTGTCCTGTTATGGGTACAGAAGCTCAGTTTTGCAAGACAAAAAGAATTCTGGAGCTGGATGGTGGTGATGGTCGCACAACAATGTGAATGTGATTAATGCCACTGAGCTGTACAGTTAAAAAGGATGAAACTGGTAAATTTTATGTTATATATATGTTTTATCATCATAAAAAATAGGGTGAATGGATTTTTAAAAAAGGAATTGGAGGGATGCTCCTCCAGGGAACTGGAAAGGCATGGGCCAGCTGATGGGAAGGAAGGTGTCAGGCTGAGGGACAAGGTGAGCAAGAGCCCAGATGCGTGATGGCTGTTCATGGAGACTATGAGGATAGGAGCTGGCTTTGGATATGCCTGCTTGCTTCCCCTCCTTCCCATTCCTGGGGAAGATTCTGGCCATGGGGACACTTTATAACAGGCCCCCCTGGACCTGAGCAACAATTGTCTAAAGATCCTTGGGCGGGCATGGTGGCTCACACCTGTAATCCCAGCACTTTTGGAGGGCAAGGCAGGCAGATCACTTGAGGTCAGGAGTTGGAGACCAGCCTGGCCAACATGGTGAAACCCCGTTTCTACTAAAAATACAAATATTAGGCAGGAGTGGTGACAGACACCTGTAATCCCAGCTACTCGGGAGGCTGAGGCAGGAGAATCACTTGAACTCAGGAGGCGGAGGTTGCAGTGAGCTGAGATGGTGCCACTGCACACTCCAGCCTGGGCAACAGAGTGAGACTCCCATCTTAAAAAAAAAAAAAAAATCCCACAGTGGGAGGAAACCCTAAAGAGTGGGGTTTAGAACATTCAGTGACCAGGACTGGCATATTTAGGGCAGAAGGGAACCCATTTCTTTTTCCCTCTTGTTTGTAAACAAGGGGAGAGGCAGTGAGGTCTCCAAGAAAGCCCTGTCTCTGGCCTCAGTTTCCATAGAAAGCAGTTCCAGGGACAGGAGCTGTAAGGGGCCTCTGAGCTCGGGAGGACAGCCTCATTTTGAGAAAGTGCCCAGCCAGCTGACTCAGCTGAACTGAATCAGGGCATATTAAGCAGCAAATCTCTTGGGGCACTATTTAAACCTGAGCTTGGGCTGGGTCCAGTGCCAGGATCATAAGTATTGATAAAGCTCTTATCCACTGGACACTGCACTAGCCCCAATGTCCCTTCCCCCCACAGATATTTCATACAGAAATAAAGACAAACAGGCATAACACACCAGACTTTTGTGGCTAAGGAATAGGATATCTTTGGGGCTGAATGAAATCTTGGTTGCATCATGGTGCGGGAACCCCTGTCCATCCTCCACAGATTCCTTATCACTGGATTTTCTTGCCATATGCAAAACCAGGCACCACGTGACTTCTTAGACTCTCTGGGTCGAGATATGTTGAGACTCAAGATGTGAATAGTAATCTCAAAACCAGTCAAATGTATAGTTATCCAGCTCTCAAAATACTTGGGCCTGCATCAATAGCTGCTAATTTTGCAAGATGTAATGGGAACACTGGAAAGAAAAGGTGGTTCTGCTGGCGTAAGAAATGCTGACCAAGCAAAGGTGGCAACAGTGAAACTTCTTGGGCCACATTCCCAATCTAGGGGATTTTTACGTTGGGAGTCAGTTCTTGCGCTTGTGTTTTCTACTATAAGAAGGGTCAAAACTCTGGTTGCATCAAAGAGCTAAGCTCTGTCAAGTGACCACCTTAGAAAACCAGAGGGATCGGTGGATGTGAAACAGAGAGGAAAAGCTACATCTTTGAGTGGGGGACTGAGCTCCCTACATGTCTGCATTTGGGGACCTATGCCTAGGGTCCTCCTCTCCCCACAGCAGGATGTCCTCACCTAACCCCATGGTGGCTACATACCAGTCTGGGCCTGATGCTGACAGCGGTTCCCAGTCCTTCCTGGAGGACAAATGCATCTGTACTGGTTGACTCCTTCTACACATGTACCACCATTTTGACAAGGCTGGCTGGAGCATTCACTGATACCTAGGAAGATAAATAATTTTCAAATATACGGATGTGAGTTCTAGGTCTAAAACAAATACAATAAAAAACTGATGAAGGGTTAACTTCCTTTACATTGTAGGAGAACTCCCACTTTCTACCTGACCCCACCCACTCTTTCCACCCTCTCCACCCGCAAGAGCTGCCAGGGGGCCGATGGGGCTGATATGCAGCCCTATTGCATCTCCATTCAGCAGGCCCTGCACCCAGGCACACACTGCCCACCTGGGGCTCTGCATGCAGGAGCTGGCCTATGAGCTGGCCATACCCCACCCACAGGCACCATTTTCTAATTTGCAAAGGTGCAGTGTAGACAGCTGTAGCCAGACAGAAGTGGCTACCTGTGGGCATCTGCCCACATTGCCTTTGAGTCAGGCCCTGTAACCCACAACCCTTCTGCTCCATCAGCCAGCACCTGGGAGAAACATTTTTAAACAGGAACAAAATTCAGTGCAGTTATAAAGGGGAGGGATGGCCCACTGGAATGTCCAGGGTTGGGGAAAATGAATTCTCCAAATTCCCAACCAGAAGCCCTACTGTGCTTGACCAGGTAAGAGTTTTTTGACATTTCCTTAACATTGGTAAAGGGAGACGTTCCTTGCTCATCTACACGACACTTCTGTGGAAAAGGTCTTTGTAGAGAGAGATTGTTATTTTAAAAAGCTCAGTAGACTTTTTTTCTCTGAGTGGTAGGCTTACAGGTGATTTTTCTTTGCTAGTTTATAATTTTTTGTATTCTTCCCTTTTCCCATAATAATCATGTATACATTTTTTTTAATTAGAAAAAAAATGATTGTTTTAAAACCTAGAGGTCACATGTTAGCTGGGCATGGTGGTATGTGCCTGTAATCCCAGCTACTTGGGAGTCTGAGGCAGGAGAATCGCTTGAACCCGGGAGGCGGAGGTTGCAGTGAGCCGAGATCCCACCACTGCACTCCAGCCTGGGTGACAGAATGAGACTCCGTCTCAAAAACAAAAAACCAACCAACCAAACAAACAAAAAAAACCCCATAGGCCACATGTGCTTGTTATGAATTCCCTAAGCCCAGTTTTAGTGCACAGAAATAGGCCATTTCCATCAGAGAGAGGCTTGTCAGTTCACTGACTTGACCACATTATCTTCGGAAAGAAAACTGAAAACACCTCCTTGTTGGCATAAAAGCAGCCTTTCCTGTGTGTCTATCAAGAGGAAGAAAAACAGGTGCTTTGCTCCTAATGAGAACGACAGACTTGTTTTGGGTGGAATGGGAGGGACTTAGGCTTCCCTTAAGCCTCCTGGAGATTGGGATGTCATTAGACTCTTAAACAGTTTCTATTTGTTGCAAAAAGACAGACCACCCGAATGCTGCTCATCCCTAGAGAAGGAGCCATTTCAGTTTCTCAGTAACCTCAGCCTGGTTGCACTGTCCCTCATACATTCTGTTTGCAGAAGACCGGTTTCCAGGAATGTGTCTGAAATGACTGTACACAAATGCTTGGGGTTGCTTAGAGCTTGGGGTTACTGTTATCCCTTGTCCAGCTCCATGGTTGCCCACCAGCGTAGTCTGGAAGTGGGCAGATCACTAGGCCGTGAAGTTGTGGGCAGAGAGCCAGAAAATGTGAACACCAGTATCTTGTAGCTTGGCCCCAGTAGGGCCAGTGCTGTGGTCTCTCCTTTGCTGCCTGCCAAAAGAAGGCATTGAGCCTGATCTGTACCTGAACCATGTGGATGGGTGTTGGGGATCATCGGTGCAGCAGAGAAACGCACAGCTGTCCCAGGACCGTACACTCTGTCTCCCTCTCTGGATCCACCCAGTGTATTCATTTCTAGACAGGCTGCATTCAGACTCTCTTTATCTGTTATCTTGATATGCAATCAGAGGCATCCAATGGCCTGATGTCCAGCCCGGCACCCACTCTGTGTCCTGATTGAAGTACAGTTGTCATCACACGCACGTATGTCCCAGGCTGTGGCATTCAGTCAAGTGCATGGCAGGGGCTGGCAAGCCAAAGCCCAGATGATAATTCTGCTTTCATCTGCTGTTTCGTGAAGGTGAAACTTCACGTAAGTAAGTTTCATCTTACTGTTTTCATGAAGCCTAGCTAAGGATTTTATATGCATGACCGAACTTTTTTCTTTTATTTCTAATTCCTTCCTGACTTTTTTCTTTTATTTCTAATTCCTTCCTGACTTTTTTCTTTTATTTCTAATTCCTTCCTGGGTTCTATCAACTCATTTCCTGTTTTTCATTTTTCCAATCACCTCATTTTTGAGTGTTTTCTCATTTTTATCTAAACTGTTCTTTCCTTGCTTTTATCTTTTAAACATTTCTTTCAGCTTGTGATACTCTAGGTTATAGTTTTTATCTGTTTTATGGCCATGTCTTTCCGGCATTTCTTTATTGTCTATAGAAATTTTACTCTTTTTTTATAATATCCTCTAAGGAATTTGTCAAGAATCCTTTTCATTACTCATAATTAAGTGAAATGTTTTCCATATAGCTTTGCTAACTTCATGACTCTGAAATTCTCACTTCACTTCTGTTGTTTTTCCAACGTGAGCAAACACAGGGCCTCACACTTTCTCAGCTCTGCCTCCTTTGCACTTTTGTCTGGATGACCATCTCTTTCATTTGCACCTATTTTCCTTGTTGTGCACAGTTTGGACTCTCCTCCCGTTAAAGTCTCCTTAATATTAAGACTTTGCCCTGGAAAATTTTGGAGGTTCCTGTGGGGCAGGCTGTTCCAGCCACTGAAACTTCCTATTGAAAAGACGAACTTACAGCCAGGTGTGGTGGCTCACACCTGTAATCCCAGCACTTTGGGAGGTTGAGGCGGGTGGATCACTTGAGGCCAGGAGTTCAAGACCAGCCTGGCCAACATGGCGAAACCTTGTCTTTATTAAAAATACAAAAAATTAGCCGGGCATGGTGGTGGGCACCTGTAGTTCCAGCTACTTGGGAGGCTGAGGCAGGAGAATCGCTTGAAGCCAGGAGGCAGAGGTTGCATGAGCCAAGATCGCGCCACTACTCTCCAGTCTGGGCAACAGAGTGAGACTCTGTCTCAAAAAAAAAAAAAAAAAAAAAAAAGAAAGAAAAAGAAAAGGTGAATTCCATACCTGAGAAAACTGACCCAGAAAGGCTGGCACTGAGACAGATCCTAATCAAATGACTGAATTTTAAAGAAAAAGAATATATTTTGGGGGCATTCAGGCAAAAAGACAAATATAGTAGCACAATAGCATCAGTTTAAAACAGAAGACACAGAGTGACATAAGATACTCAAGAAAAATGTGAGATAGGTGTTTTATATCCAATGGAACTAACAACCAGTAAAAAAGCTGCACACTTTTTGAAAGTGGGAAAACTCAGGAAATTGCTCTAACTAAACAGACATCAGATAAGGATGGTAGTGACACTCGCTGAGGCAGAAGAGACATTATCAACCAATTCTAAGTTATAAAACTGATTTTGACCCTGATTCAAACAAAGTGTTAAAAAAGTGTGAGACAATTGGGGGAATTTTTACTCTAATTAGATATTGATGATGTTAAGGAATTTGCTGTGTTAATCACTGGATTTTAGGTACATAAGTTCATTCTACTATTCTCTGTAGTTTGGTGTGTTTGAAACTTTCCATAGTGAAAAAATCTTTTAAGATGCTTAATGGTCGGGTGCGGTGGCTAGCGCCGCCTGTAATCCTAGCACTTTGGGAGGCCGAGGCAGGCGGATCATGAGGTCAGGAGATCGAGACCATCCTGGCTAACACGGTGAAACCCTGTCTTTACTAAAAATACAAAAAAATTAGCCGGGTATGGTGGCGGGCACCTGTAGTCCCAGCTACTCGGGAGGCTGAGGCAGGAGAATGGCATGAACCCAGGAGGCAGAGCTTGCAGTGAGCCAAGATTGTGCCATTTAATAAAGCCTAGAATAGCCCTTAGGAGGAAGTGCTTCCTAATCATAAAGAGTTACATTTAGAAAGAAGAGGTAATGAAAAATTGCTCACGTTAATATCTATACACAGATGATACTGAATATGTGCGACTTGGATGTATGTGTATGTGCTTAGATAAAAGACTAGAAGGAAATTCATCTTTTTTTCATTAATTTAATCATTTGGTAAATCAGCCAGCCAGTCAGTTACTCAGTAACTATTTATTGAGTGTCTACTATATATTTAAAAGGCAGCTCTTTCTACTCAAATCTTTTTTTTAAAGGTCTCGGGGGAAAGGCCTCATGATACAGAAGGTGAGGTGGACTGAAGCTCTGCTCCCTTCTCACTGCAAAATGCCCTTCCAAAACTCCATCCAGCACCACTGGCCCTGCTTTCCACAGCCTCCCCGAAGTCTGCCTCTCCCGGCCCCTCCTGTCTCCTTTCGCCCTCCTCCTTCTCCATTTGACTTCTCAGTGCCCTGCAGGTCTCTGCCTGAGTCACGTTTCTGTCTCCATCCTCTCCTTGCAGGTCCTCCTTCCACTGCCTATGGATTTCAGTACTATCTTATGCAAATAACTCCCAACTGGGTACCTCCAACCCTTCTGCTGCCTTGAGCTCCAGACGATGTCTACCCATCTAGGGTGGAATGAATGGATCTCCACTAGGGTGTCTGTCGCACAGCCATTTTAACGTAATATGTCCAAAATGGAATTCTGATCAATGACCCACACACGAGCTGTTTAAAAACAAACCACATCCATCGCTCAGTCTTCATCATCTCTGTAAATGACACCCGGCACACCATCATCCAAGCCTGAGCCTGGGAGCCTTGATTTCTCCTCCTGGCTCACAGCCCACATGGGATGGCAGCAAATTCCATCAGTTCTGTCTCTAAAAATACCTAGAATCTCCGCTGCCACAATCTCTCCCCTGGACTTCTGCAATAGCCACCTATGTGTTTTCCCAGCTTCCATTCTTGTCATCTCCAATGCATTCTCTATGCAGCAGCGACACTTGTCTTAACCCTGTTTATTGGGCTTAGAACTAAAATCCCACCACCTGCATGGCCCATGACTACAGTGCTGGCCTGCGTGTCTCTCCACCTCACCTGGCTCACTCTCAGCTCATATAATCTCCAGCAACAAGGTTCTATAATTTCATTTTTCATTTCTTCAATTGTGCCAAATTCTTCCCTTCCCTGGGGGTCTTTGCTCATTCTCCTTCCTTTTCTTTTCTTTTTTTTTTTTTTTCACTTTCGAGACAGGGTCTCACTCTGTCACCCAGGCTGGAGTGCAGTAGCATGATCTCGACTCACTGCAATCTCTGCCTCCCGGGTTCAAGTGATTCTCCCAGCTCAGCCTCCAGAGTAGCTGGGATTACAGGCGCATGCCACCATGCCCGGCTAATTTTTGTATTTTTAGTACAGATGAGGTTTTGCCAAGTTGGCCAGGCTGGTCTCGAACTCCTGACCTCAAGTGATCCACTCACCTTTTCTTTTTCTTTTCTTTTCTTTTCTGTTTTTGTTTTGTTTTGTTTTGTTTGAGATGGAGTTTTGCTCTTGTCACCCAGGCTGGAGTGCAATGGTGCGATCTCAGCTCACTGCAATCTCCGCCTCCCGGGTTCAAGCGATTCTTCTGCCTCAGCCTCCCAAGTAGCTGAGATTACAGGCGCCTGCCACCACACCCAGCTAACTTTTTACATTTTTATTAGAGACGGGGTTTCACCATGTTGGCCAGGCTAGTCTCGAACTCCTGACCTCAAGTCATCCATCCACCTCGGCCTCCCAAAGTGCTAGGATTACAGGCATGAACCACCGCGCCTGGCCCCTTCTTCCTTTTCTTAAAACAGTGTCTGCCCTGTGCTGCCCAACTACCTGCTCTTTGCCTGGCTAGATCCCATTCCTCCTTTCATCTCAGTGTCATTGTCCCCTGCTCAGAGGCCCTCAACTGCTCCTTGCCCCGTGCTGTTTACTCTGTCCCTTGTTAGGTCATGTGTGGCCCTCACCACAAACGTCAGCTCGCTTCCCTTGGTGTGTGGCTGCCTGCTTTGCTTTGCCTCCCCTCTTAGCCTGTGCACCCCAGAGGCCAGGGTCGTGTCTGTGGGATTCGACATTGAGTCCCTGGCATCTGGCACCAGCTTTGTGAATGGCTGGTGCTCAGTAAAAATTGGCTGAATGAAAGAATGAAGGTTAAAAATAAAGGGTGGGGACGACTGACAAAGATTCCTTTCCACCAGCATGACGATAAGTGACAACGGTATTTATATCTCTCAAATTCGTTTCTTTGGTTACCCACGTTGTCAAAGGCACAAGATCTTCAGCTATGGTTACCAATTCAGAAAGCTTTACGTCTTAAAAACATGGCCTTCAGAGAAAGGAGGAGGAAAAAAGGAAAATAAAGGAGAAATGGAGAAAGCCAAGTGGCTGCTTTCCACTCTGGAGTTCTGGAGTCCACCTACGCCTGCTGTTTTTTTGTTTTGTTTTGTTTGTTTTTGTTTGTTTGTTTTTCTCCCGAGACGGAGTCTTGCTGTGTCACCCAGGCTGGAGTGCAGTGGTGTGATTTCGGCTCACTGCAACTTCTGCCTCCCAGGTTCAAGCAATTCTCCCTGCCTCAGCCTCCTGAGTAGCTGGGATTACAGGTGCCCACCACCACGCCTAGCTAATTTTTGTATTTTTTAGTAGAGATGGGGTTTCACCACGTTGGCCAGGCTGGTCTTGAACTCCTGACCTCAGGTGATCTGCTGCCCTGGCCTCACAAAGTGCCGGGATTACAGGCGTGAGCCACCGCTCCTGGCCTGCCTGCTGTTTTTTAATGGCGTAATTGTGTACACACAATTTCCTTCCCTGCCAAGTTGGGTTCATCACTGTCTTTCCAAGCAGCTGACTAGAGTTGGAGTGAGGGACAATTATGACAGCACTGCCAAATTTGTCACTGGCACTGATATTTTGGGCCTTGAAATGAATTCTCTGTAATTAAGAAGATTATGCCCCACCCCCACTCTGTGGTCATAACACATGGCAACCACACGACTGGTGGTTTGGAACATGCAGTGGGTGTGCTCAGTGGTTGCTGGTAAGTTTCTAGGTTTGGTCACTAGATTGTTGAGTTCCAGCCTGTGTCCCGTCCACACCCTTAATACTGTCACAATTGGTCATCAAACAGCAGTCAGGAGCACTATTTCTCCCTCCTGGCAAGTTTGGCTGACACCGCTTTGAGGCTCTTGCTGGAGACAACAACCATGAATCACATCAATTCCTGCTGAGAACAGAAGTGTCGGTGCAGGCAGAGTCTACTCACTTAGGAGGGGCCGTGGCCAGCAGCTGCTGGAGCAGCTTGGTTGTAACACATGAGTATTTTTGTTCAATCACCACCATGGGGTCAATGCCCAGGCCCCATCTATGCTTCAAGAGAAGAAAAATCTCCATCTAAGATCTCATCCTGGACTGGCCATCACCTTGTTCCCTGAGTTAGTCCTTCCCAAGTTTTTGATAGCACATGCTGTCTGAGTAGGCATCCCGAAGGTGGGCTGCATCATGCAGCTCTTTGGTGTGGAAGTCAGGGTAGAAGGAAAAAGGGCTATGCAGGAGGCTATGGGGAGATGAGAGACGAGCACAAGGTGCATCTGGAATGAACTGGTACGTCCAAGGGCAAGACTCGGGAGGATACCACGTTGGACCACGGGAAAGGTCAGTAGGCTTGCTGGACGCCTGGCAGGTGGGACCGTCTGCTCTGCACCATGGTCCTCCAGGCAAAGTCCGCCCTCCACATCTCAAGAAAGGGAAGTCTGCTCAGCAGGGCTGTGGGCTCTGATCTTTGTAAGAGTTGGCTTGGCCTTCCCAAAACATCAGGGCAAGTAGCAGTGAACATAACATAACATAACATAACATAACATAACATAACATAACATAACATAACGTGTCTTTCCTGGACAGAGATGACACACATACATCTGTCTACTGTTTTGCCTGTGGCTGGCAGTCATTCTGACTGGTTTGGGCCCAAAATGCATTAGCACTTCAAAATTTTCAATATATTTTCTGCTTCTGGCAATAGCAAGAACGAACCAAGTGGTGCTTCTCAAAATTTAGTTAACAGCAGTATTACTTAGGGAACATATTAAAAATGCAGATGTTTTGGGTCTCATCTATAAAAGTTCCGACTGGATCGGTCTTTTGAGACCTCAGAATCTATCTTTCATGAGCTTCCTGGGTGACTCTGGAGGACCTGAATGTTTGAGATCATGGCACAAGTTAGGACACGGCAGGACCCTCTTTTCCATTGAGGGGGTCCTGCTGCAGCGAGGCAGGTGCAAATGCATAACTAAAGCAACCAAGGTCAAGAAGGAAGCTCGTGGACACACCCAGGATCCTCTAGAAAGGCATTCTTGGCGAGCCACTAGGATGGAGATGGACTGTGGGGAGCGCTTTGGGTCTCCACCTTTGTCAAGTAACCACATGTTCCTTTGCTTGAGTCACTTCTCACGACTATGTTCCTGGGCCTCCAGTGTTTTGTATCTATCTCCCTAAAAAGGCATTCTTTCTGCTATCATCTCTGATGAACTCATCTTTTCATTTTAATCACATGATGTGCATTGTAGTATGTCGCCATTGAGGACAGAATATTTGGATAATATCTGAGCAAGCAAGAAAAAACAGCACACACATAAGTAAGATGTGCTTTCGCTTGCAGCACCGCTTGGGGGTGCGTGGGCAGGTGCAGCCCTTCTGCTGAGTGGCAGGCAGTGCTCAGTTCAAAGCGAGCCTGAAGCCAGTAGGCCCTCTCCAGCCACAGATACACAGCCCAGAGACAAAGTAGGGCGATAAGAAGGCCTTGTCAACATTGTTTGTGGTGGCCGGGAGTTGACTGCAATCAGGTGCCCATGGCAGGGGGTGGACAGATCAGATGTGGGGGTGCACCCCAGAGAGGACGAGGCAGCTATCAGAGGCACTGGAGCAGACTGCACGTGGCAATGCAAATGGGTCCTGAAAGTGCGGAGTAGACCGAGAAGGAAACCAACCAGGGTCTGTAACTCAATCTGTAAGTTAAAAATACTGACACCCAAAACAATAAAAATGAAATATCTGTGTGTACCCATCTCCCCCGCCATGGGTTATCACCCAGGAGGTGCTTAACCTGGCTTGAGATCTTTCAGAGTCAAGTAAGTAAATACCAGATATTGGCATTTCCCCTGTTTTGTTCGCATGTTACATGACTTTTACTTCCTGACTGGTTCCTAGGTGGGTCTGAGAGCCAGTCATCAACCTTTGAACCATCATCACTCTTTCCAGGGGTCAGGAAAGAGAAGCCTAAATTGTAAATGTGATTCTGGTTTCCCTGAGCTTCTCATGGCAATCCATACTCATCTTTAGGGATGGCATACTTTCTGGAGTTCCTCTATGTTTTCAAGTAATTTAAGCATCCAAAGTCCTCTCTTGGCCAGGTGTGGTGGATCACACCTGTAATCCCAGCACTTTGGGAGGCCGAGGCAGGCAGATAACTTGAAGCCAGGAGTTGGAGACCAGTCTGGCCAACATGGTGAAATCCCTTTTCTACTAAACATACGAAAGTTAGCTGAACGTGGTGGTGGGCACCTGTAGTCCCAGCTACTCAGGAGGCTGAGGCAGGAGAATCGCTGGAACCCGGGAGGCAGAGGTTGCAGTGAGCTGAGATTATGCCACTGCACTCCAGACTGGGCAACGGAGCGAGACTCCGTCTCAAACAAAAACAAAAACAAAAACAAAGTCCTCTCTCTACTCTGCTTTTGCAATCTTCTTGTTTATATAATGTCCGTGTTTCTCCTTCAACTCTTTGGCTAGAATCATGGACATTCTGCCTCAGCAGATGTCCCACGAACCTTGCTCTGAAAATGACTGGTGAATGGTAGCCAAGATTTTTTTGACCATGGGTTTTTGAAAAGCCAACAGATTTTTGTGCCAAGGCTGATTTTCCTCTATATCAAAAAAGTGCTGTTTTTAAACCTAGCACAGAGAGAAGCCTTCTCATGCCTCCCCGACACAGTGGACTCTCCTGGAGCCTCTTGATACCAAGTCCCAATGCAGACAGAAAGGACACCTGAGGAGTTTCCTCAGCCCCAGAGGTTACCAGCAGCCTCACAGACAGACTGCAGGCCCAGAACGGAGCAGCCACAGCAGCATCATCCTGCAGTACCTTCCTCTGGTCCCTTTCCCCAACCCATGAGCAGCTTCTTGCCCTCACATTGATAAGAACAAGTCACTGGTGTCCAGAGCAGAGAGTGGTGTGAAGGAGCGCAGACTCTGGGGTCAGAGTGTCCAGGTGCCAAGCATCTTAACTGTGCCGCCCACCCCCTAGCTGTGTAACCTTAGGCAAGTTCTTGAACCTCTGTGTGCCTCAGTTTCCCCATATGCAAAACAAGACTAAATTATTGTGAAGATATAGTGAGCTCATACAGATAGAGACCAGCGCCAACCTGGCATGGAGGTGAGTGATCAGGCACATTGGCTGCTGTTCTGTGGTTGAGGAATGATTAAAGAACCAAGCAGAAAATGTTCCAAGGAATGACCCTTTCTATGCAAGAAACCCTTGCTATACTGTGATGGGTCCAGCGCAGT
Source organism: Homo sapiens (assembly GCF_000001405.40). Classification (NCBI taxonomy): domain Eukaryota; kingdom Metazoa; phylum Chordata; class Mammalia; order Primates; family Hominidae; genus Homo; species Homo sapiens. The sequence continues at coordinate 112,165,194 of NC_000002.12, read as the reverse complement.
GGGATGGGAAGGAGAGACGATACCTCTACAGTGGGGCTGCTCCCCTGTCCAGGTGCCATTGGGAAGACACACCACGCTGCTGGGCCCGACCAGCCGGAACCCAGGGTTGCAGGTAAAATGGACTTCGTGATCCACTAAGTACTTGCTTCCAAACTTTCTGCCGTCTGCGGGGGTGTTCAGAGCCGGGCAGGAAACTGTAAGGAGAGATGGAAGGATTACGAGCTCCTCATCCTGGACCACAGCCCTTAGACATTACTGAATTACAGGACTTCCCATCTCGAAGTGCCCTCTGTTGCATGCCTGCTGCAGGCTGTGCACTGTGCTGGTCATTCTGCATGCTGCGTCTCATCAAGTCCTCAAAGCTCTCTTGGGGATGGGTGGTACGATGCCTGCTTAGCAAAAGGTGATGAGACTGGGGCTCAGAGACACTAAGTGCTGTGTGCAAGGCCTCGAAGCGTGGGAGGCCCACCCTGCAATGATCCGCTTCATCACTGCCACCTACTCACTCTGATTTTCTGGGGCTCCAGCCCCCCTGGGTTTCTTTAGGTCTCCTGAACAGGCCGGGCTCAGCCCCAGCTCCAGGCCTGGGATTTTGCTCTTCTCTCTGCCTGGAATGTTCTTTCCTCAGAGCTTCCACAACTGGCTCCTTCTCACTCTCCAGGTTTCCACTCATATGCCACCACCTCCCCGCGTGTTCCCTGGCCACCGTGCCTAACCCAGACCTCCCCAGACACTCTTCCCCAGGTGCTCACTCTGCTGTCTTCTCAGTATCTGTAACCATCCGAACTTTCTTATTGACTTGCCTCTTTCTAGATATGCGGTCAGTCCTCTCCATCAGAATGCATCTGGCCTATGTTCCTGTGTATCCCCAGCACCAGCCCACTGCCTGGCACATAGTGAATACTGGATAAATCATAAATCATTCTTGAACAAATGAATGAATGGAGCCTTATTTATTGCATCTTTACTATGTGCCAGGCACTATATTAGGGACTTAGGCAGGCACTATATTAGGGACTTGGGCTATATCCATGAACAAAATAGACAAAACCCAACCCTCAGGAAGCCCACCATCTAGCAGGGGAGATAATAAGCAATGGCGAAGTGTGGGGCCATGTAGAAAATGAAAGCAGGGAATGATGCTGGAGATGCTGGAGAGAGGGCATCATTTTGAATACAGTGGTCAGGGCAGGCCTCACCAGAACGAGTTGAAGGTGAAGGCACAGCCAGACAGATGTCTGGGGAGGGCAGAGGGACAGCTGGTCAAACATCCTGAGGTGGGGATGTGCCTGGCAGGTCTGAGGAATGTCAAGGAGGCAACAGGACTGGAATAGAGTGGACGAGGTGGAAAGTAGTTAGACATGAGTCAGGCAACAGGATCAAGACAGCTCAGAGTTACACGGGGCATTGGAAAGAAAACAAAAAGGCCATGCAACTTGTTCTCCGTGTGAGACCGGGCCTCTGGAGGTCTCTCTCAGCAGCACTCCTGCTGCGGTTTGATTGTGAAGTGCCCGTACAAGAGGAAGGGGAGGGAAGCTCAGGCCAGGGTAGTAGCTGAGCATGAGGGACATGGTTCGAATCCTGGCTGCTCTGTGAAGATTTCCCGAAGGACTGATGTGGTTGGAGAGAGACGGGGTGAAGCTAGCCTGTTCCTCTTCTTTTTGCAACAGAGCATCACGCATGGGCGACGAGGGAATGCCCAAAGTTAGGATGGCTTGGATTTGGATTCAGTTTAGATGGAAATTCAGAGCCACTTCTAAAATGCATTTAAGGTAAATTCCAAGTGTCATTTGCCATGTTCATATTTTAAACAGGCACAAACAGAACTGTTGCTTCAACTGTGCAGGTCAAAGCAAGTGACAGAGTCACTGAGCATCCCCCATGAGGATGCACTGATCAGGGGTGTCCTGGACCAGAGGCCATTAAGGAGCGTGATGGGCCTCCCTGTCCAGGAGTGCAGCTGGCAGGATGGTGTAGCCCTGCCCAAAATCCCACCTGGGCCGGACACAACCTAGGGTTCTTTGAGGAGCAGCCGTGGCAGCCTGAGCTGGGGCGGAGGGAGGTGCCGGACCCTCCGAGGATGCTCGGTGGCCTTTGGTGATTGGGGAATATCTGCCCATTGCTGCATCGCCTTCCTTGAGTAAAGCTCCAAGTTGGCCCCCAGTGGTAATAACCTTGTGAGTAGCAAGCGAGTGAGAGCTCACATCCCAGGACTCGGCTGCTCCCGGGGTTCTGCCTCAGCCTCTGAAATAAATTACTTTATAGTTCTTTTTTTTTACATCTAGTACTTTATTGCGTTAAAGAGTTTTAAAATGCATTGGGGGAAAATAGTAGGGTCTCTTTGGGGATGAAAAATCTTTAAAAACCTCGACAAAAGAAAACTACCTGCAACTCACAAATACACCATACCTGAATAGATTGAACAGTATCTGGCACTTAATAGATGCTTAATAAATGTGAATGGAGTGGATTAATGGATACAAATTAATTAAAAATCAATTTGTAGTCACATCCCAAATGGGAGCTGAAGGCCCTTCTCTAGTGACAGAAGGGGAACGTGTCCTTTGGTTGATTCTGTTGGCGAGAAGCACATCCTACTGAGTGTGCAGAGCCACAGCGAAGCTCCCTGCGCCTTCCGAGGTGAAGTTAGCATGTAAGGAGTGAGACCCACAGTTAAGCAGTCTCAGCAACATGGGGACATGAATCCGCTGAGGCTGCTCTGGATGAACCCTGAAGCTGATGGGTTGTGATGATGCACCCAGGAAACAGGAGGGAGGTACTTCATATGGAAGCCAGAGAGGAAGACCAAGAATTCTCCAGAACTGGAAATTATTCTTCCTGACTCCCAGCAAATTCCCTTAAAAAAAAAAAAAAAAGGCAAAACAGGCCTGGCACAGGAGCACCCGCCTGTAATCCCAGCACTTTGCGAAGCTGAGGCTGGAGGATCGCTTGAGCCTGGGAGTTCAAGATCAGCTTGGGCAACATAGTGAGACCCCATCTTTACAAAATTTTCAAAATCAGGTGCAGTGGTGTGCACCTGTAATCCTAGCTACCTAGGAGGCTGAGGTGAGAGGATCGCTTGAGCCTGGGAGGCTGCAGTGAACTAGGATCACTCCACTGCTCTCCAGCCTGGGTGACAGAGCGAGACCTTGTCTCTCTTTTAAAAAGCAATAAGGTAGTTTTCCCACTATGTGCCATTTGATCTGGGCAGGTGTCTGGCTTTCCTCCAGGTGCGGGCCCAACCCCCACCACACCCTGAAAAGGGATCCTGACAGCTGCCTGTCCTCTGCAGGGCTGTCACAGGATCAGCCTCTGCACGCATAAAGTACCCAGCACGGGGTCCCCCACACACTTAGAAATACAATACATGATGGCGATTTTTTAAAAAGAGAATTTGGCACTTTAAAAAATGTTGTACATTTCAGAGATGAAAGCCCCTGAATCTTGGGAAGGAGGATGAATAATGTAATAATAACTGCCTTTCTATCTGTCTAGCGGGCAGGGCCCTCTCACATGGGCAGGGCCCTCTCACATGGGCAGGGGAATTGTATAACATTCCCTGTGGGCTCCACTGAAACTCCCAGGGACCGCAGGCAGCTCTGACCCCATGAAAACAAGGAAGGCTTTGTGGAGTCAGGCCTTGACCGCTAACTTACTTGTCTTGGCCTCAGTTTCCCCATCTGAGGCAGGAAGGAAAGACACCCTGCCTGCACCATGGAGTTGGGGTGTGTGGAGCCCCAGTGAGGGCTTGGGCCTCACAGTGCCTTGGAAAGTGTGAGGCTTGGCTGGTGGTTATTTCTGCAGCTGTGGAGCCAAGGAAAACAGGAACGGACTCAGTGCCGTTGAGAGCTGGATTTGCCACCATCATCTCCGAGAAGGTAGGAAATCCAACGCCTTCCCCAGGAAACTTCAACTCACTCAACAAAGACAGCCCTTGATAAATGTGTCTGCAGTGAGTAAATGATGTCAGATATTCCACAGGCTCCTGACTTTGAATGAACATGATGACTGGCCCCTGTCCCCCAGCACCCTAAGACACCGGAGGAAAACCAGCCGCCCATCTCTGGGTCTTGGCGGTGTGAAAGCTGTTACAGGGCAAGCATGAAAAAGTGCCCTTGTGTCTGTCAGAGTCCTGCCCTCATGGGAGGGAGTCTGGGGTGTCGGCTGTAGCCTCATCAGACAAGTGGAACTTGTCCTCAGCAGCCCTTCCCTCCCAACCGTCCTGGTACTAACGGGGACTCCCTGGAGGGTGCACTTTCACGCCTGAAGCACTGGAGCCAACCTTGGTCATGGACTGGAACCAGTGTATTGCACTGGCTCGGGCTGAGTGTGTGTGTGTGTGTGTGCGCGTGTGCGTGCGTGTATGCGTGCTTGTGTGTGCGTGTGTGTGCGTGCGTGTGTGCGTGTGCGTGCGTGTGCGTCTGCGTGTGCGTGCGTGTGTGCGTGCGCGTGTGTGCGTGTGCGTGCGTGTGCGCGTGCTTGTGTGTGTGCGTGCGTGTGTGCGTGTGCGTGCGTCTGCGTGTGCGTGTGCGTGCGCGTGTGCGTGCGCGTGTGTGTGCACGCACAGAGGGTGTGGAGGAACGCAGTGCTTTCCACTCAACTCTGCTATGAACTTAAAACTGCTCTAAAAAATTATCTTAAAGTAAAATCAAAAATGAAAACAAAACCAAAACTGGATCCAACTTGTGGACGGGGAAGGGAAAAGCAGTGCGTGATCTAAAAGTGGCGCCTTGCAACAGTTTGGTCCGTATGAAGACGTGATAGTTGTTAAGGCCAGAATGAAAAGGCTGAAGAAGAAAAGGGGTGACATTGAGGCTGAGGGAGAAGAAAGGGGGCAGCTGCCTTTCTAATGTGCTCCCCCCACCCCCACTGCCACCAACCAGGCTTACAAATGGGCCACAGATTGGCCCGGCGCGGTGGCCCACGCCTGTCATCCCAGCACTTTGGGAGGCCGAGGCGGGCGGATCACGAGGTCAGGAGATCGAGACCATCCTGGCTAACAAGGTGAAACCCCGTCTCTACTAAAAATACAAAAAATTAGCCGGGCGTGGTGGCGGGCGCCTGTAGTCCCAGCTACGCGGGAGGCTGAGGCAGGAGAATGGCGTGAACCCGGGAGGCGGAGCTTGCAGTGAGCCGAGATCGCGCCACTGCACTCCAGCCTGGGCGACAGAGCGAGACTCCGTCTCAAAAAAATAAATAAATAAATAAATAATAAATAAAAAAGGGGGGGCCACAGTTGGAAGATGGAAGGTGATGGGGGAAGGGTGAGGGGTGACGAGGGGCCTCCAGCTGGGAGCGTCTCGGGGAGAGTGCTCGAGTGCTGCGCTGCCGCCCCAGCGGTGCCGACGTGGGGACCCACCTGGAAGGGCATCTGGGCCCACCCTGCCCACAGAGTTCTGCAGCGCGGCCAGCCGGCTCTTCATGTGGCGGATGCCCTCGGCGAAGCGTGTCTCCTGGCCCTTCAGCAGCTGCTGCAGCTGGCGGATGGCCGAGAGGAGCTGCTGTTTGCTGAGACAGTTCTGCGGAGAGAAGACATCGCCGCCACCACCCATTGAGACTGACTCAGTCCCACATGCTTGTCTGAGCTTCCGAAATCGCCGAAGCCACGGGGTCCAAACCGCGTTTGAAGCTCACTCAACGCAACGTAAAAGTGACCTGCCGCTGGACAGCCCCAAGTACATGCATGGTAGCCCCAGTTCACCCCTTGACAAAAACAAAATGCAGGCAGGACGGATGACTCTAAATGACCGGGTGGATGAACAGTTATTTGAACCCAAAGAGCCTTATAATCACCACGCTGCCACTCTGAGAGATTCTCTCTAATTCTTCACTCTAAGTTAATGCTCTGAAAACCCTGGGCCTTGGCAAACATTTTCTTTCTGTCACTCTTAGACATTTTTAAAAGCAAAGGGCCAATAATACATGTAAAACAGGCAAAACAGGAATGCCCAATGGTTCCTATTCTTTAAAGACATATAACATGGGAAATAAGAAAAAAAAAAACTCACTAGAGTTAAAGAGGCATTCAATAAAAGTCAATGTTCAGTTCTGATGATTTTTTTTTTAAGCCATAGAAAGGCAGAAAATGGAGGATCATGCTTATCATGATAAAGGCTACCTAACTTAAAGCAGCATCAAGCATCATACTTTTTGTTTGCTTGTTCAAACAACAGAAACTTATTTCCTCACAGTTCCGGGGCTAGAAGTCCAAGATCAAGGCATCGGCAGTGTTAGTTTCTGGTGATGTCTTCTAGATGGCAGATGGCCACTCCCCGGAGGTGCCAGCATTCTACTTAATGCTAAAATTCTCAAGGTTTCCTGGCCGGGTACGGTGGCTCATGCCTGTAATCCCAGCACTTTGGGTGGTCAAGGTGGGTGGATTGCTTGAGGCCAGAAGTTCGAGACCAGCCTGTGCAATATAGTGAGACCTCATCTTTACAAAAAATTTAAAAATTCAGCCAGGCTCGGTGGTTCATGCCTGTAATCCTAGCACTTTGGGAGGCTGAGCCGAGCGGATCATGTGAGGTCAGAAGTTCGAAACCAGCGTGGCCAACATGGTGAAACCCAGTCTCAACTACAAATATTTTTAAAATTAGCCGGGCATGGTGGCAGGTGCCTGTAATCCCAGCTACTCGGGAGGCTGAGGCAGGAGAATCGCTTGAACCTGGGAGGCAGAGGTTGCAGTGAGCCGAGACTGCACCACTGCACTCCAGGCTGGGCAACAGAGCAAGACTCTGTCTCAAAATAATAAATAAAATAAAATAAAATAATTAAAAACAAAAAAATTAGCCGAGCCCGGTGATGTATGCCTGTAGTGCCAGCTACTTGGAAGGCTGAGGTGGGATGATTGCCTGAGCCTGGGAGGGAGGTTGCAGTGAGCTGCAATCACATCACTGCACTCCAGCCTGGATAACATTGAAACCCTATCTCAAAAACAACAACAACAACAAAACCAAACTAAATATTTCCAATCTCAACTGCCTTTAAGAACCAGGACAGGCTGGGCACGGTGGCTCACGCCTGTAATCCCAGCACTTTGGGAGGCCGAGGCGGGCGGATCACAAGGTCAGGAGATCGAGACCATCCTGGCTAACACGGTGAAACCCCATCTCTACTAAAAATACAAAAAATTATCCGGGTGAGGTGGCGGGTGCCTGTAGTCCCACCTACTCAGGAGGCTGAGGCAGGAGAATGGCGTGAACCCCGGGGGGCAGAGCCTGCAGTGAGCCGAGATCGCGCCACTGCACTCCAACCTGGGCGACAGCGAGACTCCGTCTCAAAAAAAAAAAAAAGAACCAAAGAACCAGGACAGGCTGGGTGCGGTGGCTCACGCCTGTAATCCTAGCACTTTGGGATCACTTGCATCCAGGAGTTCAAGACCACCCTGGGCAACAGACTGAGACCCTGTCTCTACAAAAAATAAAAAATTAGCTGGGCATGGTGGTGCTCGCCTGTAGGCAGGAAGATCACTTGAGCCTGGGAGGTTGAGGCTGCAGTGAGTCATGATTGCACAACTGTACTCAGCTTTGGTGACAGAGTGAGACCCTGCCTCAAAAAAATTAATTACCTAATTAAGAAAAAGAGCCAGGACATGAAAAATAGTAAAGGAGGGGTGAATCAAGTGGGGAGGGATGGGACCTCGGCCTTGTGGAGCAAGCAGGTCTCTACTAAGGCCATTCACATTCACTGGGGGCTGTGTGTTACAACAGCACAGCCTGGACTCTGCTGCCTGCACAGGAGACAGGAGACACATCAAGACGATGATGGTTATCTTTAGGGATAGGCTTATGGATTATGTTTTAATTTAATTTAATTTTTTTTTAATGAGATAGAGTCTCACTCTATCACCCAGGCTGGAGTGCAATGGCACAATCTCAACTCGCTGCAACCTCCACCTCCCGGGTTCAAGTGATTCTCATGCCTCAGCCTCCCTAGTAGCTGGGATTACAGGTGCCCACCGCCATGCCCCGCTAATTTTTGTATTTTTAGTAGAGACGGGGCTTCGCCATGTTGCCCAGGCTGGTCTCGAACTCCTGACTTCAGGTGATCTGCCTGCCTTGGCCTCCCAAAGCGCTGGGATTACAGGTGTGAGCCACCGCACCCAGTCTTAATTTTATTTTTTCTACTTAATTTTTTTTCTACTGAGTATTGGTTTTATAATTCAAAAAAACTCTCTAAAATACAGTGGAACAGTAAAGTGGCAGGGAGGTGTGTGGCCCCCACAGCCAGGGTGGCTTCCAGCCTCACCAACGAAGCACCACAACCACAACCACCACCACCACCGCGGTGGGAATGGAGCCACTGCCGCTCTCCCAGGGAGGCTGCCAGGCCTCTGCACCGTGGAGATTTCACCAAACAGATGACTCACTGGCCAGACTGAATGGATGCTTTTGACACAGTTGAATCCCCAGTTGCCCCTGGAATTCGTTAATCCCGGGGGCTCCTGGGCCTCCACCATACCCAGGGCCTGACCAGGCACAGCCCCAAACGCAATTGCTCGGAAGAGAAGTTTGGTTTGTTTTCCTTCCTCCTCCCACGTTGTGGTCCCTCCCACGCAGGTCCTGGGGCACTCAGGAGCGACCTCCTGCAACCCCGTACCTGCCCAGCACCGTGCAGCCCTGCCACCCAAACCTGATTTCCCACACCCACGTCCCCTTCCTTAAAAAAGGGGGGCTCTGCTTTTATAGATGACTTCATGGTTTATATGTCAATTGCATTTGTGTACTTCAGTCTACAAAGAGCTTCTTCGCTGTAACAAAGAATAGTTCAGCTACTGGCCGGCAGCAACCCCGTGGAGAAACGGGGCTTGTCTCCATTTCATAGAGAAAGATATGGAGGCTGAAAGTCAAACACCTTCCCCCAAATCATGGGGCTTAGGAGCAGTAGAGCCAGGCCAGGAAGTCTGACTCCCACCCAGCCCCGCCGGCCACCCCAATGGACTGCCTCCTTTGTTCTCACAGGCTCCTGTGTGGTGAATGATCTTATTGATGAATTTGCACTAGGGATTGATAGGACTGAGCCCAAATGCCCCACAGTAGATTTCTCACTCCCGTGCAAAGTTCAGGTTGGGCACCTGGGCAGCGGGGGCAGGAAGCGTGAAGGGAAGGTGGAGGAGACGTCCTTGCCCACATCCAGCCAGGCGAACAGCTGCCTCCTGCGCTACGAGCTGGCCAGGCCCTGACAGCTGAAAGTGGGTTCGCGGAGCCGCAGCTGCCCCGGGTACATGGAGGGCTCAGTTTTGAAGCCGGGAGAAATCTGTGCCAAAGGCTGCGCTGGGAAGGGCAAGCATACTGCCAGGAACCTGGGGTGATGGCCTGGGGCTCCAGGAAGTAAAGGAAGCAGGGGAGTGTGTGTGGAGGGACAGGGTCTTGTCTTCTACTTGGCCGCTGGGCAGCCAAGTATTTCTAACCCCAGTGCTGCTGGCTCCAGGCACAACTGCCCTCTGCTTCCGGTGCCACTTCCTGCTCCGTGGGCAACAGGCGCCAGCTGCTTTCTCCCCGGTGCTCATTGAGGGTGAGATGTGCCCAGCTTGCCAGTTACCACGGAAAAACCTTAAACATCTTCAAGACCAAGCAAACCAAGGCTGCATCTCCGTCCCAGGCGGGGAGGGAGACAGGAAGGCTCCAGGCTGACTTGCCGAGGGAAGGTGAGGAGGCTGTGGCCCATCCCAGCCTCCAACCTCTCTGGGGTGAGGCTGATGAAACAGAGCGTGGTACAAGGAAGCATCTTGCTGCTCTCGGCAAGCCAGCATGCCGGGGCTGGGGCCAGGGAGCCCGAGAAGCAGAGAGTATCCGTGCCTTTGACATGAGGTTTGAGGGTCTGAGCTGCAGCTGCTCCTAACAGGGCAGGTCCTGGATGCCATGCTCATCTGTCACCTGAGTTGGTATAGGCACAGGCATCACCGAGCTCCTTTGCAAAGCTAGATGATGAAGCTGGAATCCTTACATACCAAGACATGCACCCATGAGACCCACATTATGGGGACAAATGAGGTCATGTGAGGGGCCTGAGACCCCAGTGCCCCCTTTTTCCAAGCTGAGAAAGCTTTATCATTTTGCTTGATCATAAAAAGAAAGCATAATCTCTGCAAAACAATTCAAAATACAGAAAAATGCATTCAAACAAAGAACAAGTCCCACAACCAGAGACAACCACTGTTAACTTTTCGTTGGGTTTCAAGTCTTGGGTTAGACACAGGTGCTCCCTTGCACAGACGTCACCATGCAGCCCCACAGGATGCAGGCTCTATGTCAGCTCTTTCCCCTCAACACTGGCTGTGGCATCATTTTCATGTTAACGAGCAGAGCAACCGGCCTGTCTCTGAGTCTCAATTCTCATTCCTCAATGCACTCTTTTCAGTCTGGGCAGGGGGCTCCTTGCCCACAGCCACAGTTGTCTGCCATTCCCCTCCCAAACCCACCACCCTCCCCTGCTCTGAGCCATGCATGGAAGCAGGCCATTTCCTTCCATGCACATGTGGTCCTTGCTGAGGTCAGGCCAAGGGTGCTGTGAGGGGCTATGGGATGGACAGGAAGCCGGCCGGACCCTCAAGGGCTGTCCACCTGCTGCTCAGTGAAGGGCTGGCTTTTGGGTGAGGCTTTCCCATCTCAGGGTTCCAGGTCCCAACAGTGAAAAGCAACCCCAGGCTCCGCACAGCCCTCGAAGCTGACCTCCCACTCTCCAAGGTGGGAGTGGGTGAAGGTCAGATCCAGACAGGGCAGCAAGGGGAGGCCCCTGCACACCAGGAAGGACAGAGCGTGTTCCAGAGGCCGTCCCCTCGAAGCTGAGGAAGCTGCCATGTCTGGGTCCTCACTTTCCCAGGCCTCTTCCAGGGCTCTTGAGGCGCCCCGTTTTAAATCTTTTTCTTAGAGAGATCCCCTCAAATGGTATAAATTTTCATCCCTTCAAAACCAGTCGTGGCCCAACTTATGTCATTGACAATAAATAATGACGAATAGTTTCCATTTCTTTGAATTAATAACTTCTTTGAAATGGAACTAAGAGGAGACATGCAGTGAAACCTTCCATCTTTGAGTAGAAAAATATCAAGGTTTACCGTTTCTGTTATGAAACTCTTTAAAGGGGTGAGTACTTCATCTAACTTGACACCAATGGCAATGTTTGCAGAGAACCAGTTAGAGAAGGAACAACAGATGTCACCCCATCCAGGTTTTTCCAAGCTGGAGTAGAGGTGGCATGGATGGTTCTGGAAGACGCAGACCAGTGCTGAGAGCTGGGCGAGGGGAGGAGCTGGTTTTAAGGCTCTTGGAAGCAAGAAGGCCCATGGAACGCTCCATCCACCCCTGCCCTTCTCCGGGAATTCTTGTCCATCTCCCCTCCAGCCCCTTCTCGCACAGTGTTTACTCCGGCGGGTCCACGGAAGATTCCTCAGAGATCACCAGGCTCCCTTCCTCTGAGAACCAACTACCACTTGCAGGATGGCTGGGCCTCCAGAGACATTTCGTACCCCCAGACCCTACCTCCTGGTCCAAGGGTGGACACAGCCAAAGATGGGTGTGTGTCCCCCGGCTCACCCGGTCCCCTGCCAGCAGGCCTGACCCCTCTCATCCCATCCAGGCCCCCATGCTGTTTGGGCTCACTCCGAACCTGCTCTGAAGGCAACAGAGGGTACAGAGAAGCTTCAGGAGTATGTACGGAAACATGGGGACTGGTCCCTGGGGCTTCTGTTCTCCTGTAACCTGGCTCGATGGTCTTCCTCACAGTGACAGTCTTGGTACAGTGACACCTTTTGAGAGCCTCTTTGGTGACAATAGAGCTCCAAGACCTCCGATGGCCACGGATGACCCCTAGACTTGGAGGGGCCGTCTCCCACGCTGGTTTCTCCCAAGCCACAGCTATGCGTCACGTCAGCATTTTGTTAATGGGAACACAGATGTTTTGATGCCTTAGGTCTCTGAAAGGACCGAGCAACTTACCAAATGTGAGCCTGCTGGCCAAGGCTCGGAGTCTTCAGCGTCTGAGTCATGTCGAATTCGTGAATGTGCTCTCTACAGAACTTATTTTTATTTTTCAACTGAGCCAGAGGCGGGTTATAAATCCTCGACTACTCTTCATGCCAGAGACCTCTGCTCAGCACCCACATATATGAGGAGAGAAAGTGGGTGCTTCTGGAGGAAGTGAGAGAATTTCACTTGGGGAGTTGCCTGAGGCCTTTGGATTAGTCAGAACTCTCTACAGAAACAGAAGCAATAAGAAAGAGATATATATTATATATACACACACATGCATACGTATACATATGTAATATTGTAATATATAACATACTTATTAATATATGGAGAGAGAAAGAGAGATTTTAAGGGATTGTCACGCAGTTGTGGGGGCTGGCAAGTCCAATTTTAAGGAATTTTAAGGAACTGTCGAGCAGTTATGGGGGCTGGCAAGTCCAACCTCCGCAGGGCAGGAGCAGGCTGGAGACCCAGGGCCAGTTGCAGGTGATGCTGCAGCTCAAGGTCAAAGGCAGAAGGCAGTGTGGAGGCCCAACTCCCTCCTCAGGGGACCTCAGTCTTTTGCATGAGGGCCACCCACACTAGGAGGCGAATCGGCTTTTCTCAAAGGCTGCTGATTTAAATGCTAGTCGTATCTAAACAATCGCTTCTCAGCAACATCTGGACTGGTGTTTGAGCAAATATCTGGAAACCATGTCTTAACTAAATTGACACATAAAATTAACCACCCCAGCCCTCCAGCTGGAGCCTCCCTTTGGGGCTCTGCACCCCAGGATGCTCAGGGTACTTTGAGTTTGAACCCTGCTGGCTGCCTGTAACTCTACATTTACACTCCATGCGCAATTCCAGTCTGGTTTTTAAAACAGCCACAGGAGCGATGACAAAAACAGCGGGTGCCCAGAGCCGGCACTGCGGCCACACTTCACACAGGAACCCATGACAGCGCAGGACGTGGCACCATTACAACACCCACTTGGCAGGGGCGGAAGCCGCATAGGTCTCTGAGCCACGGTGGCCTATCCAGGATTTAAAACCCAGTGTGCCTTCTCCAGCCGCTGGTGTGACAAGATGGCCGGACTCACCTTAGAGAGGGGTGCACAGAGAACCTTCGTGAGTCCTGCCTCATTCATCCTCTCACTTCACAGCATCCCCTTGAAAGTACACTAGATGCCCATTTGAATGAACAAACGAGTGAACGAGTGAATGAGGAGTGAAGGAATGGCGTCAGTATGAGCCAAAGACAATCTCTTGCTCATCTTACCACCAAACTCACTTTCCCCATTTCACCTGCTTGCTGCCCAGCTAACCTTTGTCCAGAGGCCATCTGCACCTGTGGATTGGGTTGTGCCTTTCACAGCCTCGGTATTATCTTCAGCAAGTCTCTGAGGTCCCCAATGCCCAAGCCAAGCAAGGAGCTTGGGGTCCACACACATGGCATCCAGCAGCTGCAATCCCCTCCTAGGTACACAAGCCGGGTATATGAGCCTTCTCCTCACATCTCACAACCTGAGAGCCTCCTACCAGCAAAAATGGCAGCACATTTTGTCTATTTCCTTTTGGGATTTAACACAATATGAATATAGAAGGGAGAGAAAGTTTAGTAGATAAAAAGGAATCAAAGAAGGCAGCAATGAAAAACTAATACATTCTGTCAGCTCCATGGTGAGGAGTTTCCCTTTATTCTCAGCGGCGAGGAGACTTGTGGGATGTAGGCAGGGGCGTGATGCAGCCTGGCCTCTGACCTCTGTCTTTGGGAAATACAGATTTTACGAAAGCAAGTGAGGATGCAGGGAGGGGAGATGTGACAGGACTGCCGTGGTACAGGAGAGGATAATTTCTGTTGCACCACTGCCAACCCACTCAGAAACACTTGGGATTTTCCCCTAGAGAGAGTAGGAAAATCAGAAAACACACCCCACTTTTTATTTAGCCATCATCACCATTCATGTTAGTTATTCCAAGAATAAAGACTCCAAGACCCCGGACCCTGACAATGTACTCAGGCACACCGCCATCATTTGACCCTTCCCTTCCCGTTTGCCCACGGAATCCAGCGGAATCCGTTCTGCCAGTGGAATCCAGGCCCTCTTACCATGAACCTCCCCAGGCTACACCCACCTTGGGGCCTTTGCACCGGCTGGGCCCTCTGCCTGGAGAATCTGCCCCCAGGTCCTCTAGAGTGGAGTCCTCTAGAGTTGTCTTTCCACTTCGACTTAGAAGTCCCCTCCTTAGAGAGTTCCCTACCTGCTTGCTTAACCTGGAGTAGCTCGTGGCCACCCTCCAATGCAGCACCCCGCTTAGGCAATCGTTGGCCCTCTGATACTTTTCTAATTTGTCTGGTTTTTCTCTTCCTGCTTGGTGAGCTAAGTGGCAGTGGGGACTGTGTCAGCTGCATCTTTCTCTCTCCTGTCACGTATTTAGCATTTGTTATGGACCTGGTCTTTGAATATTATTCATTTTCTTCAACTATGACCCCATGAGATGGGAATGTCTATTATCTCCACTGTTCAGAGGAAGAAACTGATTCACAAGGGGCAGGAACTTGCCCCAGATCAGTCAACCAGGAAGGATCCGAGCCAAGATCAAGCCAGGCCTGGGAGTCTTCACCACGTGCTACGCTGCCTCAGGCCTCCCAGAACAGCATTTTTCCTGTGCTAGCCTCTCAGGACATAGTTGTGGAATGAGCACATTATCTTACTAGTTAGATTCTTTTTGTCATGCAATCAGAGAAAAGGCCTAAATTGCAGGAGGACTGAGGTGATACTGACCCGTTCAGGAGATACTAACATGTTTGTATGTTTTTACACTACAGTCTGATGCTTCTCTGGATGCATTTTTTTTTTCTTCTGGTACAGCAGAGACCCCTGTCTTGGAGCTCAGTGGTCCTCTGTTTTTGTTCAAATCAGCCCGGGAGTCATCTGATGCTCTCAGCTCCCCAGGGGCAGTTGAGGCTTTCTGGACAATGCAACCAGTTGCTGGTCTTGCTCTCTGACCCCAGCCCCTCCTTCAGAGATGGGGTGAGCATGGGAAAGGGCTGCTCCAGAGCTCATAACCCCCTCCCCTTCCATCTAAGGTCCAGAGGGAACTAATCTCCAGCAGACGGGGAAACGTCTCAGATAGTGGCCAACCAGATGGCAAGAACGGGGCCAAGGGTGGCTCGGGGACTTTCCAGTTCCCTCCCAGTCACCACCAATATCCCCCATGCCTCTGGTCTTTGATGTGAACAACTGTCATGTCTCAATCTTAGTACTTAGGCACCCAGCCCCACGCTGAGTTCCTTGGGTCTCACTTCCCATCGAGGCTGCCTCCTTTGAGAGATTCTGGTGTCCAGAGAGGAACACATTTTCCTATATACAGGAGGAGAGATGATTACTTCCTTGAGATACACATTTTACTTACTTGAGTTACAAATTGTACTTGAGACTTGTGCAAATGGATGGGTTTGGGTCCAGTCAAATTATGGGTGCTTATTTTTTCTTTAACAAAAATGTGTGTCGTGTCCTTATTTTAGGTTTCAGGCAGTTACTGAAGAGCATGGAAAGTCCTGGCAGGGAGTTTGAAAGGATAAAGAAAGTTCAACCCACCCTGGGAGTCTTCTCTGGAGCCCCAGGGCTGCACAAACCCTTGCCCCTATGGGTCAGGGGAGAGTGGCCAGCACAGTCAGGCCTTTGTCAACAGCTGTGCCCAAACAATGGACCCTGATCCTGGCACCGCTGGCTGAGAGGCAGGTCTGAGCCAGCATATGGAGGGAGGGCTGGTACCCAAAGGGAAGGGGAGCAGCTTCAAAGGCATCTGGCTCGATCTGCCTGCAATCAAGTCTAGTGCCAAATAGGATTCCCCAGGGTGAGCAGACCTGGGAGGACATCCGTTCCTGATTGAAAGACTCCAGGCTAGCCCAAGAAACCACTGAACTGGCTGGCCACGTCTCCTTTCCCAGCGGGCCATGGTGTGGATCAGGCCCTTTACACTCACTGCCCAATGCCCCCAGGGCCAGAAATGACCCCAAGGGAGCAAGGGGACTTCCATTCTCCTCTGCAATCAGGGCTGCCCTTGACAGGATGTAGATCTCATTCTTGAATGTGCCAGGGAGAAGTGGAGGCTGCTAGAGAAAGCAGAAGATGCCAGGAGAACCTCCCCATCACCACCCTGCCCTGATTCCACCCATTTGTCTAAACACAGGTGCCTGTGGGAGTAAGTCTTTGCGTCACTATGATGGAGGATTTGCAAAAATCACCCCAGGTCTTCCTCCCTGTGCCAACGCCATATGCAAGGAGACTCTGCTCTCTTTTCATCAAAAAGGAAGTCTGTTTTCCCACCTTTCATATCTGGGCTGGACTTGTGGCTTGCTTTGGCCAACAGGATGCAGTGGAAGTCATGCTCCAGTTCCAAGCCTGGGTCTCAAGAAGTCTGTGAGCTTCTGCTCAGTCTTGGTGCTCTACAACCACCATCACCACCACCACAACCACCATGAGAAAAGCCCCAGCTAGCCTCCTGGAGGATGAGAGGCCTCACGGAGCAGAGCCTGCATGCACCAGATGAACTGCCCTAGACCAACCAGCCCCAGCTAGCTTGGCAGCTGACTACAGACAAACGAGCAAGGCCAGTCCAGATGAGCTGAGTCTGGCCCTGACTAGCACAGCAGACCAGCTGAGCTTGGCTCAAATTGCTACCCTGGCCTGCCAACTTCAGATCCAGAGCTTCTCTCTTAAAATCAAAGCAAGATCACTGTCTGTTTTGTTCCCAGTGCCTGGGCCATTGTAGGCACCAAATATCTGTTTTATGAAATACCTCATTTTAGATAGCGGTATTTATCTCAGATCAATAGATCTGAATGATTCACAAGCCCCTGCTGTTTCAGCTCATCTTCATGCATTAGTATTAAAATCTCTACTTCAGGGTTAGTGAACACTCCTGGTGCTAGGATGAGGGCAGATACCCCTGTCAATCATGGTGTCCTTTCATGCCAAGCTCTAGAGTGACTGAGGAGCCATCTCAACCTGGACTCTAGGCAGTCCCAGGCAATCAATCCGAATCGGCAGCTAAATTGACACTGATGGGCTGACTTCCCAGGCCATACTAGGCCGGAAAGGAGCAAGCTTTTGTTTTCATTTTTCCACCCTTCAGCTCATTTTTTTTTTCTCAGACCAAGAAATAAGTCTCAAGTCCTGCTCCAGCGCGAGGTCTTGATTTTCGCTGGGAAGTCAGTGGGGAGGAGAGCTGGCGGGCAGTGAGTCGGAGAGAGCGCGGGTCAGCTTTCCTCCTCTCACTTCCTCCTCTGGCCTTGCTCCCAACTGTAGGATTCAGCCACCACTCTTTTTGGCCACAGCAGACCCCCCACCTACGACCCGGGATCATGATGCTACTGTTGGCTGCTTAAAAGTTTCCGTGTAGAAAAAGTGTGATATCTACTGTAGGCAAGTGATTTGACAAGTCCAGCAATAATGAGTTAAAAATCATTTTCCTAAGGATGGGTTCAAAAAAATAAGGGAGTAAGCCAAAGAAAGAGGAAGACATGTGATCTCGAAAATGTAGACTCCAGCTCAGGATAGCAGAGAGACTCTCTCCCAAAGCCCCTGTGTAGCCGCAGGGCCACGAGCCCAGGGAGGGCAGCAGCAAGGCGGGAGCCAAATGCAGAGAGGCCGGGGGAGTCTGGGCTCCAGGGACAAGCAGCCCTGGCAGAACACTGACTGGGAAGGAGATCCTGGAAACAATTGTGCTTGTGTAGACGGCAGACTGAGGCAAAAGGGAATAAACTCTAGGAAAATTAAAAAGTTACACAAGAAAGGAAATTAATCATAGGGGACTACTTGGCTCTGTAGTGGATTATGGAACAAAGCACTTATCTGTCATTATAGGAGATCAATTGTGTAGAAATGCGGAGTGGTCCCCAGAGTATTTAGAAGTAGGTGCCTCAAGAGAGAGGTGCTATGGACCAATTTCTTGAAAGATACAAACTACCAAAACTCACCCCAGGGAAGAAAAATTGCCAACCTAAATAGCTCTGTATCTAAGAAATTGAATTCATAGTTAAAACTTTCCAGAAGTCTCCAGGCCCACATGGTTTCATTGGTAAATTCTACCAGACATTTCAGGAACTGGCACCAATTCTACACCATCTCTTCCAGAAGACAGAAAATCCACCTTATTAACAGACTAAAGAAAAAACACAGGACCATATCAAGTGAAGTAGAAAAAAAGCATGTGAAAAAATTCAATGTCCATTCATAATAAGTATTGTATCAAACTAGGACAAGAAGGAAATCTTAGCCAGACAAATAACACCTACAAAAAACCTACAGCCAGAACCATACTCAATGTTGAAAAAACGAATCCTTTCTTCCTAAGTTCTAGAACAAGGCAAGAATGTTCGCTCTCCTGTTAAAAACTGTACTTGAAATTTTAGTCCATGTAATAAGGCTAAATACATAAATAAATGACACATACATTAAAAAGGAAGAAGTAAAACTGCTCTAATACATAGATGACATGATTGTCCATGTAAAAAAACCCCTGGAAATGTATTTTTTAAAATTCCCTATAAATAATGATCGAGTTCCACAGGGTCACAAGATACAAGGTCAACGCAGAAAAGCCCATTGGATTTCTCCATACTAGGGATATCCACTTGGAAATGAATTTAAAAAAAAAAAAAAAAAAGCTTCAAAAATGAAATAATTAGGTATAAGTCTAACACACAGCATGTTTGTGTTGAAAACTAAAAATATATATATACTGATGAAAGAAACCAAAGAATATCTAAATAAGTAGAAAGACATTTTGTGTTCACAGATTGGAAGACTCAGTACATTTAAGATGCCAATTCTCCTCTAATTGATCTATAGATTTAATGCAATCCCAATACAAATTCCAGTAGTTTCTGGTTGCTGTTGTTGTTTTTGAGACAGAGTTTTGCTCTTGTTGCCCAGGCTGGAGTGCCATGGTGTGATCTCAGCTTGTGGCTCACTGCAATCTCTGCCTCCCGGGTTCAAGCAATTCTCCTGCCTCAGCCTCCTGAGTAGCTGGGATTACAGGCATGTGCCACCACGCCTGGTTAATTATGCATTTTTAGTACAGACGGGGTTTCACCATGTTTGCCAGGCTGGTCTCGGACTCCTGACCTCAGGTGGTCTGCCCACCTTGCCCTCCCAAAGTGCTGGGATTACAGGCGTGAGCCACAGTGCCCGGCCCAGTAGAATTTCTTATAGGCATAGACAACTGATTCTGAAATGTTAATGAAAAGGCAAAGAAACTAGAATAGCCAAAGGGATTTTGAAAAGGAATAATAAAGTTGGAGGACCCACTTTACTCAATTTTAACACTTACTGTAAAGCTACGGTAATCAAGATAAGTGTGTTATTGGCAGAAATTTCTCCATACATGTATGATGAACGATTTTTGACAAAGTTGCTAAGGCAAGTGTGTGAATCAGCAGTCTTTCAACAACAAATGGTATTGGAACAATTGGATATCCACATGAAAAATTGGCCCTCAAGATGAATCTCACACCTCATTTTTAAAAAGTAACTCAACATGGGTCATAATAAAAATGTAAAACTATAAAAATTTTAGAAGAAAATTTTCATGACCTGAGGTTAGGCCAAGAGTGCTTAGACTTGACACCCAAAACACAATCCATTAAAATAAAAAATTGATAAACTAAAGTTCATTAAAATTTAAAATTTTGATCTGCAAAAGTCATTGTTAAGCTACAAACTGAGAGAAAATATTTATAACTCACATATCCAAAAAAGGCTTTGTATTTAGAATATATAAAGAGCGCTCAAAATTTATTAAAAACAATCAGGATTTGCCTGTAATCCCAAATACTCCAGAGGCTGAGGCAGGAGGGTCACTCGAGCCCAGTAATTCCATGGCTGGCCTGGGCAACATAGAAAGACCCCATCTCAAAAAAATAAAAAGAAAGAAAAAGAAACAAACAATCAATTTTTTAAATGGGCAGAAGGCTCGAACAGACGTTTTGCCCAATAGACTATTTGGCAAATAATCACATGAAGAGATGTCCAATGTCATTAGTCATTAGGGAAATGGAAATTAAAACCGCAATGAGATACCACTGCATGCTTACTAGAATGACTTGGAGAAAAACAAATCAACCCGAGAACTCTAAGTTCTGGTAAGGATGCAGTGTAGTGAGGTCTTTCATAAATGTAAAGCGGTAAAACTAATACAGAATATAGTTGGGCAGTTTCTTACGAAGTTAAACACACATTTACCATATGACCCAACAATCCCACTCCCAGGTATTTGCCCATAAGAAATGAAAATACATTCACATGAAAAGCATATTTTGAATGCTTATACCAGCTGTATTCACAATTGCCCAAAACTGGAATGACACCACGGTGGTTGTTGTTCAGTGGGTGAACCGATAAACAGTAGAGGCCAGGCACGGTGGCTCACGCCTGTAATCCCAACACTTTGGGAGGCCGAGGCGGGTGGATCACAAGGTCAAGAGATAGAGACCATCCTGGCTAACAAGGTGAAACCCCGTCTCTACTAAAAATACAAAAATTAGCTGGGCGTGGTGGCGGGAGCCTGTAATCCCAGCTACTCACGGAAGGCTGAGGCAGGAGAATCGCTTGAACCCGGGAGGCGGAGGTGGCAGTGAGCCAAGATCACGCCACTGCACTCCAGCCTGAGTGACAGAGCAAGACTCCGTCTCAAAAAAAAAAAAAAAAAAAGAAAAGAAAACAAAAACAAAAACAAAAGCAAAAACAAAAAGGAACCTGTAGCTTGGGTGATTCTTAGATGCATTATACGAAGTTAATTTTCTTATTTAGAATCAAAAAAGTGCAGCTTGCTGCCAGTGCTCATTTAATTTTACAGAAACATGCTTTTTGAAGCTGAAGCAAATCTGAATGATTTTCAATGTGAAAATAAAATATAAAAACTGTTCTTGTAGTTATTTCAAAGCAGAACTAACATCAGAATTGTCTGAATCATTAAAATCGTCTATTTGGGAAAAATCGGATGCATCAATTGAATCTTCGGCCAACAACTGTTCCAGAGCGATGTTAATATCACGCGTAGGAGAGCTATATTTCTAGGATTTGACATTTTCAGCGATCAAGAATTACTATATTTTGTAAATGGAAATACCACTACTAAGAACAGAATGCTATAAATAGAATGATGTCTGTTATTTCCAAAGTTGATATACTAAGCAATGTGAAAATAATAAAAGATATTTTGTGACAAAGTTATCTCGGGGTAAATGCTGCAGCCACAAGCACTGCCCAACACATATTCTCAGAGCAAATGAGATTAAAGAAACTAAACCCAAAAGGCCATGTACTCTTTTCCATTTATATGACATTGTGGAGGCCGGGTGCAGTGACTCACAGCTATAATCCCAGCACTTTACGAGGCTGAGATGGGAGGATTGCTTGAGCCCAGGAGTTCGAGACCAGCCTAGGCAACATGGCAAAACCCTGTCTCTAAAACAAAATAAAATAAAAAATTGTATGACATGATGGAGAAGACAAAATTGTAACGATAAAGAATAGATAAGGGCTGCCAAGGCTGGGGTGGGTAGTAGGTGTGACTTCAAAGAGCAGCATGATGTAGTTTTGGGGGCGGTGGAACTGTTCTGTACCCTGATTGTGGTGGTGGTTGCCACACATAGAATATAGTTCCATGGTTAAAATCATGAAATTATACATGAACAACATTTATTTTTATTTAATTATAAAAAGCAATGTATCAAATGGGAGGAGGCAACTAAAAGAATGAACCTCTCATGGTGGAATTTGGAGACCTGTGACATCTGATCACAGGGAGAGGGTCAGGGAGGGAAGCCTGCTTAAACACCATAGCAGCTCCCCACACAGGCGAGGAGGTGGCCGGGAGCCCGCATCCCCTGCCCGCCCAGAGCCACTGTGGGCTGAAGGTGAAGTGCGAGATGATGGTTAGATATTTGTTCTGATCTCCCCAATGAGGTGTTTCTCTTCCAGTGGGAAGGCCACAGGGTGGGCACAGTGTCCAGAAAGGGCTCCTGCTCTCTGCACACCCCATACTTCTCAGCCTCCCTTCCTTCCCCATGACCACCTGCTCTTCATCAGCCAGTGACAAAAACCTGCAAAGTGACTTGGGACAGATGCGCTGACAAGAGGGACACAGTGGATAGCCACAGAGGAGAGCAGGAGAGAGATGAGACTCCATCCCCGCAGGACCACTGCTCTGGACCCTGCAGCACACAGCCTCCCCTCCCCTGTAACACATACACAATCACAGAGACACAATCACCAACACACAAAGACATGTGCATACCCAATCACACACACAGCACAGATATGCACACACACATACACTTACCATCACACATACAATCACTCACGCAGACAGATGCACACACAACCACAGGTACCAATGCAAAAAAGGTGTGTACACACAACCACACACAGAGACACATACATCTATTGACACACACACACACAAACACACACATACGCTCATGATATTACTCTTGCGCTGTCTCCTAAAACGCAAAGCAAGCACATTTGCCAGCAAACGGGAACCCCAGACAGGGTTGTGGCCCACCCCCATGAGGAGCACCGCAGTCTCCATCTAGAGCTCCTTGGAGTTGCTGTGTCAATGGGCCTTGGTCGAGGAAGCCTGTCCTCAGTGCCTCCCACCTGACCCATCTCATCTCCTCCATGGCAAGATATGATCCTGTGGGCACAGCTCATTCTCCAAACTTGCTGAGTCTCCACCAACCAATGGCTCTTACTGGTGGGTTCAGGAGTCCCAGGGCTCACACTGCTTTAAGGCCAGGTGGGTCCCTGCCCCTGGAGCCCTATAGTGGGAATACAGACAATAAACTTGAAACCTACCAAAATATATCATTACAAATGATGATCGGTACTACGCCAGAGCCCTTCAGGGGACCCAAACAGGAAATACAGGGGCAGAGAGAGGACTTGTTTAGAGTAGAGAGAGTTCTGGAAGGCCTCTGCAGAGGATTACTTATTTGAGCAGAGACCCAAAACGTGGAAGGAGTCAGGTAATGCTTGTTCCAGCATGCACCAGGCCCTGGGGCCTCCTTTACAATTCACCCTTTACGCTTGCCCGGACAGGGTTGAGGGTGGAGAAGGGGAGACCCCTGGCCACATAGGACTGTGGGTGAAAGAGAGTCTCACTAGAATTTTTAAATGACCATCTATGGGCAATCTCTTTTGTTCCCTTTCCCCTCACAAAGCACCTAAGACAGGTGTTTTGCAGCTCAAGACAGTAAGGTTTAGAGGATAAGAAACTTGAGAAAGACTGGATGTGGCGGGACAGGGATTGGACCCAGAAGTTCCGGGTACAGAGTCTGGGTGAGCTCACTTTGCCTCTGCAGCAGCTGCAAACATATGACAAGTGCTTCGGTCTCACCTGGTTTCTAGGTAACCTCAGGAGACAGGTGTTTACCTCATTCCCCGAGCAGCAAAAGTCACACAATGGCAGGGCCTGGTTCTCACGCATCTCATCACACATCCTGTCCACGCTGCCTCCTTGGAGCCTAGGCTGGGGAGCCGCCTTAGGGATGTACCCACCTATGCTTCTGGCATTGGGCTCAAGGTCTGAGGTGGGGTTTTACTTTGTTCTGTAACCTGCAAAGTTGATAGGAGACCCCATTGCTCTGTTGGGTGGGTTTAGCGTGGCCCCAAACTGGGCCTCTGCTGCCTGGTCACTGAGTATCTCCCTGTGGTGCCCCCTCACTACCTTCTGCACTAACATCACCACGTCTCGTCTGAGCCAAATTCTGCCTGCCTGGAATCCCTTCCTGCACCGTAGGGGCCTCTAGGTGGCCATGGGCATGCCTGCCTGGCCCAGGAAGTCAGTCTCTGGCCAGGGAGTATGGGCAAGTGTCTGCAGGCAAGGAAGAAATCTTGGAGCCCAACAAGAGAGACTGGGTTTATTCCGCTCATTTCTGGTTGTGTGACCTTGAATACATCTCATCCTCCCTGGGCCTCACTTTCATCATCTGCAAAATGGGGGTAACAGTCCCCACTTCACAGGGTAGCTCCGGGAATGAAGTGACTGGAAGATGCCCTGCAGGGAGCCTGAGGCGCACCAGGCACTCCGTGTGCAGGCTCTCCGCTGCCCACCGCTGTTGGTATTGTGCAGGTAGCGGGGTCGGCAGTCCATGGCCGGGCCCCTCACCCTGGCTTGCCAGGGCTACTCTGCTGGATGTGGGTCCCGGACTCGGCAATTCAAGTTCTCGCCTTAATTTTAAAAATCAGTTGCTAATGGTTAACATAAAAGCGAATCTGGTCAAGTATTAAACAAATAAATCCGGTGAGATTCGAACAAATGCCAACGGCAAGAACAGAAAAATTAAACAGCAAGCCGCCTGTATATGTGTTTAAGAAAATGTAGTCGCACATCCAGGGCCTCGCCGGCTCGGGAAGGGACCGCTTCGGAAACCTCCCGGGCCACCTCTGCCTGGGAAATGCCACAAACTGCTGAGAAAGTCCCGTGAGTGTTCTGATACTTCGGTTGGAAATTTAAATGTCGGAGTTTGGAGGGCGGGGACGTTCTCTAAGCTAATTAGGTGACCTGGAGCTCTCATGGAGACCCAGGAAAGACCAATGTCTCATAGCTCCCTGAGAAATCTTCTTCCTCCCGGCGGTGCTCACGTGGAGTCCTCGCCCACAATGGACCGACGCTTTCGCAGCCCAGCCCGGGTCCTCCCAGGGGCCCGGCCAGCGATGCATCTGAGGTGACAGGTGGGGGACCCTGCACCTCTCTCTGAAAACTGAACCCCAGCCCAGGCATCGCTCCGAGCTCTCAACCCAGGCATCCGAGTGGAAAGTGGCAAGCCCGGGTCCCCCAGCCTTGGTGCTGCCTCCCCTGCGCGCGGGACAGGGGAGAGAGGAAGGAGGGATGCTGGCCTGGAGAGAGGCAGGAGGGACACTGACCTGGAGAGAGGCGGGAGGGACACTGACCTGGAGAGAGGCGGGAGGGACACTGGCGTGGAGAGAGGCGCGCGGGACAGGGGAGAGAGGCGGGAGGGACACTGGCCTGGAGAGAGGCGGGAGGGACGCTGGCCTGGAGAGAGGCGGGAGGGACACTGGCGTGGAGAGAGGCGGGAGGGACACTGGCGTGGAGAGAGGCGGGAGGGACGCTGGCGTGGAGAGAGGCGGGAGGGACGCTGGCGTGGAGAGAGGCGGGAGGGACGCTGGCCTGGAGAGAGGCGGGAGGGACGCTGACCTGGAGAGAGGCGGGAGGGACGCTGGCCTGGAGAGAGGCGGGAGGGACACTGGCGTGGAGAGAGGCGGGAGGGACACTGGCATGGAGAGAGGCGCGCGGGACAGGGGAGAGAGGCGGGAGGGACACTGGCCTGGAGAGAGGCGGGAGGGACACTGGCGTGGAGAGAGGCGGGAGGGACACTGGCCTGGAGAGAGGCGGGAGGGACACTGGCCTGGAGAGAGGCGGGAGGGACACTGGCGTGGAGAGAGGCGGGAGGGACACTGACCTGGAGAGAGGCGGGAGGGACACTGGCGTGGAGAGAGGCGGGAGGGACGCTGGCCTGGAGAGAGGCGGGAGGGACGCTGACCTGGAGAGAGGCGGGAGGGACGCTGGCCTGGAGAGAGGCGGGAGGGACACTAGCCTGGAGAGAGGCGGGAGGGACACTGGCGTGGAGAGAGGCGGGAGGGACGCTGGCCTGGAGAGAGGCGGGAGGGACGCTGACCTGGAGAGAGGCGGGAGGGACGCTGGCCTGGAGAGAGGCGGGAGGGACACTAGCCTGGAGAGAGGCGGGAGGGACACTGACCTGGAGAGAGGCGTGAGGGACACTGGCCTGGAGAGAGGCGGGAGGGACACTGGCCTGGAGAGAGGCGGGAGGGACACTGACCTGGAGAGAGGCGGGAGGGACACTGGCGTGGAGAGAGGCGGGAGGGACGCTGGCCTGGAGAGAGGCGGGAGGGACGCTGACCTGGAGAGAGGCGGGAGGGACGCTGGCCTGGAGAGAGGCGGGAGGGACACTGACCTGGAGAGAGGCGTGAAGGACACTGGCCTGGAGAGAGGCGGGAGGGACACTGGCCTGGAGAGAGGCGGGAGGGACACTGGCGTGGAGAGAGGCGGGAGGGACACTGGCTGGCCTGGAGAGAGGCGGGAGGGACACTGGCCTGGAGAGAGGCGGGAGGGACGCTGACCTGGAGAGAGGCGGGAGGGACGCTGGCCTGGAGAGAGGCGGGAGGGACGCTGACCTGGAGAGAGGCGGGAGGGACGCTGGCCTGGAGAGAGGCGGGAGGGACGCTGGCCTGGAGAGAGGCGGGAGGGACACTGGCGTGGAGAGAGGCGCGCGGGACAGGGGACAGAGGCGGGAGGGACACTGACCTGGAGAGAGGCGGGAGGGACAGGGGAGAGAGGCGGGAGGGACAGGGGAGAGAGGCGGGAGGGACGCTGGCCTGGAGAGAGGCGGGAGGGACACTGGCCTGGAGAGAGGCGGGAGGGACACTGGCCTGGAGAGAGGCGGGAGGGACACTGACCTGGGAAGCCCGCGGCTCGGGGCAGGCGAGGATCAGGAGCAGAAGGAAGAGCGCGCGCGGAGAGCTGGGCACCATCTTGCCAGTCGGAATCCCGCTGCCTGGGAGGGGAAATAACTTTGCCTCCGCTGCCGAGTTTGTCCCAGCGATGCGGCAGCCGTCCCTGCAGGGTGCGGGGCGCCGCGCGGCCGGGGGGCGGCTGGGGCAGGGGGGGAGGCGGGAGGCCCCGAGCGCAGCGCGTCCCGCGGGGATCGGCGCCGCCCGGGCCTTGCGAGGGTCCAGGTGCGCCCGCAGCTGCCCGCACGAGACAGTCCGCGCGAGGCGGGGAGGCGCCGGCCCCTGGGCTAAGGACGAGGGAGGAGGGGCTGCCCGGCCGGGAATGCGCCCGGGAGCGCGCCCAACCCGCGACGCCGAGGACGAGCGCGGGCATCCTCGGGGCCTGGCAGGGATGGGCGGCCAGTGCCCCGCATATGTGCGGGTGACTGGAAGCCCACCCTGGGCGGGTTCACTCCCGACCGTCCTATTTCCCAACCAAGTAGACTGAGGCTCAGTCACCAAGGACAAGTGGCAGAACAGAAACCCAAACCCAGGTCTGTCCTACTTCAAAGCCCACGCGACACCCTCCTCCCGACATTCCTAGAAGGGGGCCAGGAAATGGGCTTCATAAGCTTGACGTGGGGTGGACTGAGCTCTCCATCCGAATAAACTAGTGTCCCTTTAAATAATGCAATGGGGCCGTGAGAACACGCACGCACAGTGAGTAGATACACACACAGTGATACAGTGAGGGGATCTACGTCCTTCTGATTCACTGTCCTCCTTGCTCAAGGGAAGGAGAAACTCAGTTTAAATCGGAGGTCAGGTTCTAGAACATTGCCTGCCTTGCTGAAGTCGAATCAGGAAGTGCCAGGCCGGCATGAGCAGTCTGAAGTCCCCTGCCATCAGGGCTGTGGTACAACCAGATGCCTCAGACCTGAGCTCCCGGAAGGCATGACTGACGTTCTTCCTGGAAGGTTTTCTGAAGGCAGTCACTGCAGATGTCCTGGGACACACAAGTCTGGTCAAGCCCCAGATCTCTTTTTCCTCTTCCACATTTCACTTTGTTGAGCCCACTCAGAGCTCAGGGAACGGGGAGCCCACAAGACTGTGACCACAGAGCAGGAGCTGTTTCCCAGCAGAGGCCAGAAAGGAAAGCTGGAGTCCTGGCTTAGTCCCTTCAAACTGCTATAGCAAAATACCATAAACTGAGTGGCTTATAAACAATAGAACGTGTTTCTCACAGTTCTGGAGACTGGGAGGTCCAAGATCAAGGTGTCAATAGATTAGGTGTTTGGCGAGGGCCAGAGTTCTGGTTCCCGTGTCCTCACAGGGGAAAGGCAGCTCTCTGGGGCCTCTTTTCTGAGGGCACTAATCCCAATTTTGAGGGCTCTGCACTCATGACCTAGTCACCTCCCAAAGGTCCCACCTCCTAATGCCATCATCTTGGGAATGAGGTTTCCAACATATAAATTTAGGGGAGACACCAACATTCAGAACCTAGCCAGTGCCCCAAAAAGCAGGGGACATGGTTTAGGCTGGCCTCCTGGGCATTGGTTGCCCAGGAAATCCTACAGTGCTGCTCCCCCAACCTTCCCATGCAAAGGAGGTGGAACGGGACCCATGTAAATCTTTTTTTTCTTTGAGACGGCGTCTTGCTCTGTTGCCTAGGCTGGAGTGCAGTGGCCTGATCTCAGCTCACTGCAGCCTTGCCTCCCTGGTTCAAGTAATTCTCCTGCCTCAGCCTCCCAAGCAGCTGGGGCTACAGGCATGCACCACCACGCCTAGCTAATTTTTGTATTTTTAGTAGAGACAGGTTTTCACCATGTTGGCCAGGCTTGTCTTGAACTCCTGACCTCAAATGACCCACCCGCCTCAGCCTCCCAAAGTGCTGGGATTATAGGTGTGAGCCACTGCAGCCTGCAAGGGATCCATGTAATTTTATTTTGCATTCCTGGTTGAACATCCTGAAGAGAGACATGGTCATACCCCTGCTTCTCCCTATCCAGGTGGAGAGGACGGGACAGCATGGCCCGATCCAGGGCAGCCTGTGGAGATGGTGGTTTTCTGCCTCGATCTCTCATGTGTTTGCTGTCTGTACCAAAAGCCAGTGCCCTGCTCCCTCTCTGTCTCTCTGTCCTCTGCCCTATCCTTGAAAAGCTTCCTCCTGGTCAGTGTGGCTGCATTTATTAATATTTTGTGTCCTATCCCACCTTGTGTTTACATGGCGACCTTCTCTGGAAGGCCAGCTGTTCTGGCTCTCAGCCTTGTTCTGGCTATGCGCTGGTAACCAGACATCGGGCAGATGTAAGCAAGCCTTCTTTTCTCTTCTCCTGCCCTTTCTGTGGAGTCATAAAGCTGGAAGAGATTCTTGATTTCACAGATGAAGAAGCTGAATCGGGGCATGGTTGACTGACTTGCCCAAGGAATGCAAACTCTGGTCTCAAGATCCCCCTCCCAGAGCGGTGCTGTTTCTAGGACAGACTACCTTTGACTTTATCCCACCTCTCATTTTAGGGCTACTATGTTGCTTATATTAAATACATGATCATAGCATTTCAGGAATTTTATTTACAGTAATGGGGGGTTTTCTGTTTTTTTGTTGTTGTTGTTTTTTGTTTTCTTGGGTTTTTGCTTTTGTTTTTACTTTTCAAATATTTCTAAGTTTCAACAGGATTTTTTTTCCTATGTAATTATTTATATTTGTAACCCTTTCCCTATGGCTGCCTTCCCTCTAAGTGTTCTGGCATCTGGTCTGAATGAACCTTCTAAGATCTGACTGCCCCAGCAGCACTGTCCTTTCTCTGTCTTTGTCCTCAGCTGCCCTGGATCTGCAGTAATCAAGGCAGAGCCTATCAAGTCCAGAACCTACCAAGGCTGTCTACAAGCAGACAGCCCATGAAAATCAGCTGGGTGCTCTACCTTTAAGCCCCCAACCCTCACCTTTAACTGAATACAATGGGCCTATCAGCCTTTTTTTTTTTTTTTTTTGAGACAGTCTCACTCTATTGCCCAGGCTGGAGTGCAGTGGCATGATCTCAGCTCACTGTAACCTCTGCTGCCTCACAGAGGCAATCTATTCTCCTGCCTCAGCCTCTCAAGTAGCTGGGATTACAGGCACCTGCCACCATGCCCAGCTGATTTTTGTATTTTTAGTAGAGACGGGGTTTCACCATCTTGGCCAGGCTGGTCTTGAACTCCTGACCTCGTGATCCACCCGTCTCAGCCTCCCAAAGTGCTGGGATTACAGCCATGAGCCACCATGCCTGGCCCTTATCAGCTAGTTTATTCCTCTATTTCCCCTCTATTTAGTTTTCAAGAGAATATTCCTGAGTGTCGGGGGATTGGTTTGGTGGGGTTCAACATGTCTACAGAAAGTATTTTAAACATCTTTTGGTAAGATCAGTTGCCATCTCCTTGGATTAGTGCTCTGATACATTCAGGTTCTCTGTGTAACATAGGCATGCAACACAAAATGGGAAGATTTGTTGCAGAAATTTGTCTTTAAGACCCCAACAGAGGCCAGGTGCGGTGGTTCATGCCTGTAATCTCAGCACTTTGGGAGCTGAAACAGGCGGATCACTTGAGGTCAGGAGTTTGAGACCAGCCTGGCCAAGATGATGAAACCCTGTCTCTACTAAAAGTACAAAAATTAGCCGAGTGTGGTAGCAGGCACCTGTAATCCCAGCTACCTGGGAGGCTGAGGCAGGAGACTCACTTGAACATAGGAGGCGGAGGTTGCAATGACCTAAGATTGTGCCACTGCACTCTGGCCTGGGCAACAGAGTGAGACTCCATCTAAAAAAAAAAGAAAAAAAAAAGCTGGGTGTGGTGGCTCACACCTATAATCCCAGCATTTGGGAGGCTGAGGTGGGCGGATTGCGAGGTCAGGAGATCGAGACCATCCTAGCTATTATGGTGAAACCCCATCTGTACTAAAAATACAACAAATTAGCTGGGCATGGTGGTGGGCACCTGTAGTCCCAGCTACTCGGGAGGCTGAGGCAGGAGAATGGCATGAACCCGGGAGGCAGAGCTTGCAGTGAGCCAAGATTGCTACTGCACTCTAGCCTGGGCGACAGAGTGAGACTCTGTCTCAGAAAGACAAAAATAAATTAAATAAATAAACAGATGCTAGCAGAAGCAAGATCCAGTCTGAAATTATCCTTCCAGAGCTGTCCTGGGGGCTCCTCTGGGTCCCCAGTGGTGCCCCATACCATGTTGCATACCATTTTGGGTTCATGGACTTACTGATTCAGCTATGGCTGAGTCTTACTGTCAGCTCATTTGCAGCTGCTTCTCTCCCTTTTCATCCTTTACCCCACATTTCTCTGTGGTTCTAAATGTCATCAACCCCTACGAAGCACCTACAGAGGTCCCAGGAACAAAGTCCAGCATGTTAGCCTGACAGGATAATAGGGTAGAAACCGTGTAGGGAGAACGGTCTAGCAGAGGTGCAGTGACTTCATCCAATTCATTCACTACAAAAATATCTATCAAGTGCCAACTCCGGGCATGGCCCTGTACCAGGCACTACATTCTCACATTATATCTAGAGCTTTAGCCAACAGAACTGTGCAGTCCTGTGCTGAAAGGTGAAGAGACTGTCTACTTATGTATGATATCAGGACTGCCAGTAGAAACCGTTCCCCCTAGAAAAGCATTTCCAATTTTACAAGATGAAAGCCTGTAGAAAAGCAGATTTCACTGTGCTGTGATTAAAGACCAAACACCAGTTAACATCTGCCAAAAGGAGCAAGACATTGAACATCCACGAATGCCATTCCACATGCCTTTGGAAGCAGCAGAGATGGTGGATGCAGTCAGGCACACACAGCCTTTGAAGTCAGACGTGCCTCGGCCAAATCTTACCCCCTTCTTGCTGCCAGTGTGAACTTGTAACCTCTTAATCTTTACAGGCCTCAGCTTCTTGATTTATATATGAGAATACAAGTATTTATCAAAGAGATTATGAGATTTCAAAATAATAAAGTGCCTAACACAATGCTGAGCATAAAGTAAGTGCTCAGTTAAAGGGACATTGCTTATACTGATGGTCCTTCATACAGGGACAACATAAGAAGGAAACAAACATGTCTTGAGCACCTACTGTAAACCAGTCACAAATGCTCTCATTTGTTCTCATGACAACCCAGTGAAATGGGTCCCATTATTAATCTCATTTTACAGATTGTGAAACTGAGGCTTAGAATGCTTCAGTAGGTTGCCCAAGATCAAACTGAAATTGAGTAAATGCTAAGCAAAAAGAAAACCTGGATAAAAGGTGTAAGTGCTAATTTTGCAACTTTTAAGTCTAAAATTATCTTTAAATAAATGTGTGTATAATTTAATATTTTATTTCACCTTATGTCAGTTATACATTATAGTTTTCAAGGAATTCTTTAATTTTATCTAATTTGCCAAATGTAGTGGCATAAAATGGTATTATTCACTTATCTTTTTAATGGCTGTAGGATCTGTAGTGGTAGCCCTTCTTTTGTTCCTAATATTGATGATTTGTGCTCTTTCCCTTTCTTCTTAATTATTATAGCTAAACATTTATAAATTTTGTTTTTCTTCTCAAAGAGACAACTTTTTGCTTTGTTAATTTTCTCAAGTGTTTGTTTAAAATTTCATTGGTTTCTGCTCATATCTTTATTTGTTTCAATAGCACCTAGGATTTGTTTTAATCAGATGTGGTAAGATACATAGACATGAAAATAATTTCCATGAAGAAAGAAGTTTTTATTATACTCACAGTCTCCTAAGAACAAGAGGGATGGTATGTCATGCAGGATCACACAGGAAAATGCCCAGGTGAGATGAGCAGGCAGAGAGAGAGGAAAAGAGAGAAAGAGAGAGAGAGAGAGAGGAACTGTGGACAAGTGACTTTATTGTGGTTTTTGCAGGAAGGAACAATTGAAACAAGGTAAGCAAGCTAAGCAGGTTTAGGATTGGATAGTTTGAAGAGTTTGGATGGGCTCTAGGCTCTAGGGGTAGTCCCTAGTTGTCCAGCACCCAGCTTTGCGGTGTTTAGGGCAAAAGGATATCGTAGCAGATAAAAGGAAACAAGCAGGAGTATGAACTTGGGGTTATTTGGTTTGCATATAAAATGCATGCTCTAGAGCAAGTCATTTACTATCTTTCAGAATTTGCAAACTCCAGAGGAGCAGTCCTTTCAGGTCAGTAAGGCCCCAGATGCAAGAATATTGAAAATACAGAAAATAAGAAAATACAGCTTTATTATTATTTTATTGCTTTCTCTTTCTTTGGGTTTACTCACTCAGCTCTTTTTTTCCTAGATTATCAAAACTGAAATATAGGTAATTGACTTTATACCTTTCTTCTTTCCTAATATAAGTGCTTAAAGTTACAGCATTCCCTCTAAGTACTACTTTAGCTGCATACCATAAATTTTGATATATGGTGTTTTTATTTTCATGTAGTTCAGAATGCTTTCTAATTTTTCTCATAATTTTTTCTTTGATCCATGGGTTACTTAGAACTGTGTGGTTTAATTTCCACATATTTGGTTTCTTTCAGATATCTTATTATTTATTTATAATTTAATTCCACTGTGGTCAGAGAAGACATTGTATGTTTTCTTTTTCTTTCTTTCTCTTTCTTTCTTTTTCTTTCTTTCTTTCCTTCTCTTTCTCTCTCTCTCTCTCTCTCTCTCTCTCTCTCTCCACTATATGTTTTCAGTCCTTCCTTCCTTCCTTCCTTTTCTTTTTCTTTCTTTTTGAGACAGAGTCTCACTCTGTCACTGAGTGTGCCTTTTTTAGATAGCATATAATTGAGTCTCACCTTTTTATCCAATGTGAAAAATCTTTGCCTTTTAAGCTGAGTGGTTTATTTAAATTTAATGTAATTATTGATATGTCTGAATTTAGGCCTACCATTTTATCATTTGTTTTCTATTTGTTTCCTCTGTTTGTTTGTTTATTTATTGAGACAGAATCTTGCTCTGTCTTCCAGGTTGCAGTGCAATTTTGGCTCACTGCAAAATTTTGCAATTTTGGCAAAATTGCAATTTTTGCAATTTTGGCTCACTGCAACCTCCGCCTCCTGGGTTCAAGTGATTCTCCTGCCTCAGCCTCCTGAGTAGCTGGGATTTCAGGCACCTGCCACCACACCTGGCTAATTTTTGTATCTTTAGTAGAGACGGGGTTTCACCATGTTGGCCAGGCTGGTCTCAAACTCCTGACCTCAGGTGATCCGCCCACCTCGGCCTCCCAAAGTGCTGGGATTACAGGCATGAGCCACTGTACTCAGCCAGTTCCCTCTGTTTTTTTATTACTCTGTTTTCCTTTTCTGCCTTCTTTTAGATTAATTGATTGAATGTTTAAAATTTCACTTCAATTCTTTTATTGACTTTTAACGTATACCTCTGCATTATTGTTATAATTGTTTAATGTCTGCCACTGGATCACAATATACATTCTTAATTTATCACAGTGTTTTTTAGTGTTAACAGTGTATACAGCATATAAAATGTAAGATTGCCAGATGTGGTGACTCATGTCTGTAATCCCAGCACTTTGGGAGGCCGAGGCAGGTGGATCGCTTGAGGCCAGGAGTTCTAGACCAGCCTGGGCAAGATAGTGAGACCCTGTCTCTACGAAAATAAAATGAAAAACATTAGCCAGGCATGGTGGCGTGTGCCTATAGTCCCAGCTACTTAGAAGGCTGAGGCAGGAGGATCACTTGAACCTGAACGGTTGAGAGTGCAGTGAGCCATGATAGAGCCACTACACTCCAGTCTGGGCAACAGAACAGAACAAGACCCTGTCTCAAAAAAAAAAAAAAAAAAAAAAGTAAATAACTAAATTAAATAAAATGTAAAAAGCTTTCAATGAAATGGGCCAATTACCAAGTCCTGTCATTTATGCTATGGTGGTCATATGCATATTATGTCCATATATGTTAAAAACCCCGTGGTGTAATATTATAATTTTTGCTTTAAATAGTCATATGTGTTTTTAACAAATTTTTAGCAAGAATATTCTTATATTTATAGATAGATTTACAATTTCTGGTGCTCTTCATTTTGTTTTGAAGACCCAAGTTCCCTTCTGATATCATTTTCCTTCAGCAGGAAAAACATTCATTAGCATACTTTGTATTGTAGGGTCACTAGCAACAAATTTTTAAAAATATGATTTATCTGAAAATGTCTTTATTTTGACTTTGTCCTTGAAGACTATTTTTGGTAGATATAGAATTCTGGGTTGACTTTTTTTACATTCGGCACTTTAACAATATCACTGACCTGTTCTCTAGCATCCATTCTTTCTGATGAGAGGTCAGATTCATTTCTGTCATTGTTCCTCTCTATGTGGTGTGCCATTTCTTCCCCTTCATTGTGGTTTCAATATTATATTTGTGTCTTTGGATTTCTGCAGGTAAAACATGCCTACATGTACTTTTCTGCATATTCTGGTTGGAGTGCACTTAGCTTCTTGAATCTATAAATTTGTGTCTTTTACCAAATTTAGGGAGTTTGGGCCATTATTTAACCCAGTAATTTTTCTCCTTTATTCTCTCTTTCCTGTCCCTTTAGAATTAGTTTAGCGTTAGAACTCTTAATGATTGTCCCACAAGTCCACAAGGCACTGTTCTTTCTTTTTTCTTTCTTTTTTTTTTTTTTTTTGAGATGGAGTCTCGCTCATCTCGGCTCACTGCAAGCTCCGCCTCCCAAGTTCACGCCATTCTCCTGCCTCAGCCTCCGGAGTAGCTGGGACTACAGGCGCCCACCACCACGCCCGGCTAATTTTTTTGTAATTTTAGTAGAGACGGGGTTTCACCGTGTTAGCCGGGATGGTCTCCATCTCCTTACCTTGTGATCCACCTGCCTCGGCCTCCCAAAGTGCTGGGATTACAGGCGTGAGCCACCGCACCCGGCTCTTTTTTCTTTTTCTTCGTGTATTTAAGGTTGAATATTTTCTATTCTATGAACTTCAAGTTCATTGACTCTTCTGTCACCTCAATCCGTCACTAAACACATCCAGTGAATTTTTTATTATATAAGTTGGTCTCATATTTCCATTTTTTGTTATTGTTTTTGTTTTTTTTTAAATATTGTTTTCTATTGAGATTTTCTATTTGGTTATTTATTATAAACTTTGTCTTCCCCTTTAGCTCTTTGGGCATAGTTATAACTGCAGTTTTAAAATCCTTTTTTTGGTCATTTACCATCTGGTATGCTCTGAGGCTCAACAGCTATTGCTTGTCTTCTGAGTAAAGGTCACTTTTTCTGGTTTACTAGTATGCCTAGTTATTTGGGATTGTATCCAGGGATTGTTAATGATATGTTGTAGATGTTCCTTATTCTGTTGTGTTACCCTGAATATAACTTTTTAAAATTGAGGTATAATTCATTTACCACAAAATTCACCACGTTATAGAGTATGACAGAGTGGCTTTTTAGTATGTTCACAAAGTTGTGCAATCATCACAAGTATCTAATTTAAGAACATTTTCATCATTCAAAAAAGGTATCCTATGCCCATTAGCAGTCATTCCTCATTCTTTTATCCCTTTGGCACTAGGAAACCACTAATCTACTTTCTGTCTTTATGAATTTGCCTATTCTGGGCATTTTGTAAAAACAGAATAATAAAATATGGGGCTTTTGTGAGTGCTTTTCTTTCACTTAACATGCTTCAAGAATCATCTATGTTGTCACATTTAACAGTACTTCATTGACTTTTATGGCTGAATAATATTCAGTTGTATGGATATATCATATTTGGGTTATCCATTCATCAACTGATGAAAATTTGGTTTGTTTACAATTTGTGGCTATTATGGCGAATCCTACAATGAGCATTTGTGTACAAATTTTTATGTAGACATGTTTTCATTTCTGTTAGGTATATACCTAGGAGTGGTATTGCTGGGTCATATGGTAACTCTTTAATCATTTGATTAACTGCCAGGTTGTTTTCCAAAGGGGCTGTACCATTTTACTTCCCACCAGCAGTTTAGAAGAGTTCCAGTTTCTCCATATTCTCATGAACACTGTTATTTTCCTTTTTTGTTGTTTCTATTATGACAGCGATCTTAGTGGGTGTAAAGTGGTATCTTATTAAGGTTGTGATTTTCATTTTCTTGATTAGTAATGATTAGAGCATCTTTTTATGTGCTTATTGGCCTGTCGTATATCTTCCTAAAATGTGTATTCAGAACCTTTGCCATGTTTTGGTTGGATTATTTGTCCTTTTATTATTGAGTTGAAGGAGTTCTTTATACAGTCTAGATACAAGTCCCTGATCAGATATATGACTTGCAAATAGTTTCTCCCATTCTGTGGGTTGATTTTCATTTTTTGATAGTGTCCTCTGAAGCACAAAAGTTCTTAATTTTGATGAAGTCCAATCTATCTGTTTCTTTCTTTTGTTGCTTACGCTTTTGGCGTGAACTCTAAAAATAGTTTGTCAAATATAAGGTCATGAAGATTTAGCCGTATGTTTTCTTCTTAGAGATTTATGGATCTAGCTCTTAAATTTATGTCTTTGGTCCATTTTGAGTTAATTTTTGTATATATTCTCAGGTAGGAGTCCAACTTCATTCTTTTGCATGTGGCTATGCAGTTGTCCCAGCACTATTTGTTAAAGAGACTGTTCTTTCTCCATTGAATGGTCTTGGCACTCTTGCTGAAAGTCATCTGACCATAGATGTATGGGTTTATTTCTAGACTCTGAATTCTATTCCATTGATCTATATACTATCCTTTTGCAGTTACTTAACTGTCTTGATTATAGTTGCTTTAAAGTAAGTTTTGAGATGTGTGAGTCCTCCTCTTAGTTCTTATTCAACATTATTTTGGCTATTCTGGGTCCCTTGAAATTGCATATGAATTTTAAAATCAGCTTCTCAATTTCTACAAAGAAGTTGGCAGGGATTCTGGTAAGGATTGCATTATCAGAATCTAGGTCAATTTGGGGAAGACTGCTATCTTAACAATGTTAAGTCTTCTGTGAACATGGAATTTGTTCAATTCATTTATAGCTTATTTAATTTTTTCAACAATATTTTACGGTTTTTAGTGTATAAGTTTTGCACTTCCTTTGTCAGATTCATTCCTAAGTATTTTATTTTATTTTATGTATTTTAGAGATAGGGTCTCACTCTGTTGCCCAGGCTGGAGTGCACTGGTGTGATCACAGCTCACTGCAACCTCCAACTCCTGGGCTGAAGTGGTCCTCCTGCCCTAGCCTCCTGAATAGGTAGGACCAAAAATGTCCATCATCATGCCTGGTTAATCTTTTTTTTTTTTTTTTGAGACACAGTCTTTGTCACCCAAGCTGGAGTGCAGTGACATGATCTTGGCTCACTGCAGCCTCTGCTTCCAGCATTCAAGTGATTCTCCTGCCTCAGCCTCCTGAGTAGCTGGGATTACAGGCGCCCACCACCATGCCCAGCTATTTTTTATATTTTTAGTAGAGACAGGTTTTCGCCATGTTGGCCAGGCTGGTCTCAAACTCCTTACCTCAAGTGATCTGCCCGCCTTGGCTTCCCAAAATGCCGAGTAATTCTTTTAATCTTTAGTAGGGTCTCCCTATATTGTCCAGGCTGATTCTGAACTCCTGGCCTCAAGCGATCCTTCTGCCTCAGCCTCCCAAAGTGTTAGGATTACAGGCATGAGCCACTGTATTTTGTTCTTTTTGATGCTATTGTAAATGGGTTTCGTACTTTCATTTTTGGATTATTCATTGCAAGCTTAAGAAATATGATTGATTTTCATATGTCAATCTTGTATCCTGAAACCTTACAGAACTCATTGTTGTTCTAATAGTTTTTTAGTGGATTCCTTAGAGATTTTTATATACAAGATCATTAAATCTGCAAATAGAGATATTTTTATTTTTCCATTTCAATAACTTTTATTTCCCTTTCTCTCTCTCTTTCTTTCTTTCTTTTCTGATTTCCCTGGCTAGAAGCTCCAATACAATGTTGAACAGAAGTGGTGAGAGAGGACATTCCTGTCTTTTCCAGATCTTAGGGGGTGTCTTAGTCTGTTCGGCCTGTTATAACAAAATATCTTGGACTGGGTAACTTATTAACAACACAAATTTATTGCTCACAGCTCTGGGGGCTAGGAAGTCCAAGATCAAGGTGCCAGTAGATTCAATGTCTGGTAAGAGTTTGGTCTGTGCCTCATAGATGGCAACTTCTTATTGAATCCTCACATGGCAGAAGGGGCAAACAAGCTCTCTTGGGCCTCTTTGATAAGGGCAGTAATCAAATTCATGAGGATGATGCCATCATGACATAATCACTTTCTATAGGTTGCACCTCTTTTTATTTTTAATTATACTTTAAGTTCTTGGATACATGTGCAGAACGTGCAGGTTTGTTACATAGGTAGGTCGCACCTCTTAATACTATTCCACTGGGGATTAGGTTTCAACATACGAACTTGTGGGGGACACAAACATTCAGACCATAACTGGGGGAAAGCTTCTAGTCTTTTGCCATTTAGTATGACGTTAACTATGGGTTTTTTTCTGTAGGTACCCTTTGTCATGTTGAGATTTCACTCTGCCTCTAGTTTGTTGGTTTTTTTTTTTATTATGAAAGGGTATTTCATTTTGGCAAATGCTTTTTCTACAACTATTGAGATACTCATAGCATTTTTGAGTTTCTGTCCTATTCATATGATGTATTACATTAATTTTCAGGTGTTAAACCATCTTTGCATTCCCAGGATAAATCCTGCTTGGTCCTGGTGTATAATTCTTTTCATATGTTGCTGGATTTGGTTTGCTAGTATTTTGTTGAGAACATTTGCTTCCATATTCATGAAAGATATTGGTCTGTAGTTTTCTCATGTTGTCTTTGGTCAGTTTGAGCATCAGGGTAATTCTGACCTCATAAAATGTGATGGGAAGTGCCTTCTTCTATTTTTGGGAAGAATTCATGAAGAATTGGCACTAATCATTCTTCTTTTTCTTCTCTTTCTCTTCCTTCCTTCCTTCCTTCCTTTCCTTCTCCTCCTTCTCTTCCGTCTTTTCCGTCTCCCTCCTCCACCCTCCCTCCTCCTCCCTCCTTCCTCTTCCTCCTCCTTCTCCTCTTCTTCTTCTCCCTCTTTCTCCCTTCTCCTTCTCCTCCCTTCTCCTTCTTTTTGAGACAGGGTCTCACTCTGTTGCCCAGGCAGGAGTGCAGTAGTGTGATCATGGCTCACTGCAGCCTTGACCTCCTGGGCTCAAGCAATCTTCCTGTCTCAGCCTCCTCAGTAGCTGGGACTACAGGTGTACACCACCATGCCTGGCTAATTTTTTAATTTTTTTTTTTGTAGAGAAGGGATTTCGCCATGTTGCCCAGGCTGGTCTCGAACTCCTGAGCTCAAGTGATGCACTTGCCTTGGCCTCCCAAAGTGCTAGGATTGCAGGCATAAGCCACTGCACCCAGGCTAATTCTTCTTTAAATGTTTAGTAGAGTTCAATGGTGAAGTCATCTGGGCCTGGACTTTTCTGTGTAGGTAGTTTTTACAAA
The DNA here is from genome assembly GCF_000001405.40 of Homo sapiens. NCBI lineage: Eukaryota > Metazoa > Chordata > Mammalia > Primates > Hominidae > Homo > Homo sapiens. The sequence continues at coordinate 112,125,197 of NC_000002.12, read as the reverse complement.
TTACTAATTGAATCTTATCACTTACTATGAGTCTATTCAGATTGCCTATTTATTCTTGAGTCAGTTTTGGTAGTTTTTATCTTCCAGGAATTTGTCCATTTCATGTAAGTTGATTTACTGACAAAATGTTATTCATTATATTCACATATTCCCTCTCCTTTTTTGCTCTTTGTTTTCTGTATGTCTTATCTTCTTTGTTCCTCCACTGCTGTCTCCTGTTTTGTTCAAAAAATTTAGTAGTTTACCATTTTAATTCCTTTCCCATTTCTTTTAGTACATTTTTTAAAAGTTATTTTCTTAGTGTTGCCTTGGGGTCTACCAATAATGCCTTATTTTATTTATTTATTTATTTATTTTTTTGAGACAGAGTCTCACTCTGTTGCCCAGGCTGGAGTGCCATGGCACAATGGCGGCTCACTGCAACCTCTGCCTCCTGGATTCAAGCAATTCTCCTGCCTCAGCTTCCTGAGTAGCTGGGGTTACAGGCGCGTGCCACCACGCCCGGCTAATTTTTGTATTTTTAGTAGAGACGGGGTTTCACCATGTTGGTCAGGCTGGCCTCAAACTCCTGACCTCGTGATCCACCCACCTCGGCCTCCCAAAGTGCTGGGATTACAGGCGTGAGCCACCGCACCTGGCCAATAATACCTTAATTTATAAGATTTTAGTTCTGAGTAAAACCAATTTTAATAGTATGCAAAACACTTGCTCCTGTATGGCTTCTCTCCTCCTCTCCTTTATGCTGCTATTGTCACGAGTTGTATTTTTACACATTATATGCCCATCAACTTAGATTTATCAATAATACATGTTTCTTTTAAATATACTAGGAGAAAAAAAGAGTTACAAACAAAAATACATTTATACTGTCTTTTATATTTGGCTAGTTATCTTTACTGGTACTGTTTTATTTCTTCAAATGTATTCAAATTACTGTTTAGTGTTCTTTAATTTCAGCCCAAAGTACTTACTTTAGTTTTGTTTTTTTTGTTTGTTTGTTTGTTTTTGAGATGGAGTTTTGCTCTTGTTGCCAGCTGGAGTGCAATAGCACTGTCTCAGCTCATTGCAACTTCTGCCTCCTCAGTTCAAGCGATTCTTCTGCCTCAACCTCCTGAGTAGCTGGGATCACAGTTGCTCACCACCACGCCTGGCTACTTTTTGTATTTGTAGTGGCGACGGGGTTTCACCATGTTGCCCAGGCTGGTCTCGAACTCCTGACCTCAGGTGATCTACCCGCCTCAGCCTCCCAAAGTACTGGGATTACAGACGTGAGCCACCGCACCTGGCCTACTTTAGTATTTCTTGCATGGCAAAACTACTAACAACAAATTCAGTTTTTATCTCAACTGTCTGTATTTCTATTCATGTTGAATGGATAGTTTGCTTGGATATAGAATTCTTGACTGACGGTTTTTCTTTCAGTACTTTAAATATATCATCCCATTGCCTTCTTACCACCATAGTTTCTGAGGGGGAAAAATTAGTTGTTAATGTTACAGAGGATTTTTACTAGGCAATGAGTCACTTCTCTCTTTCAAAACTCCATCTTTGGTTCTGGTTTTCCATCATTTGATTATGATGTTTCAGTACAGATCTCTTTGAGTTTATCTTATTTGGAGTTTGCTAATCTTTCTGCTTAGGTAGACTGTTTTTTGTCAAGTTTGAAAAGTTTTCAACCACTATTTATTCAAGTATTTTTCTTCCTCTCTCTTCTTCTTCTCGTACTCTCACCGTGTGTGTCTGTATGCTTGAGGTTGTTCCACAGGTCTCTGAGATTCTGTTAATTTTTCTTCATTCTATCTTCTTTTTGTTCCTCACACTGAATAATCTCAATTGACCTATATTCAGATTCACTGATTTTCTTCTACCTGCTCAGATCTGCTCTTGAGCACCCTCTAATAAATGTTTTGTCTCAGTTATTGTACTTTTCAATATAAGAATTTTCATTTGGTTCATTTTTATCATTGCTATCTCTATTGACATTATTTGGTCAAACATCATTCTCATACTTTTGCATTTATACTTTTTTAGCTCATTGAATACTTACAAAACAGCTTACAGTTTTTGTCTAGTAAGTCAAACATCTGGTCTTTCTCAGGAACATTTTGTTTTGATGCTCTTTTTTTTCTTGTGAGAGATACACTGTCATTTCTTTGCTTATGTCATAATTTTTTGGTAAATACTAGACATTTTAAATAATATAATGTGGTAACTCTGAAAACCAGTTCCTTCCCCTTCAATGGTTTGCTGTTGTTACTACTTGTTGTAGTAGTTGTTTAGTGAGTTCTCTAAACTAATTCCGTAAAGTCTGTATATTTTGTGATATGTGGTCACTGAAGTCTCTACTCAGTTATGTAATGGTTAGACAATTATTGGACAGAGACTTTCTTAACCTCTCGGAACCAGTAAATCTCCCAGTCTTTGCCGAGGTGCTTGTGTGTATGGTGGGGCACACCTTCAGCACTCATTCAGGCAGTTTACAACTAACTCTGCCTTAGCCTTCACTTCTTGTTTGTGGTCTTTGCTGAGCATGCAGAGCCCTATGCATGCATGTGACCTTTTAGATTCCTGTAAGTATGTTGAAGGTTTTTCAAAGGCCTTATGGTCATCTCATTCTTTAGACTTTCCTTTTAAGGTTTTTGGTCAGTCTGTTGTTTGCTTTGAATGTTATTTTTTGCTTTAGGCAGCTGTGACATTAAAAAACATGCCTGTGAATATTTTTAATAAGTATCCCCTGGAAAGAGGCATTTAGCACTGGGAAAGCTGTGACTCAGGTCAAATAAAGACAAGCCTTTCCAGCAGACTCCACTGAACCCCAAGAAAATCTCCACTTATCAAATGAAGAAACAGAGAACTGGAATTATGACCATGTAGAAACAAGAATTTGGAAGCTGAAAAGACAATGAAGTCATATGAAATGACGTAGCAAGTGGTCACCAAAGTATATAAAATGTATTTCAAGTTTTGATGCCCAGTCCAACCCTTCTGTGGCATCTCTTTCCCCCTGACAATAAGGACCAGAGGTGAGAAAAACAAACTAGGAGGCAGTCTTCAACCCTGGTCTGAGGGAACTGTAGCCAGTGACACTTTCCTGGTCCTCCATTTCCTCATTTGTAAGATGATCTTAGAGGCTCTTTCCAGCTTTAAAGTTTTAAAATATACCAAAATAACTGTTTTTCCAGGGCAGTGCTGTGTGAATTATTTTTAAGTTTTTTTCTTCATCCCCAAATTTGTTTAGTGGCATTTGGTAAGTAAATTTATAAAATCTGTAAAGGGAAGAATTAGAGAAAAGAAAAAAAGATTAGAACTCTTCAAGAGACATTACTTTGGCACCACCTGCTGGATAGCTTTCACATTTTTTCCTGTGCATAAACTTCCATTGCAGCTTCTTGTTTTTTCAAAATGATTTTAAGGAAATACTGTCAAAATTATTTACATCTGAAATCAGATATAAATCAGGTCAGCCTCTGACCAGATGTAAATATCAGGTCACCTCTGTTAATGTAGCTGTACATTCCCTATCACTTAAGGGGCATAAAACTTGCTCTGGGTAACTTCATCTTAATACAAGTGAATCAATCCTGGAATGTGTTTGAATTTCATATGCCATTTGTTTCAATTGAGTCTCAGTCACCCCTCAATCATTGCTGTACCTTTCACATTAACCTTAGCTGCCTCCTGAAGGCTATGCACCAGGCACTTTAGATACATTGTCTTACTTAACCTTCTCTAACAAGCAAACAGCACTTTGTTAACCGAAACTCCTCTCTCCTCAGGACTTCGAGGACAACCCTTCTAGGATGATTCCCACCAGTATTATACCAGCCTTGCCACCTGCCAGGATGGTAAACTATCAAATTATTTAACCTCTCTCTCAGTTTTCTAATCTATGAACCAAGGGAACTAATACTTCATTGGCTACTGTGAGAATACAGTGGTTACCAAAGCCTGGCACTCTGCAAGTGCTCCCAAGTCTGCCAAAATGGTCATCAGTCTTATGACAACAGCCCTTCCTTTCCCTCTGGGACTATCCATCTTGTCCCTCTCACTCCTCACATGTCAAAGGTGGGAGAATGTCCATGAAGAAAATTCTCCATGTCCCATCTACTTACAGCAAGATGGATTTTTTAAATTAATTAAGATTAAGCTGTGAACCAAGACACACTTTTCTAGATTTTCTGATACATAGTCTAAGGCACTATTATTATTATTATTATTATTATTATTATTATTATTATTGAGAGTCTCGCTCTGTCGCCCAGGCTGGAGTGCAGTGGCACAATCTCGGCTCACTGCAAGCTCCGCCTCCCAGATTCACGCCATTCTCCTGCCTTAGCCTCCCGAGTAGCTGGGACTACAGGTGCCTGCCACCATGCCCAGCTAATTTTTTTCTATCTTTAGTAGAGATGCGGTTTCACTGTGTTAGCCAGAATGGTATCGATCTCCTGACCTCGTGACCCACCCATCTCGGCCTCCCAAAGTGCTGGGATTACAGGTGTGAGCCACTGCGCCTGGCCAAGGCACTATTATTTTTACATATTTATGTTGAATATGTTTCTTAGAAAATTAGGGGTAAAAATTAGGCCCTAGGGTATGGTGGGTCCGCAAGATGGAAATAAACCCCGGGTGTCTGAGGGACATGTGGAGGAGGGTGGCCCTTCCCACCTCTATACCTACTGAAGAATTGTCACATGAGCAAGAAATAAACTTTTTGTCTTAAGTTTCTGAAAGGCTAAAATCAAGTTGTGACCACAGCCTGGCTGAGCCTCAACACTAACCATGTATGCCACCCCAGTGCTTTTCCACTCAATCCTTTCTCTACTTTTTTTTTTTTTTTTTTTTTGAGACGGAGTCTCGCTCTGTCGCCCAGGCTGGAGTGCAGTGGCCCAATCTCAGCTCACTGCAAGCTCTGCCTCCCGGGTTCACGCCATTCTCCTGCCTCAGCCTCCCGAGTAGCTGGGACTACAGGCGCCCGCCACCACGCCCGGCTAATTTTTTGTATTTTTTTTTTAGTAGAGACAGGGTTTCACCATGTTGGCCAGGATGGTCTCGATCTCCTGACCTTGTGATCCACCCACCTTGGCCTCCCAAAGTGCTGGGATTACAGGCGTGAGCCACTACGCCCGGCCTTTTTTTTTTTAAATTATCTTTATTTCAAAATAATAATTAATTATGTAATTATTTATGTAATTAAGAATTATGTAATTACTTAATTCTGTAACTTTACAGAAAAGTTGGAAGATAGAATGCATTTTTTCTGAACCATGAGAGTAAGTTGCTCTACCTTATTTTTACATAGATAAGCATTCACATATGTGCCACTGCATCACAGTTCTTATAAGTATTTTTATTATAAATTCTTCATAATTTAATGGCTATACAATATCTCATAAAGTAGCTGGTTAAACCATAATTCACTTAACTATGATATTGTTTGTCTCTAATTTTATTTCTACTTTAATATTATAATAAACACTTTTGTGGAGAAACTTTATTCTGTATTTTGAATCATTTTTTAAAATATCACCAGAATTGACATTATTCAAAGGTTATAAACACATTGTTGAACTTTTCACAAAAAAGGAAATCAACTATATTACCATCATTAATAAGTGTGCTCATTTCATCAGACTTTGAAAGCAAAAGGATTTTACAAATATACCATAGTACAAACTTATGTTAATTTGATTTTTTAAACTATCCCCTATCTTTTGTTTTGCATTTCTTTACTACTACTGAGGTTGAGCACTTTTCCATGTTTGATTAGCTGTGCCTCCTGTTTTAAGAATTTTATGTCCTGCCATCTATTGGAGTCTATATATGTCTATATGTCCTACAGATTTATATAATCTAGCACCAATAAATACTATCAAGAATCAATCATTCAAATTCAGAGCATTTTTATTAAAAGAACAAAATATTAAGGCACAAAATACATCAATTTTTCAAATGAAAACCCTTCAAACGGTTATGTCCTACATTCAACGAAACTTCTTCCAAATTACGGAATAATTTAACTTTTTAAAATAGAAAAATACAAGTTCTTAAATGCCTAAAATTTCTCCCCAAATAAATGTTTTCTTAGTTTTAATGAAGTCTCTTCATGCAGTACTGAGCTCCAATATTATAATGTACACTTCCTTAAAAATCTAGTTTTGCCACTTATATACATTCAATATGTTTAACCAGTATATTAACCAGTATATTAACCAATATGTTAAACTTCTTTTAAGTATAAGGCTTGGTATTTTGTATTGCTTATTGCATGCTTTGATCATACAAAGACACAAGTACCAGAACTAGTGATTATAAATCTAGCATAGCATCTGTCAACTTTAGTCATGTACAGCCTAGTGCAACAGACTCGAACTTTTTTTTAAAAAAAGGATACATAACTCAAAATGTATATGTACATTTTTTATACTTTCAGCTTGACAGTATAGTAATGTAAACATTGTACTGTAATACAAGGGGAAAAGGTGGTATTTTCTACAGGATGTGTAAGTTAAAATATTATTTTCTTTACAAGAAAAATATGGGAACATTCTATCATCTCTCAGGCTTAAAAAATTCACATATTCACATATTTTTCCTTATTTTTACAATAAAATTAATTGCTATCTAAAGCAGATATTTAAATACTAATCTAAATCAAATCATGAAAATTCCCTTTTAAGCAAATTTCACACATCGTATGAATGAATGGCATAACCAGAACACTTAAGCATTTTGCCTAGAAAAACATCAAACCAGACCCGTATCCTCACTAACAGTGAGACCCACCCTGATGGGGGCATGCTAAAAGTAAACTGATTTGAGTGCCTCAGAGGCCCTGATGGCCAGTTTCAGGAAACTGTGCAGAAACAGGGATGATGAGCTGCTCAGTAGCCCTAGGTATAACTTCTCCTGGTGTCCTTCCTGTGAACTACAGCTATGGCACTAGAGCACCCCTCTTGCGTATGTAAGGGGCCTAAGAAGACCCTTCATAGAAATACTCGATCCAGGTCATCAGTCATCAAGAGATGGCACAAATATTACTGAAGGTGACAGACAGCACATGCCCTTCTAGTAACAGTATTTGTAATGAGGTTACTAGGAGGGAATTCTGCTTTCTCTGGATGGAAGAAAAGTTTGCACTGCAGCCTGTAGCTGAGCTACAGGGTAGCATCATTTATCCTACCAGCTGTAGAAAGACATGTTTTGGTAAACATTACTGAGATTCTGTCAGAGACAGTTTCCCTTTATTAACATACTCACCATTAACTCCACACTCCCACTCTACCAGATTTGCAGCTCCTACTGCCTGCAAGCCCAATATTCCACATTTTAAAATTCAACTAGAGCCACATAATGAGTAGGGGGTCAATCTGTCTCAAAACTTGGGGAATGGGGTATTAGATAAAAATGTTACTGGGCTAAGGGGAGAATACAACAGAACATAAATGCTGGGAATTATAGTGGGTGGGAACCCATTACTGCAGCAGAAACTGAAATAAGAAATGGAATTCACAATTGTTAAACTACTTTTTTTTTTTCTCCCTAGGAAGGATATCCCAAAGCAAGGGCATCTTGAAAAGCATGATTTTCTCGGTAATGTTTGCCAACACTGTTCACTTTCCACATGGTCACGACTGAAAACACATTTACCAATACCTTTCAAGCGATATGACTACCAGAAATAGATCTTCTTTACTACCCTCTCTGAAATGAGTAAACAAGAAATAAATTCAGAAGGTAGGCTTTTGAAAGAAAAAGAAAAAAAATTGCTTGCGGCTTCACAGTGAAAAAAATTGGAGTGTTTGTGCCGGTTAAGATTTTAATGTTTTCTTAATCAAAATTCTCTGAAGTCATTCTCAATTTACAAGGTTAGAACTCCTTCAAAGAAAAGACATACAAGACTCTAGCTTTAATTATTATTCTAAATGTCCACTAGCCCTGTATCTTTGGTCATGAAAGCAGCAAAACATTCACATTTTCATCATACTACATTCAATTGCCTTTCAAGTTTAGAACATTCTACATTTTAAAAAAAGACATTAAAGCAAAAGATTTCATATTACACATTACAAATATATGATGTAACGAAATAAGGTATAAAACATGGTTGAAGCTTAAGAAATTAATTATAAAATCAATAGTGATGTAGCATGCAACTAAATGTATGTTTTTATTATGAAATGTAATATGCCAAGATTATGTAAAAGATACAGTTCTAATTTCCACAAAGTTCACCAGTAATGGGTCTCCCAGCTTGCCAGTTAGGAAGTGCTCTGGGGGAGCCACGTGGCCACCACCCACCCCAGCACACTCAGCAGCATCGCATGTACACATGGCCTGAGTGAGGGACAATGAGGGTAATTCTTTGGTAGTGACCCTCAAGACATCTCTCTCTGTGCACTTGTGTTCCCCTGAGCTCAGAGAAGACCTAACTCCATGATTTGATGTGCATGATGAGACTCAAACAAGGGCTTTGTATAGATTTTTTAAAAAGGGTGGGTTGGGGGGGAGCGGAAAAAACCTATAAATATGCCTATATTCAAACATTAACTGTTTTACTTAATATCAAATCACTTCAGTACAAATGTCAAAGAGAAGTATTATTGCATCTAGTAAACCTAAGACACAGAGACACGGATATACTATACTCCAGAAAATCACAATATCTACCTCAAAGGTGACTAGAAGAAAGACCAAGGGTATTTATTAAAAAACATTTTTCTTTAATCTGGAATTGTCATATGTTCCAGAGAAAAGAGGGAGAACCCAAACCCACAGGCCTGCCACCTATCAGCTAAGAGGCATCTGTGCAGATCTTTATCATAATACTTTCCTCAGGTTATTTCCAAATCCAATTTAATGGATATTCAACTGACACTCAAGAGTCAGCTTTAAAAGGACTATAGAACCTCCTACCATCTGAATTCTTCATTTTGATACACAGACTTCCAAGATAACACAATAAAAATTTTTAGGCAATATCAAATCAAAGCTCACTTTCAGTCTTGATGAAGGATAGTCCTTCAGGCTTAACTACATTTCTTATACGGGTTCCAATCACATTATCTTTTCTGAAGAGAACATTTTTTCAGCCATTTCAGATCTGGTCATGATTTCCTGAAGAAAAAAAAAGAAGATATGTATCAACATGTTGATACTACTTCCAGAACCCTAACAAAAATTTTCTAATCTTTCAACAGCCACATTTAGGGAAACTAAATATATTCCATAATATACATGGAAATATTACATACAGAAAATAAAAGGCCAAGTACAGTGACTCATGCCTGTAATCTCAGCACTTTGGGAGGCCGAGGCGGGAAGGCTGCTTGACGCTAGGAGTTCGAGACCGGCCTGGGCAACATAGAGAGACCTCATCCTTATAAAAAATTTAAAAATTAAAAAATAACCATATAATCCATACTCTCCAATAATGTATAGTCAGTTATCTGCTGAGAAGTTCAGAAAACTTCAACTTCCTGCTAGCTAGAAAACATGTCAAGTTCAGAATCTCCAATGAGAGGCAGGAATAGAGCTAAAATGGATTTCTTAGGCCTAGCTCATCTAGAGATTTGCCTCACTTTACTAAATTAATGTATTATTGAAATTACAAATGAATTATTTACTAAAACTTTAAATACAGAAAGATGTAGCATAAAATTCCTTTTAAAGGGGCATTTAAAGTACTTTTAATCTACATGCTACATCTTTCTGTAGAGTTATGAATCTTTCTGTAATGCTACCTCTTTCTGTAGAGTTATGAATCTTTCTGTAATGCTACATCTTTCTGTAGAGTTATGAATCTTTCTGTAATGCTACATCTTTCTGTAGTTATGAATCTTTCTGTAATGCTACATCTTTCTGTAGAGTTATGAATCTTTCTGTAATGCTACATCTTTCTGTAGAGTTATGAATCTTTCTGTAATGCTACATCTTTCTGTAGAGTTATGAATCTTTCTGTAATGCTACCTCTTTCTGTAGAGTTATGAATCTTTCTGTAATGCTACCTCTTTCTGTAGAGTTATGAATCTTTCTGTAATGCTACCTCTTTCTGTAGAGTTATGAATCTTTCTGTAATGCTACCTCTTTCTGTAGAGTTATGAATCTTTCTGTAATGCTACCTCTTTCTGTAGAGTTATGAATCTTTCTGTAATGCTACCTCTTTCTGTAGAGTTATGAATCTTTCTGTAATGCTACCTCTTTCTGTAGAGTTATGAATCTTCCTGTAATGCTACATCTTTCTGTAGAGTTATGAATCTTTCTGTAATGCTACCTCTTTCTGTAGAGTTATGAATCTTTCTGTAATGCTACCTCTTTCTGTAGAGTTATGAATCTTTCTGTAATGCTACATCTTTCTGTAGAGTTATGAATCTTTCTGTAATGCTACATCTTTCTGTAGAGTTATGAATCTTTCTGTAATGCTACCTCTTTCTGTAGAGTTATGAATCTTTCTGTAATGCTACCTCTTTCTGTAGAGTTATGAATCTTTCTGTAATGCTACCTCTTTCTGTAGAGTTATGAATCTTTCTGTAATGCTACATCTTTCTGTAGAGTTATGAATCTTTCTGTAATGCTACCTCTTTCTGTAGAGTTATGAATCTTTCTGTAATGCTACCTCTTTCTGTAGAGTTATGAATCTTTCTGTAATGCTACATCTTTCTGTAGAGTTATGAATCTTTCTGTAATGCTACATCTTTCTGTAGAGTTATGAATCTTTCTGTAATGCTACATCTTTCTGTAGAGTTATGAATCTTTCTGTAATGCTACGTCTTTCTGTAGAGTTATGAATCTTTCTGTAATGCTACGTCTTTCTGTAGAGTTATGAATCTTTCTGTAATGCTACATCTTTCTGTAGAGTTATGAATCTTTCTGTAATGCTACCTCTTTCTGTAGAGTTATGAATCTTTCTGTAATGCTACCTCTTTCTGTAGAGTTATGAATCTTTCTGTAATGCTACATCTTTCTGTAGAGTTATGAATCTTTCTGTAATGCTACATCTTTCTGTAGAGTTATGAATCTTTCTGTAATGCTACATCTTTCTGTAGAGTTATGAATCTTTCTGTAATGCTACATCTTTCTGTAGAGTTATGAATCTTTCTGTAATGCTACATCTTTCTGTAGAGTTATGAATCTTTCTGTAATGCTACATCTTTCTGTAGAGTTATGAATCTTTCTGTAATGCTACATCTTTCTGTAGAGTTATGAATCTTTCTGTAATGCTACCTCTTTCTGTAGAGTTATGAATCTTTCTGTAATGCTACATCTTTCTGTAGAGTTATGAATCTTTCTGTAATGCTACCTCTTTCTGTAGAGTTATGAATCTTTCTGTAATGCTACCTCTTTCTGTAGAGTTATGAATCTTTCTGTAATGCTACATCTTTCTGTAGAGTTATGAATCTTTCTGTAATGCTACATCTTTCTGTAGAGTTATGAATCTTTCTGTAATGCTACCTCTTTCTGTAGAGTTATGAATCTTTCTGTAATGCTACATCTTTCTGTAGAGTTATGAATCTTTCTGTAATGCTACATCTTTCTGTAGAGTTATGAATCTTTCTGTAATGCTACATCTTTCTGTAGAGTTATGAATCTTGAAGTTTAACTGTTTTGCAGCAAGGCCTTCTCAAACCTTCCCATCCCAGTACAGTCAAATAACAGACTGATGCCAAAATCATTTCCTTCTCTTTCAACGTATACAGCTCTGGCCCCTCTTATGTGCTACAGCCACCATACAAGTTACAACTTAGCTACCACTAACTTCCCTCCACTCGTCCTTTTTGAAAGTTAATGTTCCGTGCATCCAGTCTTTAATTCTTACACTTCAGATTTCTTCCCGCCTTGTGCCACACAACTTAATGTCCAAGTGATCCACAGCTAATTTTTTTCCCAAAAACTTTCCTAAATCCACATCCTCTATCCAAATTTCCTGCTTAGTAAATGAAAATGAGATTGAAACTTTAATATCTCAGCAAAATGTCTACAAGTATCAGAGATTAATTTAGACAAACTGCCATCTTAAAATCGTTTAAACTCAAGATTTCATAAAATAACCCTTCATTTCCTTCATACCAGTAAGTATTTATCTTGTTCTTGTTTGAAATGGGGACTTTATTCATAAATCCTTTCAACTTTACCCACAAATCAATTCATAGCATCTTTCTGTCTGTTCAATTTATAATAATCTTAAAAAGTAGCTTTCAGAACTTCTTTCTGAAATACATCTCTACTTTGTGAAAATATCAGCTCCAAGGAAATATGCAAAAATATATTTTACCTCATCTGAATCCACTAACACTGGAAGAGCTCTGAAATAAAAGGGAAAAAAAGGTGATAATGTTGTTAACAGTAAGGCCAGTGTATCCACGAAAGCCGAATACAGGCACATGCCATGGCCCACTAATTCTCACTCCTGGGTATCCACAGGTGACAGAAGGGAGCATCTAGGCTCGCAGACAGACATGCAGGAGTTTTCGCAGCAGTGCTGTTCTCAATAGCACTCAACTGAAAATAACCCCAATGGGTAAATTGCGGGTTATTCAGACAATGGAATACTATACAGCAAAGCAAATGGATGATCTATTGAGGGATAACATTTTAAAACCTGACACAAATAATCTACAGTTGTAGACTTCAGGACAGCAGGACCTTTGGGAAAGTGGGCTCCTGATGTGAAAGGGAAATAGGAAATGGGCTTTTTAGAGCACTTAGTGTTATTCTGTTTTTTGATCTGGGTGACGATTACACAAATGTGCTCATCCAAAAATTTTATTGCGGACCTAACCCATTTATGAGTAAACACATTATGAAAGGCGGTATTTACAGAATCCAGCATTTGCTTAACTTCTGTGTCATTATGACCACTGCCTGGATGTCTGCCAGCAAAGGGTACCAGAGAGAAGTGTTATATAACAGAACTTTTGCTCAACAAAGATAATATAGATATAAAGAAAAGACGAATGTAACAAATGTTAAGTAAGTTTAATCTAGCCTCAATGTGTGACAGAGGTCTGAGGGAGGAGAGCCTGAAGGAAATGTCCAAGTTCCAAAGTTTTGCCATGAAAGAGCCACGCACAACGCCAGAGGATGCTACCTACAGTGCGGTCCATGGTGAAGCCAGGAGGGCCAGGAGACTGACTAGGTGTGAGGAAGGAGGCAAGGCAGACTGTTTGGAATAATACGATTAAGGAAAATATGGGGGAGAAGACGGCGTTAGAGGAAAGGTGAACCAGAAGGCAGTCTGCTACACGCTTGGCACCTTGTTTAGAGCTAAACACTAGCAATATCAACAACGGTCCCTGCTATGACGTTAATGACTACTTAAAACTTATTAAGAACGATTCAGTGCATTAAAGAGGGAGATAAGCTATGCTAATGTCACCTTCATGGGTTATCGAAGATGAGGAAATTCACAGTGAATATCATACCAATATCTCATAATACATATCATGTGGTTATTCATGATCTGTTTAAAATGTCCCATGACTTATAAAATTTTTGTTCCATTTCCACAGATGTATAAGGGGAAGGCTTTTCTCTGTGTTTAAAGTCTAAATACTAAACTTGCTATGTAAATTGTACATTAATTTTGGATAGTATTGGGCTACATTTCTTGTGTTAAAGTTTTCGTAAGTGAAGAAGCAAAGGTTCCCAAGAACCTAAAATTTTGGAAATCATCTTAGATTATAGAGCTCTACTCATTTCACATAAATGGTTCATGAAGACATCAAATAAGAAGTTCAGTCTTCTATATTTCAAAGGATTTTTTGTAACCAAGAATATATTTCTATCTACAGAAAAAAATAGTAGAGAATGGTGACTTCCTCACATGCAAAGAGAACTACCTAGGAGCCTTATTGGTTTCCAGCAAGAAGTGATGGCACAGTAGGAGGTAAGCCTGCTTAAATAATTTCCTTCTAAAATGCTTAGTTATGAGTTTCCAAATCTGGAAAATAATGGTGGCCACCTAATTTGAATCTCTCCATATAGTCTTGCTCAAAAAACCATAAAATTACTAAGGATCACAAACAAAACCACAAAAGACACATGCCTTCAGCATTACCAAAAAAACACCACAAACTTGAAATTATATGTAAATAGAGAAATAAATGTCAAATTCCAACAGATTCCCTGCTGTGACTGCAAGCTCATGGGTACACAGAGTAGGGAAACAGAGGGTTGAGAGACTTTAGGAAAAATAGTAGAGGGGTGGGAGGACTCAGACAACCGTAGACAAAATTCAACCCCTCCAAAAAAGCCCAACACTTAGTGCCAACAGACTGAATAAAACCAGTGACTTGGAAGAAGTTCACAGCACCTGCTACACGGAAGGGGCTCAAATCGAGTGGGACAAAAAGCAGCACCCTTGAACGATCATTGTTTTCAGGAAAGGATGATATATAAAAAAGAAGAATATTCCTTGGAGATGTGATCGTGTAGTAAATAAAAAGAAGACAGTAAAAAGTTGGGGGGGGCGGTGGGAGAAGGTCTGCAGAAATAAAAGAAAAATAAAACAACACCAACCTCTCCTACTCCATACCATCAACGTCATCCATAAAAGAAACTACAATTCATGCGCACTGATGGAAAAAGGCACTCAAACCAGGAACCTTCATCATAAAAGCTCTCAGAATGGGAAAACAAAATCAATTCCATATAACAGTGCAGGAAAGAAAAAAGAAGGAAAATGAAAATCAAAACATTTTACAGTAGAAGAAAACTATAGTTATAACACACAATACTCCAAATTAAATACAATAACTTAAAAAGAACATTTGGCAATATTAAAAACATTCTACAGTAAGAAATCTAAAAACCAAGAGCAGAAGTAGATAAAAACAAAGCATGAAGAAATTCAAAGAATCAATCATAATCAGAAAAAAAATTAAAGAAAAAGACAAAAATGATTCCAGTGCAGTGATGCAGAAAAGTACAAGGCACCCAAGGGAGAATAAATTCAACAGAAATCTTAATGTGTGGTAGGAAAACAACATAGAAAATGAAACAAAGAAGGAAAAAAGGATCACAGAGAATGTGATTGCAATACAAGAGAGCAAGTAAAGCTGGACAGAAAAGGTCAGATGATCCCTTCCACAAAAAACACTGACAAAACCTGGACCAAAATGTCAAAAATAAGTAGCTAGCCGGGTACAGTGGCTCATGCCTGTAATCCTAGCACTTTGGAAGGCCGAGGCAGATGGATCACCTGAGGTCAGGAGTTCGAGGCCAGCCTGGCCAACATGGTGAAACCCCGTCTCTACTAAAAATACAAAATTAGCTGGGTGTGGTGGCGCCTGCCTGTAATCCCAGCTACCCAGGAGGCTGAGGCAGAAGAATCACTGGAACTTGGGAGGCAGAGGCTGCAGTGAGCTGAGATTACGCCACTGCACTGCACTCCACCCTGGGTGAAAGAGCAAGACTCCGTCTCAAAAAAAAAAAAAAAAAAAAGTAGCTGAAGGCACTGGAAAATGACCATGGGACATGGATCTGAGAAGCTCAACAAATTCCAAGGAGGATAGACAAAAAAAAAAAAAAAAAAAAAAGACCATACTTAGGCATATCATAAACACAATGCAGAAAGCCAAATATAAAGGAAAAATCAGAAAAACAGCAAAAGATAAATGTCACATCACACACATGAGAACAATACAATTAATGACTACTTTCTCCTCAAAAACAACAAAAGCCAGAAGATATTGGAAAGACATGTTGGAAGTGCTCAAACAAAAGTCAATCAAGATTTCTATATCCAGCAAAACTATCCTTTAAAAAGGAAGGAAAAGTAAATACATTTTCACATAAATAAAATTGAGAGAATTTGTTGTCAGCAGACCTATCCTATAAGAAATATTAAAGAAAGACCTATAGGAGGAAGGTCTTAGCTCATATATAGAGGAAAGAAAGAAGAAAAAGTAAATACATGGGAAATATAAAAGAATATATACACCCATATTTTCCTTTTCTGACTGCTAAAATAAAAAAGTATAACAGTGTATTGTTAGTTTCATAATGAATAGGCAGTTCTTACTTTGCACAGACTATTTATACATTAATTTCAGTTATCACAGTTTAGTTAAATAACACTAGTCCCCCAACAAGACAGTTTGAATTCCATAGTTAAATATATTTAACACTAGTCCCCAGCAAGGCAGTTTGCATTCCAGTAACTCATAAATGCGATGACATATCACTTCATAGTCACTAAGAGCTAAAATCAAAAAGGTGGACAATAATAAGTGTTAACAAAAAGTTTGGAGAAGTTGGAACCCTCATATATTGCTGATAGGATTATAAAATAATGCAGCTGCTTTGAAAAACAGCTTGGCACTTCCTCAAAATGTTAAACATAGAGTTACCATATGATCTAGCAATTCCACTTTAGGTATACAGCCAAGAGAAATGAAAATATATGCCCACACAAACCTAGAATTATCATATTCATAATGACGAAAACTAAAGATAAAGTTAAAATCCTGAAGGCAGACAATTCCCCAGCCCTTCTCACCCAAAAAAACCTCAACCCACACAAACAAAACCCATATAACATGTGGAGGAACACAGATAAGAACTAAAGCAGACATCTTTCTGAAACTATGAAAGCCAGAAGACATTCAAGTGACCAACCTTTTAAGTGTTGAAAGAAAAAAAAGGTCAACAAAGAATTCTATTCCCACAAAAATTTCTTCAATAAAGGTGAAACAAAGACTTTTTCAGACAAACAAAAATCTGACAGATTCACTACCAGCATACCTGCACTACAAGAAAGAAATGTAAAGGCAATTCTTCAGGCAAAAGGAATATCATAGTACACAGAAGCTATCTAAACAGAAACCAGATGGGGGCTAGGGAGGGAAAGACCAATATGTAAAAAAATTTTATCATACTTGGCTATTCTATTTTTCACTATGGAAACAGCTATCTGGAATTCTTGTGTCAAACAGAACATAGATAAAGAGGATCCTGAATAGCTCAAAGTTTCCAGAGGGGATTCCTATACTCATGTTTTTCCTCCAAAAGCCTCCTCACAATACATGGTGCTGTGGTTACCTTTAAAAAAAAAAAGTTTACATACATTTGACGTTTTCCATAATAGATAAAAAATGAAATGATCCTGATAATGGCAGATCAGAAAAAGCTAGAGTTGGTTAGAGGCCACTAGTTTTAAAATGGTTGCTGTATCGTGAAAAACAAAACAAGCCAGGGTTTTGTTTTCTTTGCAGTTCTGTAAGGGCCATGTACTGGTGATAGGGGCTTACCCAAGTACATGCAAGTACGAGGTTTGAAAAGCACATGACAAAGGATGAGAACGATCCCTTTTAAACTACAGCCTAAAATTTACAATCAAACTGTAACAGAAGATAACTTACACATCTGTGAATGAAGAGGGAATATTTTCTTCTACCCACTTCAAATCTTCATCCTGTAGAAATATTTATACTTAGCATTTGCTTAATATCACCTGACAGCAGAATTTTTAAAACAGAATATATATATAACTTAAGTGTTTAAATGTAAATATTTGACATTCTTTTAGTTTCTACATATGTCCTAAGTTGGCACTCATGCCATACAGAAATTATGCCACTGTTTTCTTACACACGCAAAAATTAGATTTCAGATTTCTACACTTCTTGGTTTTAGTTGGATGTATGAAATATTATTTTTTTTGTCCTGAGAAATCACAGTAAAAACACAAAGTTCATTTGTAAGATAGAAAATAGCAAGGATATTGAATTTTTGCTTTGCCACACTCATTATGCCTCCTAATTTGTTCTAGTTCTTATATAATGAGTTTATAACTTTAAAAAAAATGATGATAATACAAACATTCTTTTTTTTTTTTTTTTTTTGAGACAGAGTCTGACTCTGTCGCCCAGGCTGGAGTGCAGCGGTGTGATCTTGGCTCACTGCAACCTCTGCCTCCCAGGTTCAAGCAATTCTCCTGTTTCAGCCTCCCGAGTAGCTGGGATGACAGGCACATGCCACCACATCCGCCTACTTTTTGTAATTTTAGTAGAGATGGGGTTTCACCATGTTGCCCAGGCTGGTCTCGAACTCCTGAGCTCAAGCGATCTGCCTGCCTCAGCCTCCCAAAGTGCTGGGATTACAGGCATTAGCCACCGGGCCTGATCTCAAATATTCTAACTTTAGAAAAGCCTATTTATTTGTATCACTCATTTATGCTCATCTCCCTACAGGAGGCAAGAAAAGGAAAGCAGGTCAGCTGAGATAGCTATCTGTCTATGTCTGTCTATCTTATCTAACTACCTATCTATCTATTTTATCCATCCATCTATCCTTTCTATCCATCCCTCCAGTCTATGTTATCCATCTTGTTTATTTATCCATCTGTCTAATCTATTAGAGAATCTGCCAAATCTAACAGATAAAAAATGTCTTCACATATTATCTATCGTGTCAGAACTTATATATGCATACATAAATTTTTACATAGTATTAATCACAGCACATATAGTTATAAGGAAAGTATAAAACTATATGATAGACATTTCCATTTTACATTGTTGTCTTCAAAAACATTTTTATGCATAAATAACATGCAGAAAATATTTTTTAGCTCATCTCTGCCCAATGTTTTACAATTTTATTCAAGCTTCCCACCTCAAAAAAAAAAAAAATCTGTTAATTTTGGTAACCGTGTAGGTAACACATAAAGTTCTTTACCAACAGATAACAAATGTTATTTTAAAATGGCTTCAAAAATCACTTTCATAGGCTGAAAAGTTAACACAAGCTTTTATTGGAACAAAGCTTTCCCATCTCGAATGTGCAGATGAACAGGCTATGGAATCTTTTCAAAAAGCAGATTCCAATTCAGGAGCGTCCGGGGTAGGCCTGAGACTCTGCATCTCTAACAAGTTCCCAGATGATGCTCATGCTGCTGGCCTAGGAACAGCAGGTGAGAAGTGAGATCTACAATGAAGGTATTTCAGTTATGGACAACCAGGATTGCTACTTGGCACTTGGCAACACTAATTTTTATAACAACAACAACAAAATCTTAGTAAAAACTGTTCTTCTGAGAGTCAATGAATATGACACTCGTATAGCTCTCTAAAGTAGTGAAGACTAAGGAAGACTAAGATTGTACTAAATATATACCATACTCACAAAGTTCTCAGAAGTGGCAGGCTTAGCTGTTCCATTGGAAACTGATTTTGAGGCTCTTAATTTTATTCCTTCGGCTACGAGAGACATTATAAACATATATATAAAATCACAAAATAATATTTTCCTTTAGAAATTTAATAATCTGATAAGAAAAAATACTATATCTTTTTAGAAATGGAGGGTTAATAATGGAAACTTTAGGCAGGATGCTGGATTTACCATTTGGGAATGTAGGAAAAATATATGAAAAAAGTTCACAGATTTTTGGAAACTATTTGTCAGAACCACCAGGTTTTCAAGTTTCTTGTTTGAATCCTAGTTTTAGAGTTTAAACAAGTATACATGCATACATATTTCCTTAATTGCAATTATTTTAAAGTTTATGGATTTAAAAATCTTCAGGATTCATGGTACATTCAAGAACAAAACACATCTTTGGGTATGCTTTACATCCCTGATGTACAAATTTTGAAATGTGCGTATGGCATAAAGAAGATAGGAAAGATCAAGATTTCTTTCATATTTGACCAAGGCTCTTCTGCATGTTTGCAGTTTCAGTGGAGCAAAGGCTAAGTGTCTGCCTCACTGGAATCTTGGGCAAGGCAATTAACTTCCTGTGACTTAGTGTTTCTGACTATAAACTGGGGATAATAATAATTTCTACCTCATAGAGTTCTAGTGACCATTGAACAAGTTAGCACATATAAAATGCCTGACACACAATCTATGCCCAGTAAGTAGTCACTTTTGTTATTACACTAATTTGCAAATATTGCTTCTCCATAAACTAGAACAATTATAACATAAGCTGATGTAATAAATAAAAATGAGGTTCCTCAATCCAAAAATGTTTTCCTGGGACATTCAAAACCCCAACATTTCTCTTAGAAGGGGAATACAGTGATTTTTGAACACTGAAGCGTGTGTGTGTGTATATATATATATATTACAAATTTTAAGTGTACAGTCTGAAGAAACCTGACAAATATATACACTTGAGTAACTGCCATGCCAATCAATACAGTTAACATTTCCATTATCACAGAAGGTTCTTTAAGTTCCTTTCTGGTCAATCCCCACCTCACCAAAAGCAACCACTGCTCTGATTTAGATAATCATCTAAATCATGCAACACTTTCATGCAAGATAAACATTTTTGAGATTAAGTTATGTTATAGAGTGTTGGTTACTTTTTATTACTGAAAAGTATTCCATTGTATGGATATATGGCAATTTATTTATCTTTTCACCTGTTTGTAGATAATTGTGTTACTTCCAGTTTTGGACTATTAAGAATAAAGCTGCTGTAAACATTCTTGTGTTTCTGTAGACATCTGCTTCATTTTTCTGGGTAAACCTTAGAGTGGAACAGTTGAACTGTATGGTAGGTATATGCTTAACTTTGTAAGAAGCTGTCACATTGCTTTCTAAAGCGGTCATGCTATTCTACATTCCTTCAAGTACTGTATGAGAGAGCCAGCTGTTCCACATCCTCTCCAATAGTTCATGCTATCTATCAGACTTTTTAATTTTAACCATTCTAGCAGATGTGTGGTGGCAGCTCATTATGGTCTTAATTTGCATTTCCCTGATGACTGATTATATTGAGCACCTTTTAACGGGTTTATTGGCCATTCCTATGTCTTCTTTGAAGTGTCTACACTAGTCTTCTGCTCATTTTTTGCAACATAGGTTATCATTTATTGATTTACAGGAATTCTACTTATATTCTGGATATAAGCCCTTTGTCAGATATATATGTACTGAGAATATTTTATCTCCCACTGTAGCTAGCCTTCTTATTTTCTTAAATTCTTCCTGATGAGCATAGATTTTAAATTTTGATAAAGTCTCATTTTTTAATTTAATGGTTACTGTTTTTCATGTCCTAAGAAATTACCCCATCCAACGTCATTAAAATATTTTCCTTTTTTCTTCTAGAAGAATAACAGTTGAAGCTTTTCCATTAGGTCTGTGATCCATCTTGAATTGATTGTGAGATGTGCAACAAAAGTCTAATGATTTTTTTTCCTACACATTTATCCAGTTGTTCCAGTACCATTTATTAAAAAGACTATCCTCTCTTCATGTAAGCCTTGGTGCCTTTGTCAAAAATCAACTGACCACACATGCATGGGTTTATTCCTGGACTCTATTTTACTACCTTGATGGATTTCTCTATCCTTATGCCAATACCACACTGTCTGGATTGCTGTAATCTGAAATAATTATGTCTTGAAATCAGTATAAATCCACTAATTTTATTTTATTGAGAGATAATTCGCATACCATATTGAAGTACAGTTAGATTTTGAGATATTCACAGAGATTTGAGATATTCACCACTCTCCAATTTTGGAAAATTTTCATCACCCCACAAAGAAACCCCAAACCCATTAGCAGTCAGTCCTTACTTTCCCCCTCCTCTAACCTGTGACAAGCACTGATCTACTTTCCGCCTCTACGGACTTGTCTGTTCTGGACCTTTCATATAAACAAAATTATACAGTATGTGGTCTTTTGTGATTGGCTTCTTTCACTTAACATAATGTTTTCAAGGTTCATCCATGTTGTAACTACAAGAATGTTAAGGATCTTCTACGTCTTTTGCTTTTCCATATACATTTTAGAATCAACTTAACCACTGTATTTTTTTTTAAGTCAGCTAGAATTATAATTGGGATTGCACTGAATCTATTTATCAGACTGGGAAACTGAGAGCTTAATACTGAGAGTTCCAATTCAGACACAGGTTCTATCTCTACATTTACTTATTCTAAAATTTATCTCTGCATTGTTTTATAGTCTTCATTGCAGAGGTTTTACGTATTTTTCATTAAACTTATTCCAAGTATTTTATTTTTGAAGGTATGGTAAATAACATTTTAAACTTCACCTTCAATTGTTTTCAGTTAATATGTAGAAAAACAACTGACTTCTGTACATTGGACATATACCCTATGACTGTCACAGTCACTTAGTTCTACCGTACTTTTTCTTTTCTTTAGACTCCTTGGGATTTTTCCATACATAACCATGTTGCCTGCGAATAAACACAGTTTTACTTCCTCCTTTCCACATGTTCTTTCTTTCACATTCTTTGGAGTTTTGTTTTGCTTCTCTGCACTAGGTAGGACCTCCCATACAATGCAGAATCAAAGTGGTATGTACATACCCTTGCACTTTATCCCTAATCTTGAGAAGAAAGTGTTCACTATTTCACCATTAAATAGAATTTTAACTGTGGAGTGTTTTCATACCATTTTAGAATTAGTTTGCTGAGGCTTTTGTTATTTGTACCCACTGAGATACTTTTGTCATTTTTTTCTTCTTTCTTCTTTTATTTGTACTATTTTATTTTTATTTTTATTTATTTATTTATGTTTTTGAGACAGAGTCTTGTTCTGTTGTCCAGGCTGGCGTGCAGTGGCTTGGCTCACTGCAAACTCTGCCTCCTGGGTTCATGCAATTCTCCCGTCTCTGCCTCCTAAGTAGCTGGGATTACAGGCACACACCACCACGCCCGGCTAATTTTTGTATTTTTAGTCAAGAGGGGGTTTTGCCATGTTGGCCAGGCTGGTCTCGAACTCCTGACCTCAGGTGATCTGCCTGCCTCAGTCTCCCAAACTGCTGGGATTACAGGCATGAGCCACCGCACCCAGCCTTATTTGTACTATTTTAATATGATGAATTATACTGAGTGATTTTCGGAATGTTAAAACAGCCTTGCAACCCTGGGATAAAGTCCACTTGATCATGATTGTCTTTCTATATTTTGCTAGATTTTATTTGCTAATATTTTTAAAGAATTTTTGTATGCCCACTCATTAATGATATATTGGTCTATAAGTGGTCTATAATTTTTGGTCTATAATTTTTTCTTGTAACGTCTGTTAGACTTTGGCATTTCAATTGTACTGGCCTTTTAAGTACTCCCACCTCCTTTACCTTCTAAAGATTTTGTGTAAAATTAGAATATTTCTTCCATTTCTTCCTTAAGTATTTGAAAGGACTCACTAGTGAATCATTTGGGCCTGGTACTTCATAGGAAGATTTTAAATTAAAAAAATTTTTTTTAAATTTCTAATAGATCAGAGCTATTCAGACTTAGTGGCACAGGGTTAGAATTAAAATTGGGTTGTTATATGTATTTTTCAATGAACTTGTATTTTTCAATGAACTTGTCTGCCTCATCCAGATTGCCCAATTTGTTACCATAAAATTGTTCATAATATTTCCTTATTTACCTTTTTTACCATAGTAATGTCCTCTCTATCATTTCCAACATTAGAAGTTTGTCTTACTGTACTACAGTTGACTTTTGAATAATATGGGTTTGAACTGCTCAGGTCCACCTACATGCAAGTTTTTTTCAATAAAAGTTACACCACATATGTCTGCCTTTGCTGCCTCCCCTTTCCTTCTACCTAATAACATTTTCTTTGCTCCACCTACTTTATTGTAAGAATACAGTATAAAATACATATAATACACAAAATATGTGATAACTATGTTAACAGTAAGGCTTCTGGTCAACAGTTGACTATCAGTAGTTAAGTTCTGGGAGAGTCAAAAGTTATAAGTAGATTTTCAACTGCTCAGGAGTTTGGTGCCCCTAACCCTACATTGTTCAAGGGTCCACTGTAGTTTTTTCTTTATTTCTGGTTTAGAGTAGCTAGAGGTTAAGCCACTTTTCACTAAGCTTTTCAAAGTAATTACTTTTAGATTTGATGATTTTTTTCTATTTGTTTTCCTGTTTTCTATTTCATCGATGTATTAGAGAACCAAAACAGAAGGTGAAAAAGAATGTTACTAAGAGAAGCAAAAGTAAGAGGACAAAAAAATGAAACAAAGATAAAATTACCCTCAACATCTGAGTTACTTATTGATGTTGCCTTAACAGATGCTTAATTAGATTACAATAAAATTAATAAAATGATAAAATGCTATGTAGAAAATAACAGAAAGAATGAAAATATCATTAAAACTTTAAGTAGAAATGCTTTCAGCATGATCAGAAATTACAGGTGTGCATACTTTAAAAAGAGCAAGAAGATGCAACTCAAAGAAACTTAGCAATCATCAAGATGAACATTATTTAGCAGCTAAGCACAATATACATCAAACCATTCTTATGAAAAACAGTGTAACTATTTCAACATTTTACGAAATGAGTAACAAGCTCAAACTACAATAGTCTTGAAAATTTCATCACTGACCTTTCTGTTACTGTCTACCAAAATAAGGTTTCTGAAGATAAAAGTTTTTAAAATATTTTATAGAAAAAAACAATATATGTGACCTTGCATCACGGGTAAAGGTACAATATTTCTGTTGCAATATGTACAATGGTCATTTAAAAAGAAAACATATTACTCACTTAAATTTTCAGAAGTTACCATGAATTCCTCAATTTCATCATCAGAATCATCTATTAAGGGCATGAAGGCATATCTATAGCAAAAACAAGGAGTAGTTTTACTAGTATGTTTAAACTTGTTCAATTTTCAGTTTATATCTAAAAGCCATTGTATAAAAAATCTACATTTAAAAAATTTCTTATACTTTAAAATAATGAAAACGTAATTATTTTACTTTCAAATTAGCTAAAATTATCATTAAGAAATTGTGAAACTGGAGCTCTCAAACCCTGTTTGTAAAAGCATAAGTGGGTAAAATCTTTCTGCAAAGCAATTTTGCAATATTTAATGTTGAGGGAAGGGAACTTTCTGCTGTTTCTTTCTCCATGTCAGGTTTACCTCTCTGCCCACCACTTGTCAGTTTATTTCCTAAAAAAAGAAAAGTTGCTAATCTGATTGGTGAAAATAAAGCCCACTGAATGGGCCACATTTCCTAGGGTGATAAGCTCAAAATACTGCTGATGGAGTGTGAATCAAGACAACCTTTCTGGAGGGTCATTTGGCAATAGCCATTAAAGTAAAAATTCATTTACCTTACATTACACTAACAAAAGTTTGCCAAGATGATGTCCAACAGCATTCTGAAAACATTATTGATAATAGCAAAAATCTATTTTTTAAACAAAATGTCTAATAACCAGGGACTGCTTATATAAATTATATTACATTCATGTTATAAAATGCCATAAAACCATTAAAAGTAATGTGGTAGATCTATACATGCTGATATGGAAAGATAGTTGTTTTTTTTGTGGTTTTTTTTTTTTTTTTTTGAGACAGGGTCTGGCTCTGTTGCCCAAGCTGGAGTGCAGTAGCAGCGGCATGATCTCAGTTCACTGCAACCTCCACCTCCTGGGCTCAGGCCATCCTCCCACCTCAGCCTCCCAAGTAGCTGGGAGTACAGGCACATACCACCGCACCTGGCTAATTTTTGTATTTTTTTGTAGAAAGAGGGTTTTGCCTTGTTGCCCAGGCTGGTCTCGAATTCCTGGGCTCAAGTCATACACCCACCTTGGCCTCCCAAAGTGCTAGGATTATAGGCGTGACCTTAAACAGGAAGGTACAGAACAGTATGTGTATGTATATGCGTGTGTGTGTGTATATATATATATATATATATATATATATATGTATTATTGTATAATTTTAAAAAGGACAGGAGAAACACACTGATACAGGTTGAGTAGCCTTTATGCAAAATGCCTGAGACCAGAAGTGTTTTGAGTTTTGGATGTTTTCAGATTTTGGAACATTTGCATTATCCCTACCAGTTGAGCATCCCAAATCTGAAAATCTGAAATTCAAAATGTTCCAATGAGCACTTCCTTTGAGTATCCTGTCCGTGCTCAAAAAGTTTTGGATTTTGTAGCATTCTGGATTGGGATTTGGGATGTTGAATCTGTACATACTTTTTCATTTTTTCCTAAAGGATGGACAAGAACTTAAGTTCTCTCCTTGGGGCAAAGGGATAAAGCAAGGAAGCTGAGGCTTCCTATCACATGCAGTCTCAAGTACAACTTTCTGAACTTGACACTCAAGTCTTTTGTCATTTTGGCCGTACTTCTCCCTTCCAGCTTGATCTCCCTCCAATATGAGTATGTGGTATTAACCAAACTGCATGTCTCACTGGCCTCCAAAGTATCTCATGCCTTTCCCACCACCCCAGAAAATGGACACTCTTTCCCAGTTCAGTCATTCGCTATCCTATTCCTTTCCTCAAGGTGTAATGTAAGCGCTGTCGCTTCAAGAAGTCTTCCTCAACCCTCTTCCATCTTCCCCTGGACTAGTCTATACATCTCTTTTTTCACTGTCTTGCATTTGTTTTGCTTATCTCCCTACTTGACTGTATACTCCTTAAAAGCAACGACTATTCTCCTGGTTTCTATAAACGTGTTCTTGACACTATAGAAGGTGATCAACAAATCCTTGACGACTTGAAATTTCCTATGTTAGGTACCTCTGATTGTTTGCTGATGGTCTCCACAAAAACATGATTACAATAAGGATAAGCGAAAAAAGGAAGCTCCAAAATGCATCGTCAACCCAGCGTTCCATCCAATCCTAAAAGAAGGACAATTCAAGCATGAAACGTTAATTTTCTGATAAGCATATAGGTTTCCCATTCAAATAATGTACAATGACAAGTACTAATGAAATCTTTCCAACCAGTAAGTCTTCCAAATAAACAAGCACATATTTTTTCAAGAAACCTATATTGTTCAAAATGTTTCTAAAGGGTTGTTTAATGTTACAAATATTCCCTGCCATAAAATTTTTGGGTTAACAGAAAGATTTCAAAATCAAAAGATGCAAAACATATACTTAGGATTTCAAATGGCAAATACTAAGGTCAGAAGGCCCAGCCTCTTCTTTTATTAAATTGTCTCTAAGGCAGCAAAAGCTCTGGATTTTCAGAGGGCTTTTTGTGATTATTTATATGGCACTAGAGACTAGCTCCAAATCTCAACAAATCCCCAAAAGAGGACCTTTCATATTCTAAGTCTAAGAATATATCTTCTTCCAACATGAGAACCCATAGAAAACATCACTCGACTCGGGAGGCTGAGGCAGATAATTGCTTCAACCCGGGAGGCGGAGGTTGCAGTGAGCTGAGATCGCACCACTGCGCTCCAGACTGGCTGACGGAGTGAGACTCATCTCAAAAAAAAAAAAGAAAACATCGCTCGAATGCCCATACTGAACACACGATCCTAGAAACATGCCAGTCTTAAGATTTCTAGTCCATCTAGATACAAACCACTCAATTTCATGGTGTGCAGGAAGAAAAGGATTTCCTGTTAGGGTATACAGGAAGAGAATTTATTTTCAAAATATATAAAAAAAACTTGACAAAAGGGCATAATAGGAAAAGGAGATTTCGGAGGAACTTTTTCAGACTCACTTGGAGGAGTTAAAAGTTTTTTTTTTTTTTTTTTTTTTTTTGAGATGGAGTCTCGCTGTGTTGCCCAGGCTGGGGTGCAGTGGTGCAATCTCAGCTCACTGCAAGCTCCACCTCCTGGGTTCACACCAGTCTCCTGCCTCAGCCTCCCCAGTAGCTGGGACTACAGGCACCCGCTAATTTTTTGTATTTTTAGTAGAGACGGGGTTTCACTGTGTTAGCCAGGATGGTCTCGATCTCCTGACCTCGTGATCCGCCTGCCTCGGCCTCCCAGAGTGCTGAGATTACAGGCGTGAGCCACCGCGCCCAGCCAAAAGTTTTTATAACTCTGTAAAAAATAGTTCAAAGTAAAAACATAAATCTCCATTAAAATCACCTCTATTTGCAAGCATAAACTAAATTGTTCAAAATTCTACAAAATAGTATAAATAAAAATAACTGTTTAAATAGGAAGGTTATACTTACTGATTGGCATTTTGCAATTCTAAATGTCTTAGTTGTCCACCCCATAAACACTATAGAAGCTGAAACACACAAAAAGTCACCTTTGAAGGAATATAACAATACTAAGATAATTTACTGTAAGAAAAATTAAATAGCTTACCCAGCACAGCAAAGATCAGAGTATTTTTAAAATGTCTATATAATGAAAATTTCACAGTGTTCTTTCTTAGCCTTAGGGTCTTCATAGTTTGTGCCAAACTAATAAAAATGTGAAAAAAGTTAAGGAAAAACATTCCAAGTAATAATAAGAGGTTAAAAAAAAAAAACAGAATCTTCTACTATGTTCCCAAAGTCAGTACTGCTAAATACAGTTCCTAAAATTTGAAGCTAATGAAAACACAGAAAATGTTATCTTGGCCAATATTGTACAATCATTATACTTTATCACAGATTTTCTTTTACAATTTACCATTGTCTGAACTAAGAAAACAAACTCCAAGGAAAAAACACGGAAGACCCATGATGCGTTCCACCAATGCCATGCACCCGCAACACGGGATAGAGCAGTGCACGCACTAAAACCCCTCTAAGTGAGACACTCTTTACAGATCACATTGTGACATGCCATTTGGCTTGTGCTTTTCTGGCCCTATTTCTATCTTATTTTGATCTTTCCAGTCTATTCTCATTTTATTATTTGAATAACCATAATTAAGAGGTTAGGTCATCTACCAATTCCATTTTATAAATTTTAAAACTAAAATTCATCAGATGAAACAAATCTGGACTTAGTTAAGGGCTTTATTTGAAAGATGACTGCAACGGGGGAGGATTACTGCAATAGGAAGAATACTACGACTATAAGATCTGCAAGAGTCTCAGAGGTCAGGCAGAAAAGGGTTTTTCTTTTATAGAGCACAGCAAACAAGGATAAAAAGCAGTAGGTGTGGGGAGTGAGTGGTGGGACTAGACACACCGATGAGGGAATGTCTTTTCCTGAGGTCTGCAGATTCTCGGGAGGGCTGTGTATTGGCTCAGGCTGACGGTGAGTCAACGTTTATGGCCTGGAGGAAGAAGAATACTTACAGTTTGGTTCAGTGTTTTGTTCAGATCGATCAGTGGATATAAAGAGTTCATCTAATTATTCGTGATGCAAGGAATGGGAACTCAGAGGGTCTGTGCCCGGCCTTGTCATAGGTAGACAAGCGGGCCTCCAGGAGTCTTACCTAAGTCCAGTGGGGAAGGGGGTTCTCTGAGGTAAGTCTTTTCTCGGAACACAAATAGGGAAGGGGGTTTGGAGGGGGGTGTCTTAATCTTGGCTGTTTTCCAGGAGCACAGGGCTCAGGTGAAGTTCAACATTGCCAAGGATGAAGAAGCAAAAAGAAGACTTTTCCACTGACTCCTCAGCAGTGAAGCAGAATTCAAGCCAGCTCTCTCTGCTCTTAAATGAGAATTCCTTCCTCTGGAGCAGACCAACAAGCTTTGTTTATGAACCAAACACTAAAAATAACAGAGCTGAGCAACAGAATGGATGTGGCAAGTTTTAAAAATTTTAAATATGTCATTAATAAAAAACTTCATTTTAGTACTAAAGCTACTTTAGTACTTTAGTACAAAACTGCTTTTTAATCTTCTAAATGACCAACAAATTACAAAAGATCAATTTCTAAAGCAATACAATACAACCAATTCAGGTTACTATGAGAACTTTAAAAATGCAAATATACTTTATTCCTTAAATACATCAAAACATATACTTTTAACAATTCTTGACTAAAACCAAATTTCTAGGATTAAAAAAAAATCTGGTCTGGTTTAATAATTTTAAAAAAATGTTTTTAAGCTAAGGAATAAAAAGTAAATTTGAAATTGCCTAAGCCTCCACTTACCAAGACACTGTTAAATTTAGGTAAAGTGTAAATCATTCCTGCCATGGAAGGAAAGTAGTCATGAAAACAAATAGCCCTTCTGATCCTGAAGTGAGAGCGCGCTGCTGTGGTAGGAAAAGGATATCCACCAGCACAAGCCAGAGTCAAGGAGAGAGAGGGGGAGGCTGGCCAGAAGAACAAGATCAGAATCACTCACCTGCAGCAAAACAGCAAAAAAAAAAAAAAAAAAAAAAAAAAAAAAAAAAAAAAAAAAAAAAAGAAAGAAAGAAAAGAAAAGAGAAACGAAAGAGAAACAAGAAGAAAAAAAGGGGAGGAAGGGCCACAGGAGAAAGGCTAAGGCTATGGCTTTTGAATTTTTCAGCCTATTTTTTTTCCTATGACTTTAGAATTAGATTCTTAGAGGATTGGTTATATTAAGTTCATCAAAATCAAAGGAAGCAGGGTCATTTTCCAAAGCACTCAATTGTATACGTATTTAGTTCTGCTTTTTTTTTTCTTGTCATTTATATCATTTAGGAAATCTGCTATCTTTCTGTATAGAAAAAGCAGACATTTCATTTTAGTGATAAAAATTACCAAAGAGCAATCTGACAGCAAACTTCACAAATTCAGGCTCATGCAGAAATAGACACTAGACTTCCTTTGTCTCACCATGAAACACTAAAGATCTTTCACATTTTAGATTTCTTTGACTATTCCCTGAAACATTTTCATTATAAATATTCATAATTAAGCAAACTAAGTCTTTCATCTGTTTTCCTTATTTTCCTACCCCAATCTGACTAATCAGATACTGGAATGTGTGAAAGTCAATGCTGTTCATAAAGGTAATAAATTACCCCCACTCAAATCCAGATGGATTAGAGCCATCAGAGCTGCTTTTCTTTGGAATTTTCTGCCAAGCTGCATTACTAAGTGTTTTTCCCAATGAACTACCTTGTGGATGGTTAAGAACAAGAAATCGGCAGGGCACGGTGGCTCACGCCTGTAATCCCAGCACTTTGGGAGGCTGAGGCAGGAAGATCACAAGATAAAGAGATCAAGACCGTCCTGGCCAACATGGTGAAACCCCGTATCTACTAAAAATACAAAAAATTAGCTGGGCGTGGTGGCGCACGCCTGTAGTCCCAGCTACTCGGGAGGCTGAGGCAGGAGAATCGCTTGAACCTGGGAGGTGGAGGTTGCAGTGAGTTGAGATCACGCCACTGCACTCCAACCTGGTGACAGAGCGAGACTCCGTCTTAAAAAAAAAAAAAAAAAAAGAACAAGAAATCTTTGAAATAAATATCTATAAATTACCAGAAAAGATAGTTTATTTTTTAAAAAACGCAGTCTGCAGCTTAATTAATTGAATGAAGGACCATACTCCCTAACTTGTTAAAGTTCCAAGCATACACGGTTTTAGAAACAAGACAATTCTAAATTGAATAGATATAATCAGCTCATTTTCTAAACACACAATGACAGAAAATAAGACAGTAAGATCTAAAGATAATCTGAGGTCAACAGGCAGGTTCATCTCCACTGTCATTCTGCCTATCCCAGTGCAAGGTATGTTTATACCTCCTGCCCATTCTCAAGGCAGGAGAGTCCCCTTAACAAGCAGTCCTGTGGGACCTACAGACTTTGTGGTGAGTACTCTCTCTTATCACTGGAACACTGCTCACATGTAGAACTGAGGAACAGACTTCACATTTTTAGCAAATGAATGTCTTTAATTTTTTTTAACATAGAAAATATGAAAATGACACCAGAGGAAGATATTTATATTACTCTCTGAGAAAATCAGATTTATTTAACTATAATTTTATTCAACAAACTTGGATTCTGAACTAGCAGCTCTGAACAAAGTAGAATATGCTTTTTTAAACAAGTTCAGTCAGAAACAACTCTTTAGATCAGTTATTATTCCCTAAGTAGGCTCCTCAGACTCCTAAGATGTCCACAGATATAATTTGGTAAGTCTTTAACTGCCCTGTCATGCAAAGCTCCTTGTGTCTGTGTTCTGTGAAGAGAGGCTCCACAGCTGTTAGCAGATTTTCCAAGGCATGTCTGATCCTAGTACCCAAACAAGGTTAAGAATCACTGCTTTGACGAGTGAGGACAATGAATTACAAATTTTAGGTTTGTAGCACTCTTCATAGGCTTTTTAAGTTGGAAGCATATTGAGAATTCACAAACAGGGAATTTAAAGAATAGGTAGACCCAGCTTAGAAAACAACCCACAAGTGGCTCAGAAAAGCCTATGAGGAGTGCTACATTTGCCAGCACACCTGAAAAATGGGAGACCTTCCTTCTAGGGCATAGTGATGAGATCCAAGCCCTCTGGCCCTTCCTATGAGACACATAGATGAGAAAATGGAAAAAGATACAAGAAAAACAATTTTTTAAAAAAATTAATGTCAAAAAGCTAAAAGACATAAGTATCAAAAACAGAGGAAACAAAGAACTTGGCAAAAAATGAAACCTATCTAACAGGAAAGCACTTCAAAGAGGACATAAATATAATAGAAACAGATCCAAAGAATGTTCTGGGATATGCATAACCCTGCATTCCACTCTGGTCAGTCACATTTTCTCTAGAATTCCTCCCATTTCCACAAGTGCCCCCATGAAGAAAAAGCAATGGGATTCCCCAGACTCAACTTGAGTCATCGAATCAGAGAAGACCCTCGAGGATCCAGTACTTACTGCCTCTAAAACTTCTCCTGCAATATGGCTGCAGCCCCTAAACCTTCTCTGAACCTGCTCTCTTCCACCCATTTCTAGCAAGTCTATCACGTGGGTTCTTCTTTCCATATCCCCTACCCTACTTCTGACCCTCACCATCTCTTCTTTCGACCACTGCAAAGGCAAAGGAATACTGACTCACCTTCCTGCCTCTAGACTCTCCTTTCCCACGTCATCTTCTTCTGTCACCAGAGTTCTCACTGACACAGGTTTCATCACATTACTCACCTGTGCAGCTTCAATTCCTCTCCAGCCCCTGCCTCTGGAAGGCACTCAGCTCTTGAGCATGCCCTGCCACCCTTCCCTGAACCGCCTGCCAAGGCTCTCCCATGCATGTCCACCCAGAGGCAGGCTTCCCTGGACATTCTGCCACTGTCCCCCTCTGTTTTCCTGCTTCAACCATTTGCTCCCCTCCGTTCTTCCTAGAATACCTCTTCCCTAATTACCTCCTTATTAATAGTAAACCCCTACTTGTCTTCCCAGTCTCAATTTAAATGTTGCCATCTCTGTGAAGTCTTTCCTGATTTTTATGCCAGCATTAACTTCTCTCTTCCCCTGTTGGCACAGCACCTCTCTAAGATGGCAACTACTACTGCTATACTGATGCCAGTTATGTATCTGTCTCCCCTACAAGACTGTGAATCCCTTAAATTTAGGGACATCTTTTTCACCCATGCCTCGTCAGTATGGGGCACATACTGAGAATGAGCACTAACTGTTTGCTAAACTACATAGAAAAAATAAAGATATTCCTTGTTTGGGTAGTTGCTACTTTTTCACCTTCAAGTGAACCCTCGTATTAAGGTAACAAAAATGCATAACTGTATTTCTTTCTATTGTTATTACAAATTACATGTAATCTGATTTTCATGATACAACAAACTATTTTGAAGGACACAGTAAAGGATATGAACCACACAAAAATGGAGTCAATAACTGCTAAAATAATGTCATCAAGAACAACAGCTAAATGGTTAGAACCCTGAAAGATAAAAATAAGGGAAGAAACCTGAATGTAACACTTTCATTGCACTATAGCAATTATCATTTGATGAAGAAAAATAATTTAGCTTATCTCATTACTTTACAAAGCCACATAAAAGATTTAATTTCCTAAGAGGATTGTGTTTAAGCACATGGAAATGACCTGTTTTTGATAGCAACAAGTGCTAATTTATGTGATGATAGCAACATAAAACTGTATTATGTAATGGCAAATAAAAAGCATCGTGTCCCCAACCTCACTAACACCAGCCATTTCAATCTCTCTCCTCCATACCAAACCGACAGCCAGGGCTATTAATGAAACGAACTCCCGATCTTTCCTGACTGTGTTGTGAAGGGACACAGAAAAAGTGAAGGGGGGGATCCATGTTAGACATTTACTCTGACTAGTCACCTTTAAAAGTCACTATCTAAGATGTTGGCTATGTAAAATTTTTTTTTTTTTTTTGAGATGGAGTTTTGCTCTTGTTGCCCAGGCTGGAGTGCAATGGCGCAATCTCAGCTCACTGCAACCTCTGCCTCCCAGGTTCAAGCCATTCTCCTGCCTCAGCCTCCCAAGTAGCTAGGATTACAGGCGTGTGCCACAAAGCTATGTACAATTTTAAAGGAATACAATATATATGGTGTATTTACATGTGGGATATTTATCTTTTCTATTTCCTTCTGGCAAGTATTTATTATTATTATTATATGAATGCAGAGTTCTTCATGATCATACAAACGTGGAAATAAATATACTCAAAGACTAAAAGAGCATCTAACACAGAATGCAGGTGTATCAAAGACAACAGGGAGAAGAATGAGGCTTTTTAGCACTATTGGATAAATATTTATGATCTGATTTATACAGCTAATCCAAAGACATTTTAGGTAAAATGACAAAGGTCTTTGGATTAGGTAAGATATAATAAGCTTCTTAATCACTCAATCCTCAACCATTTATTCAAAAAACTGAAGCAACCATGAGTGGTAGCTCATATCTGTAATCCCAATACTTAGGGAGGCTGAGGTAAGAGGATCACTTGAGGCCAGCCAGGAACTCAAGACCAGCTTGGGCAACATAGTGAGACCCTGTCTCTACAAAAAATACAAAAATTAGTCTGGTGTGGTGGCCTGCACCTGTAGTCCCAGCTACTCGGGAGGCTGAGGTGGGAGGACTGCTTAAGTCTAGGAGATGGAGGCTGCAGTGAGCCATGATCATGCCACTGCGCCACTGCACCACTGCACCCCAGCCTAGGCAACAGAGCAAGACCCTGTCTCCAAAACCAACCAACCAACCAACCAACCAACCAACCAACCAACCAACCAATCAACCAATGAGACAACCAAACAAAAAACCGCACAAAATAAAAGTAAAAAAACTGAAGCTAGAAATCTAGGGGTCTTTGCAGACATAAATACTGATACTTCTCTAGAGAATAAAGTGCTGCTGCCCACATCCAGAGTCATCTTCCCCTTGAACATCACTTCCTCTAGGCTTTTCCAATGGTGGGGTCTACTGAATCCTCAAAATAGCTAGTCCCCAAGAGTCAGAGAAAATGAATAAACAAATGAGACTTAAAAGAGTGATGGAATGTACTGTATGTATACCTGAAGGGTGTAATTAACTTTCTGTTCACTTGATACATTTTAAAATCCAGGGTTAAGAATGATATTAAGGTATACCAGCTGCATAATGATAAAGACAAATGTTCTCTATGAAGAACAACCATGAACCTTTCTGGGATGGGACTGATACCTGGGATGATATCAAGCGGTGCCTTCGCAATCAGTCATATCATTTTAAGAAGCACTCTGTCTAGCCTTTGCCTTTCAGGAAGTATTTTAAAAGGGAAACATCCCATAGAAGAAAAGTTCAAATTGGGCCTTTTTCACAAGTTTCTATCTAAAAATTCATCTCAGGAGATACAAAGTAAAACCACATTTCACAGCAATAACAAAAAGGGGTGGTAGAATAATGTAGTTTTTACCCCAATGACTCTCATCACGCCTTCAACAGCTGCAAAGATTAAGTATAGAAGCCCCAGTCCGATCACCCGGTGCATGACTGTTCCTAAACGAGGCCTGGAATCAGGAAGAGGAAACAGAGAAAGAAGAAAAAGCATGGGTGAGTAAAATGCACCTGAATACAGTAACTGGCACCATTTCCAATACCAGGAAGTCACTATCTAATCACATCAGTCTGTTCCCGGCTCTGAGGTACTTTGTTTTAGGAAACAGGCCCAGGAACAAAGGGTCTCTTTCTCTAGGACCTGAAGCTATACTGATGCCTTTGAAGCAATATTTGGAGGCCACAAAGGTGCCAGAGGATTTTGCTGCTGAAATTCAAGCAACAGAATGAATATAATTCAGGTACTGTTTCTATAGAATGGAAGAGTAGGTTGATGAAATCTAGGAAGGTAAATGCCAACTTCTAAGTGCCACTGAGAAGTCTAACTTAATTCTTCCTGAGGTCTGTCTTTTCAGAGATAATTCACTTGTCTCATGACTTGGGCAGAGGAAGAGCAGGACATGAGGAGATGGAAGTCCATGACCTCCTTTCTGATCACCAGCTCTTAACCAGAACAGGAGTGCTAACAGAATTTCATTTTCATTCTTTAAACTGAAAGAGTTAAAATAACATTTTTGGGCGAGGCGCAGTGGCTCATGCCTGTAATCCTAGCATCTTGGGAGGCCAAGGTACGCACATTACTTGAGCTCAGGAGTTCGAGACCAAACTGGCCAACGTGGTGAAACCCGGTCTCTACCAAAAAAAGCAAACAATTAGCCGGGGGTGGTGGCTCGTGCCTGTAGTGCCAGCTACTTGGGAGGTTGAGGCACGAGAATCGCTTGAACTTAGGAGGCAGAGGTTGCAGTGAGCCAAGATCGCACCACTGCACTCTAGCCTGAGCGAGAGTGAGACTTTTGTCTCCAAAAAAACAAAAACAACAAAAAAAATTTTTTTTGGCTCTTTCAAAATATAATTGAGTTGGGAAAATACAAAGATGGTGGTTTTTGCAATTAATAATTTAAAATAGAATAATTTCATGATATTTGCAAATCAGAATTTATTGCACATACATTTAAGGCTGCTCAAAAACCCTCCTCTCAGAGTAATTAGAAGAAAAAAACTGGTTTAAAAAAATATTTAAGATAGTCAATTCAAAACAAAATATAAGTAAAAAATTAAGTTAGTGGTCATAGCTCATATTTAATTAAGACTATTTACCTAATCTAAGGAATCTAAATTCTGATTCATTATAATCAACTAACCAGAACCTCCAAATAACCAGAACTGTTACTGCTCTCACTTTATGAGTTGAGCCGAGCAAGCTAACAGTGAAGGGATTCATTTAAAAAGGGTTTGTATCTGTACCCATTCATTTAATCTTCTATTCCTTTCACAGTAACAACACTGCACCTGTTGGTATCTGATGTTCATAACCAGAGCTGTGAAAGGTACTGCAAGATTCCTCAACAAGAGGCCTTCATTTCCTACACTGTACTAAGAACACAAAAGGCATTTGAGAAAGAATCTCCAATAAAAGTCCAGGGGGATAAAGGCTTCCAGGATAAAATCCTGCTAACTCCCCAATCCCCAGCTCACAAGCAAACGGGCACGCACACAGGAGGAGAGCCTAGGGGTGCGAGTCACAGAGCAGAGGCCTGAGCCTGGGCCCCCGGGGGCCGGAGCTCAGGAACACAGGAGGGTGCAGCAGAGGAGGCTGGGGAGGAGTAGCCAGTGATGTGAGAGGATGGAAGACGAGCTCCCAGAAACCAGGCAAAGCTGGCACTCCTTAAAGCTGCTCACGGGACAACTGGACGAGGGCTGAGCAGGGCCATGTGATATGGCAGGTGAGGTCATGGTGGCCTTGACAAGAGCAGTCTCAATAGAGCAATACTGGGGAGGCTGAGGTACAGACTACTCATGTGAGAAGTTATGCTGCACAGGGGAAAGGTGAATGAGGCAGAAGTGGAGGAGAGGGCCATGTGGGGTGGAGGGAGGGCTTCACTTTAAAAAATGGTAGAAATAACGAGATGCTGATGGGGGTGACCCACCAGAGAGGAAAGCTGACGATGCAAGAAAAAACAAAACCGAGCACTAGGACAGTTTCCCTCACAGTTGAGTGGGCACAAAGGCAGGGGTGGCCCGTGACTATCAAGAAGAGGAAAGTGGTTCATGCGGTCCAGATGTGGGGGAAATGACAGGGTCTGGGGGCACAGATGCAGTGGAATTCCCCTCTGATGGCTTCTACTTCCTCAGTGAAAAAAAAACCGAAGGTCAGGGTAGAGTCTGAGAGAAAGGGGTAAAATGGTCTTCTGCAGACAGGAGAGTGAGAAAATAGTGGCAAGGGGATTGAGTACAACTGCCAGCAGCACTGAGGGTGCACGTGAAGTTTAGGGTCATGAATGGCAAGTAGGCCCCCTCAGTGTGGTCCAGGGCTCTTTTTGGGCAAATTCCCCTGCTCGGGTGGGAGCCTGAGGCAGAAGGAAAGCTGGACTTAGCAAGGCTGGGGTTTTGTCAAGAAGGTTGACAAAGAGAAAGGCAGGGGTCTTTGGGTGTCAATGTCCTGCTGGACCAGGGAATCCAAGCAAAAGGAAGAAGGTAAGGATATAAGATGGGGAGGGACAACGGAAGGTGCCAGGGTCAAAAGGCTGGAGGCCAAAGTATAGTCGAAAAAGACTGACACCGACATGTTAAAGAAAGTAACAGGAAACAGAGGAGGTTGACAGTTGAAAAGTGGATTGCTTAAAATTGAGATTTTGAAGAGGGTGCAGTTATATATATAATAAAGTCTAGAAAATGATACTGGGAATCAGTAGCTGAAACATGGTGATGGGCAAGAGCAGGAGAGGTGGGGAGGTGAGGTCAGGTTACTTAAAGGGTCATGCACATGGCTCCTGAGACCCCATGGCCTTCTGACAGATGAAATGCTGAGGACGACACCTGTGAAGCCAGTGCCCACAGAGCTGAGGAATGAGGGAGGGTCTGGAAGCTCACAGTGACCACAACAAGATGCAGCAGGTGACCCAGCCTGAAGAGTGAGCTTCTGGGAATCAGGGTTTTAGGAAAGAAGCAGGAAGAAAGGTCTGAAAAAACACAACAAGGATAGAAATCAAGTTCTCCCATAGTTATGCCCAGTGATTCACAGGTGAGAGGAGGAAAAGACCCGCCGGAGAAGGTCCAGAAGCAGAGTCCTTGAGGGACAGACAGGTTTCAGTCAGAAGTTTTGCTGACTTGGTGTTTAATCCACTCTCTCTTCCAACACTCAGATAGGACCATAAAAGCTTAATGATACTGTCTAAATAACAGAAAAGGGTTTGAAAATGGTTTGAATTATTTTAGATTTTCCATTATCCTTAAAGTTGATTATTTATTCATCTAACTATATAAAGTTATTGAAATAAAAATTCAGGGTCTTTATTGGAAGATAACATAAAATAGCAAGTATGTGGAAATCTTTTAAAAATGTGTTCTTGTAGATTTTTCCCAAAGGGATTTGTACTACAATACTTAGAAGTTCCATTTTCACAAAGGTCATAATGTAGACGGACTGAATCACTGGGCTGGGACCCAGCATTTTTCCCACACGCCAGTACTTACTTCACAATGCCATAGCCCAGGCTCACAATGATCACGAGAAGGCGAGCCAACGTCCTCTTAATCGCAGAAATCAACTCCGCAAATATCAATAAGCCTTGGGCTGAGGAAGAAAAAAATAAAATAATTCACTTTGTCTACACCTGGAAGCCTGCCAACCAAGATTCTCAACAACATGTCCTGTGTATAACTACATTCGAACTTCAGACCAATCAGCCACATTTGATTTAAAAGTCACTGAATCCAACTGATGCTTGAAAACTTCAGTGAAGGATTCATACTCGCCTCAAGAATTCACTCCCTATCTATCTAATCTGCTCCACTGGGCACAGCTTTCTTCTATCAGCCCGAACACTGTCTCCCTGAGCTTCCCTCTGTTCTTGCTCTTTACAGAACTCTCTCTTCTTGTCCTGTAAATATTTAAAAACCACAACATCCTCTAGAGTTCTCTTTTCTCCAGGATCTCCTCATCATGTATTCATTTAAAATGTATCTGATATGCTCCTACTGTGTGGCTATAATAGTGAAAAAGACATCTTGATCCCTGCCTTCATGGAGCTTGTACTCTGGTTAGGCTAAGTAAATAGAACTCAGTGTGGTAAGAGCAAGAGGTAACACATCATCCCTCCAGACTTGGAAGAAGGCCAGTCTAATCTACACCTGGGGGAACTAGAATTGGGTCCTGAAAAACTCAGAAAAAGTGACATCTAAATCAGGACTTGAAGGCTAAGTAGGAGTTAAGTATTTGGGGGTGGGGGATGACAAAGCAAAGAACACGGCACGTGCAAAGGCACAGAGAAGAAAAGAGGAAAAGCAAACTATGCTGCAAGAAGTCAAAGTTCATTATGCCTGCAGCAGAGAGTGTAATGGTAGATGTCAAGAAAAGAGGCTGGTCATAAAGGCAGGGACCAATCATGCAGTTTGGAGCCCCTGTCATGGAGTCTGGACTCGATGTTAAGGGCAGTGGGAAGTCAATAACAATAAACAAAAGAACAAAGGAGGGATTGGTAAACTATGGCCCATGGGCCAAATCTGGCCCTACATCTGATCTGTTTTTGAACATAAAGTTTTATGGGAACACAGCAATGCTCATTTGTTTGCATGTTGTCTATGGCTGCTTTTATGCTTTGATGGCAAGGGTGAATAGTTACAACAGAGACCATATGGCCTGCAAAGCCAAAATATTTCCTCTATGGCCTTGACAGAAAAAATGTGCTGACTGCTGGAATAAAATGGATGGCTTTATTTTATCAAGATTGCTCTACCTACAATGGTTTGGAGAGGAACAAAACTGCAGGCAAGGAAAATGCTCAGGAGACTATTCCAGAAAACTAAGAGATGATGAGAGTACCGGCAGTGATCACAGAGAGAAGCAGAAAGATTCAGAAAGATATTCAGAAAATATGGTGGCAAAACCAGTTGTGAATCCATCTGATGTTTTCAGTTCACACTGTTTTCAGCTCCATCTTGCCTGCAAGAACTCACAAGAGACCTTGTCAAATGCCTCGAAGATAGATCTAGAACTACAGGCAGAGCAAGAAGCCAAGAAAGATGTGAAAGATGGTCCTGAGGTCTCCTGGCAGTATCATGCAGCGAGAGGAACACCTGGAAGGGCAGCAAGTGTGGGCTGGGGCGAGACCGCCACACAAAGGCAGAAAGGATGAGCTCCCTTTTTGCCATTCAGAGGTTGAGAAGATTGCAAGGCATTGAGAAGCTGTTTTGTAGGTGACTGGATATATATGTCTGTAGCTCAGGATAGAGAGTTCCACAGGAGAGAAAGCTTTAGGAGGAAAACAATGGATGAGCTCTCCGAAAGAGTGCAGAATGTAAAGAAGGGGTTTATCATCACAAATGTTGAGGGATGAGTGTGCTGTCAATCCCTCCATGGGCTGTCTATACTCCTCTTGAGGTAATGTGACTACAACGTTTCTGGTACAGTGTGGCCTGTACAGCAAGATTCTCAACTTTCCTTCCAGGCTCCTGCTGCAATCTGAGGTTGTGGGAGCTTGTGGGAGGCAACTACCCTATTATTGCCTATGTTGAGTTTGCTTTTCATCAGCTTCAATTTTTAAATTCTTTTTAAAACTTTTCCATTGGTATTTTTGCAATTTGTACTCCAAACCTAAGTTCAAGATCATCAGATTTCACCTTTCTATTCAGCATGTCAACTCTCTTGCCTCTCATCACATATCTTCAAGTGAAAAGGGTCTATCTAAAATGATTCTCTATGCCCCTAAGTATTTACGACCCTGGCCAGCCTCACATCATCCACAAAATTTAAGAGAATGCTGTCTACATAGTCACACAATAAATGTTAGTTGAACAAACCAACAGATTCACAAGAAGAATAAAACAGCAACAAGGCCTAAAATCTGAGAGAGACACCATTCAAAGCCTCCTAGCTCAATGGTTCTCAACCCTAGATGCATATTGGAATCACCTGGAAGCCTCTACACAGCCCCACTTCCTAGGTCTGCCCTAATCAGACTCTCTGGCACTGGTACCATTTTAAAGTTCTTCAAGTGATGCTGATGCAAAACCAGGGATGAGAACCATTGCTCCAGACCAGTGCTGTCCCACAGACCCTTTTGCAATGATGGAAGTGGTCTACCTCTGTGCTGTCCAATACAGCAGTCACTGGTCACCTGTGGCTACTGAGCACTTGAGATGAAGCTAGAACAACTGAGGAACTTAATTTTTAATTTAATTTAATTTTACTTAAGTACCCAGATGTGGCTTGTGGCTACCACAGAAAACAGCAGCGGTCTAGACTGACCAGTGATTATCTCCATGAACTCTTTAGATATGGCAGCACCACCAGTTTTCAGCTCATCTTGTCCACAAGAAGTCACAAGAGACCTTGTCAAATGCCTTGAAGAAGTCAGCTATACTAAGTTTACTACATCTTCCTGTCAATCTAGCATCCCAAAACAAAAAAATTAGTCTGACATGATATTCTTAACATACCCACGTCGGGTCCTAACAGTCAATGCTTCTCATCCTTCTAATGATTTTTCTAAATTTGATGCTTCAAGATCAATGCTGGGCAAGACAGCCCCTGTCACAGAATTCCCACTTGGGAAAATCAGAAAGGACATCAGCTCCTGCCCACCTCTCCTATTGGACGGGACTCCTGAAAGACCCTGACAGCGGTCTGGGTATCTCTTCCAAGCCCTCTAGTGCCATCTCAGACAGCTTAGATTCCCTGAGGATGGCAGATGGCCTCTTACCTCTTCATGGATCTCAGGTTTTTGCTGCTCCTCACTAAAGTCCATGCCACCCTTTACCTTCACTAAACAAGAGATCACCACCACTGACAGCAAAGCATCAGAACTGCCTTCTCTACATTCAGGAATGCTTCAATTCTAAGCAGCAGATCTACCCTTCCTTCATCATCTGGTTTAGAGCACACATGCACGCACACGCACACGCACACACACACACACACACCATAAAAAACTTCTTACAGAGTAGTGATATCTCTAATATGCATCCTGGATGTTTGTCCTTTCTTTATTCTTTGGTACATGTCCTTTTAAACTTTTTATTTGGGGAAATTTCAAATACTCCCAAAAAGAGAGAAAGCAATATAATGATTTCCCTTGTGCCCATCATGCAGCTTCAATAATTAGCAACGTTACGCCAAATTTGTTTCATCTATAGTCCAATTCATTTTTTTTCTAGAGTATTTCAAAATAAGTAACAGACACATAGTGCCAGCTACTCCAGAGGCTGAGGTGGGCAGATCATTTGGGCCTGGAGGTCGAGGCTGCAGTGAGCAAAAATCGCACCACTGCACTCTAGACCGGGCAACAGATCAAGACCTTGTCAATCAATCAATAACAGACAAAATCATGCCCTTTGAAGATCTGCACCAAGATCATTTGTAACTGGTCACTCAGAAGTACACTCTTGAGCACCTTCAACCTCTCTGAGCTCTCTCTTTCCAAAGCTTTGGTGGGAGAGTTGTACCTTTACTTCTCTGGCCTGAAATCCACTTTCTAGAAGTCTGGGGCACACATCTGAGGATGCCCAGCTGTATGGCCTGCCTGCTTCACATATTCCACTGCGTAAACTGTGATGGTGCCTCCACTGGTTATATGAAGATCTTTGTGGGAGTAAAGAGGTGGGGAGAGCACAAGGAGGCTGCAGGCACCATCCCTTCCAGCACCCCTGATTTTACTCCCTGCGGCCAATTTCCTTTCGTTTTTTGAAGGAGAAGGAGAAAGAAAAGAAGATGTGGGGGGAAGGAGAAGTATGTTAAAAGGATTGACAGCACCTGAAGTCTCCCTGTCCCGAACTTTGTGCTGTTTTAATCCAAGCTGAACCTTAGGAAACGGGACTTTTATTTTTCCCAGGAGGAAAGTGAGGGGAAATTTAGCAAGAAGGAAAACAGATAATGAAGAGAAGACACATGCTTGGCCAGATCAGAGGCCTACTCTGACATTCTTTCCTTGGCTTTCCTTCTCTTCATCTATAATATATCTGTTTCCAAACCACTGTTCAGAAGGGGGCCTCCCACTGCTCTGCTCATAAATACTGGGGAACTCTTAGATCATACTATATTTACAGAGACAGTCAAAACTTACTTGACAGTCCAGTGTTGCTGATGTTTTGGTATTCACTATAAAAAACTGCTTTTTCAAGCATTCCCAAAAAAATAACAGCTGCAATCCAGAACTGGATTCTTAATATATCTTTCCAATAACAGGCAGACCACGTCAGCCAGAGTATGCCATATAATATATAAACAATACACATCACCATGTAAAACTGTAGGAAGAGAAGCAATTTTAGTCAGTTAAGCCTTTTGGTCATTTGAAAGTTGGCACTTCTACATTCAAGTATCCAACCCTTCATTTTCCAGTCACTCTGGAACCAGAAATACAGGATATGTCAAAGCATTAACTACTGAGGAATTACTACCACAAAGCTCTTAGGGTATAAAATTCATTTTTTAAAAAGGAAAAAATGATGAGAAATACTCACAATCATTAGGGGCCAATCTGATGCAGAGATATATCCATGAGGCCCAATCATAGAAAGAGAAACTAGGATAGAGAAGAAGAGAGAGTTAATTAACAGTCAGTCTTAAATCTTTAAATGTAAGTTCATTTCCCAGAAGGCTCCAAGAATACAAACCACACTAACAAATGCTGAATTTGTATGTAGCACATACATGGTATTGGACAATTAGTATTTGTTTGATTATGTAACCTTACCAAGATACCTTTACTGTAAGACCAGAAACTGTAAAACTGCTAGAAGAAAACATAGGGAGAACACTACATAACACTGGTCTGAGCAATGATTTTTTGGATTTGATCCCAAAAGCACGGGCAACAAAAGCAAAAATAGACAAATGGGATTACATCAATATAAAAAGCTTCTTTGCACAAAGGAAACAATTAACAGTAGACATAGACAACTTAGGTACTGGGAGATAAAATTAGCAAGCCATATATCCAAGAAGGAGTTAATATCCAAAATACATAAGCTCAAACAACTCAATAGCAAGAAAACAAAAAACCCAATTAAAAGAATGGGCAGGCCGGGCGTGGTGGCTCACCCCTGTAATCCCAGCACTTTGGGAGGCCAAGGCGGGCGGATTACGAGGTCAGGAGATCGAGACCATCCTG
This sequence comes from Homo sapiens, assembly GCF_000001405.40. Taxonomy (NCBI): domain Eukaryota; kingdom Metazoa; phylum Chordata; class Mammalia; order Primates; family Hominidae; genus Homo; species Homo sapiens. Next base: position 112,080,468 of record NC_000002.12, on the reverse strand, counting down.
GCTAACACGGTGAAACACCGTCTCTACTAAAAATACAAAAAATTAGCCGGGCGTGGTGGCGAGCACCTGTAGTCCCAGCTACTCGGGAGGCCGAGGCAGGAGAATGGCGTGAACCCAGGAGGTGGAGCTTGCAGTGAGCCGAGATCACGCCACTGCACTCCAGCCTGGGCGACAGAGCAAGACTCCGTCTCAAAAAATAAAAAAAGATAAAAAAAATTAAAAAAAAAAGAATGGGCAAGGGGCTGGGCGTTACAGCTCACACCTGTAATCCCAGCACTTTGGGAGGCCAAGGTGGGCAGATCACTTAAGGTCAGGGGATCGAGACCAGCCTGACCAACATGGTGAAACCCGTCTCTAATAAAAACAGAAAAATTAGCCAGGTGGGGTGGCGTGCACCTATAATCCCAGCTACTTGGGAAGCAGAGGCAGGAGAATCACTTGAACCCAGGAGGTGGAGGTTGCAGTGAGCCGAGATCGTGCCACCGCACTCCAGCCTGGGTGACAGAGCGAACTCCTGTCTCAAAAAAAAAAAAAAAAAAAAAGGCAAGGGACCTAGATGTTTCTCAAAAGAAAACATATAAATGAGCAAAAGATATTAATACATGAAAAATGCTCAACATCACTAGTCATTAGAGAAATGCAAATTAAAACCCCAATATCATTTCACACCTGTCAGAATGGCTTTTATCAAAAAGATGAAAGAGAGTAAGTGCTGATGAAGATGTGGAGAAAAGGGATGCTTTGTGAAAATGTCAATTAGTACAGCCATTATAAAAAACAGTATGGAAGGTCCTCAAAAAACTAAAAACAGAATTACCATATAATCCAGTAATCCCACTTTACTATTTACCCAAAAGATCTAAAATCAGTTTGTCAAAGAGCTGTCTGCACCCCCATGTTCACTGCAGCAGTATGAACAATAGCTAAGTTATGGAATCAAGGTAAGTGTCCATCAACAGATGAATGGATGAAGAAAATGTGTATATATACACAATGAAATACTATTCAGCCTTTAAAAAGAAGAAAATTCTGTCATTTGCAACAACATGGATGGAACTGGAAAACACTGTGCTGAGTGAAATGAGTCAAGCACAGAAAGACAAATACTGCACATTTTCACTTATATGTGGAATCTAAAACAATTGAACTCCTAATACGAGAGCAGAATGGTGGGTACAGAGGCTGGGAGGTAGGAGGCATGGGCAGATGATGGTCCAAGGGTAAAAAAAAATCTCACACAGGAGGAGTAAGTTTTTTCTTTTTTTGAGTTCTATTGCACAGCATGGTGAATAGTTAACAGAGTACTGTATGTTTCAAAATTGCTGAGAGAGTACATTTCAAATGTTCTCACCACAAAAAATGTTAAGCATTTGGGGTGATGAGTATGTTAACTAGTTTGACTTAATTATTCCACACTGTATTTATAGATTATAACATTACTTTGTACCCCATACATTTATGTCATATGTAATTGTCAATTTACAATAAAAAGAAAAAAAGAGATCCCTCTACTTGTATACACGCTATTCTAAAAACCTGTGCCAAATCTGATCATATACAAGAGCACAGTAGTCCCAGCTACCAAACAAGACCTCAGACTGGCCCCCTTGCTAATTTACTCATCTCACCGGGACCTTATCTTCCTTGACGTAACTTGGAATAAATTACCAAACTCACACATCTAGGTTGGGTTTTGTCTGAGATAGCAATAATAAACCATGTGCCGAGTACAGTGCAAAACATGCAGGGCTCAGTGACAGCTCCAGCTACTAATTAGCAGGGGCTCAAAACTGCCCGCTGGTGTCAGGGGAAAAGACACAATGCCTGGGAAAGAAGTGGGCACAAGCCTAGTTCTATGGTCTGAATGTCCTCAAAAATTCATTAAAGCTTCATACCCACTGTGGTGGTATTAAGAGGTGAGGCCTTTTGGGAAGTGATTAAGTCATGAGGGCTCTGTCCTCATGAATAGATTAATGCCTTACAAAAGGCCTGGAGGGAACTAGCTTAGGCCCTTCTTTGCTCTTCTGCCTCCACCCCGTGAGAGCAGAGTGGTTGTCCCCTTTTGTGCTTCCTGCCCTTCTATCCTTTCTGCCATGTGAGAACACATCGTTTAAGGTGCCATCTTGGAAGCAGACACCAGGGACCTAACCAGACACCAAACTTGGTGGCACCTTGATCTTAGACATCGCAGCCTCAAGAACTGTGGGGAAATAAATTTCTGTTCTTTATAAATTACCCAGTGTCAAGTATTCTATTATAGCAGCACAAACAGACTAAGATAGGTGACAGAATGGCATCAGGGTCCCTGCTCCCTCTACTTGGCACAGTCTGGCTCATGATGCCATCTCCAGAAGGAAGCCTTACCTCACACTCTTCCAGAGCAGCCACCTTGCCAGCTTCCCTCCAAGGGCCATGCAGTACAACAGACCGAGCCTCCTCTGCAGCAATGCCTACCTCACCTCATTGGTTTCTGCCAGCTGACTGGCTGAATCAGAGCAGTATCAAATCCCCAGGGCCCTCACATGCTGATTGGCTACTGCTGGCCCCAGCAGACACACCCACTATGGAAAACATCAGCCAAAGTGATTCTAGAATATGGGAAAGCATTCATTCTCTTGAAAACTGCTTATTGCAAGTCTACTTTTGTGGCACTAAGGAACCACAGCTTAACAAGGCACAGAGGGTCTAACTTACAGTGGTGGGGGTGCCTCACAGACCACAGAAGCACATGCTGGCAGATATGCTGCTTCTACTCCTAGGCTACAGACAGATCCTTTAAAATAAAATTTGTCAAATAATAAAAATCTTAAATCCCTGATGATGGCCATTTTCAAGAAACAGAGAACATAACCTACTTGAAATACACAACTAAAAAGTTGCCTACACATTTCTACATGTTAAAAAAATTTTTTTAATCTGAAAGAATGGAGAATTTTATATCCCACTATGAAGTTTGAAATTTTAAAAATTTATCTTAACACAGTAAAATTTTAAATCAATTAAAAAATAAATAGTAGCAATAAGATAACTTAATGTTACATTTTAAGTATCTAAAATAAATGTATGATTAACAGAAATTCATTTTTGAATGATGTATTTGAAACAGAGAATGTTGACTCAGGTCAGTGACAAAAATACAGAATACAGAAAATGCAGACAGTAAACATGCATGCAGTTTAACTATACCATTCAAATTCCAGCTTGCATCTGTATTCTCCGTTTTAATAGAAACAATAAAGATATGAAACCCATCTTTTTGTGTTCTGGCTACAACATCCTGAAATAGAGGTGAAAAAAATTCTTCATTATTTTTAACAAATTGCTATGTAATATAGCTGAACAACTGTTTGCCATATTTTAAAGTAATTGAATCGGGTTACTTTTTAAATTTTTCTATTTTTTAATTTTTTCCTTTTTTTTTTTTTTTTTTGAGATGGGGGTCTCACCATGTTGCCCAGGCTGGTCTCAAACTCCTGACCCCTCATGTGATCCTCCTGCTTTGGCCTCCCAAAGTGCTGGGATTACAGATGTGAGCCACTATGTCCAGTCATATTGGGTTTCTTTTAAACACACACACAGACACACACACACACACACACACACACACACACACACACACACACACAAAACAGAAAAGGAATGGCAGGTAGTGGAAAGATAGCTATTTCTCTTATTTTTTAAACACCATCCTTCCAGACCTAAAAAGGTAAAGGAGGAAAGAAGCGTTTCTCATTCTTCAATGTTTTCTATCTTTTATATTTTTACAGGTTCCCTCTAATATTACCAATCTATAAATTGTTTAATATTATCAATAAAAAACTTTTTCTAGGGCTGAGCAGGGTGGCTCACACCTGTAATCCTAGCACTTTGGGAGGCCGAGGTGGGTGGATCACTTGAGCTCAGGAGTTTGAAACCAGCCTGGCCAACGTGGCAAAACCCTGTCTCTACTAAAAATACAAAAATTAGCCGGGTGTGGTGGTAGGCACCTGTAGTCCCAGCTACTTAGGAGGCTGAGACAGAAGAATCGCTTGAACTTGGGAGGCGGAGGTTGCAGTGAGCTGAGATCACACCACTGCACACCAGCCTAGGTGACAGAACAAGCCTGTGTCTCAAAAAAACCTCTTTTTTCTAACAATACTCTTCTCATATTTTATCCTAATTTTATCAAACATTTTGTTTTATTTAAATGTGTGGTTTTCATTATTCATTTATTTTTTGAGATGGAGTCTCGCTCTGTCACCCAGGCTGAAGTGCAATGGTGCGATCTTGTCTCACTGCAACCTCAGCCTCCTGGGTTCAAGCAATTCTTGTGCCTCAGCCTCCGAGTAGCTGGAATTCCAGGCACCTGCCACCACACCCGGCCTAATGTGTGGTTTTTAAATTGAATTGGGGGAAGAGGAAGTTAGATAACATTGTCAGAAATGACTCAGATTAAGTACATAAGCTAAATGATTCAAATTTCTTAAGGCACTATGTTACTTGCAATTCCACTAAGGAATAAAACTTCCCACTGTAATGCTTGTAAATTCTCCAGTGCCCTCCCATAACTGGATCACACTTCTTATACTCCATTTTCCTGAATATTTCCTATCCGTTTCTTTCATTTCCTACTCCTCATCATATGACAGATTTTGTACAAAGTTTGTCCTGGCCACTGCAGAGCGAGTGCCTTTCCATTATCAGACTTCTTTAGGATGGTTGAAGAGAAAACATGAAGAGTCATAGTATAAAAGCAAACATTAAGCTCTCCCAAACCTGTTTTCAGTCCCTACACATAACTCCCATCCCTTTCGACCTCTTACTCAGTCTTCTAACTTTTAGTAATTCCCCAGAATGCCAAAATTTCCCTCCCACATGCTACATTCATGGTTTCTATTTCTTTAAATCCTTAATGACACGCACAGCCCATTGCTATGCTGTCTTGCACATTTAGAGGGGGAATTTTATTTTTTAAAGAAAAGAAAGGCTGCATAGAAATGCATCTTAAATTGCTTTAAGGATATTTTTAGACAAAGATAGTAACAGTATATACAAAATTCATATAGACATATATAAGAAAACTTTTTTTTGAGGCAGAGTCTTGCTCTGTCACCCAGGCTGAAGTTTAGTGGTGCAATTTCAGCTCACTGCAACCTCCACCTCCCAGGTTCAAGTGATTCTCATGCCTCAGCCTCCCAAGTAGCTAGGATTACAGGCATGTACCACCATGCCTGGCTAATTTTTGTATTTTTAGTAGAGATGAGGCTTTGCCATGTTGGCCAGGCTGGTATCAAACTGCTGGCCTCAAGCAATTAACCTGCTTCAGCCTCCCAAAGTGCTGGGATTGCAAGCAGGAGCCACTGCACCTGGCCTGAAAACATACGGTTTTAAATAATGTTTCCTTTTCCTTCCACAGTTCTAATAACCCTACTTTATATCACTCTCTAAGTATCTATCCATCAGCGACTTTTTTCAGTCTTACGTTAACTTGTGTATATTTGATTTAAAGACAAATCAAACTGCTTACCATTGATCTTTCCTGGTTTGAAACATTTCTGATATTTATTAGTTCTTTATTCTGGAAAAAAGAGTAAATAATGCCATTTTATACTGCTGCATTTCTACGGAGAAAAATTGTTTTAATAATTAAGAAAAAAAGTTAGAAGAAAAATGAAAAATTAAAAAGCTAAACATCAAAGAACAAATCTCACTGTATCCCAAACACAAGTAACAAAGTTCTGCTTTTGAAAAATTGCCCCTATTATATAAAGAGATGGAATCTATGACTCACTGACACTCCTGAAAGAGATGGGAGAATGGAAGCAACTTGAAAAACCTATTTCAGTATATCATCCATGAGAACTTCCCCAACCTAGCTAGAGGGGCCAACATTCAAATTCAGGAAATGCAAAGAACCCCCACAAGATACTTTATAAGAAGATCATCCCCAAGACACATAAATCATCAGATTCTCCAAGGTCAAAATGAAGAAAAATGTTAAAGGCACCTAGAAAGAAAGGTCAGGTCACCCACAAAGGAAAGCCCATCAGATTAACATTAAGCCTCTCCACAGAAACCCTACAAGGAGAAGAGAATTGGAGGCCTATGTTCAACATTCTTAAACAAAAGAAATTCCAACCAAGAATTTTATGTCTGGCCAAACTAAGCCTCATAAGTGAAGGGGAAATAAGACCCTTTTTAGACAAGCAAATGCTGAGGGAATTCATTCAGACCTGCCTTACAAGAGCTCCTGAAAGAAGCACTAAATATGGAAAGACCATTACCAGCCACTAAAAAAACACACTTAAGTATACAAACCAGTGACACTAGGAAGTAGCCACACAGATGAGTCTGCGTAATAACCAGCTAACAACATGATGACACGATCAAACCCACAATGTCAACACTAAAAGCCCCAATTAAAAGGCACAGAATGTCAAGCTGGATAAATAAGCAAGACTCATTGGTTTGCTGTCTTCAAGAGACTCATCTCACATATAACGACACCCACAGGCTCAAAATAAAGGGTTGGAGAAAAATCTACCAAGCAAATGGAAAACAGAAAAAAAGCAGAGGTTGCAGGCCTAATTTCAGACAAAACTGACTTTAAACCAACAAAAATCAAAAAAGACACAGAAGGGCATTATGTAATGGTAAAGGGTTCAATTCAACTGAAGACTTAACTCTCTTAAATATATATGCACCCAACACAGGAGTACCCAGATTCATAAAGCAAGTTCTTAGAGACGTTTAAAGAGACTTAGACTCCCACACAATAATAGTGAGAGACTTCAACACCCGACTGAAAGTATTAGATCACTGAGGCATAAAATTAACAAAGATATTCAGGACCTGAACTCAACACTGGATCAAATGGAGCTGATAGACATCTACAGAACTCTTCACCCAAAAATAATAGAATATACACTCTTCTCATCTCTGCATGGCACATACTCTAAAATCAGCCAATGAGAAATAAAACAATGCTCAGAAAACGCAAAAGAACCAAAATCATACCAACCACTCTCTCAGACCACAACAATAAAATTGGAAATCAAGATTAAGAAAATCTTTCGAAACCGTACAATTGCATGGATATTAAACAACCTGCTCCTGAATGACTTTTGGGTGAATAATGAAATTAAGGCAGAAATCAAGAAGTTCTCTGAAACTAATGAGAACAAAGATACAACATACCAGAATCTCTGCGACATAGCTAAGGCAATATTAAGAGGGAAATTTACAGCACTAAACGCCCACAGTGAAAAGTTAAAAAGATCTTGGCTGGGTGCGGTAGCTCACACCTGTAATCCTGTAATCCCAGTACTTTGGGAGGCTGAGGCGGGTGGATCATCTGAGGTCACGAGTTCGAGACCAGCCTGGCCAACATGGCGAAACCTCATCTCTACTAAAAATACAAAAGTTAGCTGGGTGTGGTGGTGGGTGCCTGCAATCCCAGCTACTCGGGAGGCTGAGGTGGGAGAATCACTTGAACCTGGGAGGTGGAGGTTGCAGTGAGCCGAGATTGCACCACTGCCCTCCAGCCTGGGCAACAGAATGAGACTCTGTCTCAAAAAAAAAAAAAAAAAAAAAAGAAGAAGAGTTAAAAAGATCTCAAATTAATTAACAACCTAACATCACAACTCAAAGAACTAGTGAAGCAAGAGCAAACCAACCTCAAAGCTGGCAGAAGACAAGAAATAACCAAAATCAGAGCTGAACTAAAGGGGACCGAGACATGAAAAACCATTCAAAAGACCAATGAATCCAGAAGCTGTTTTTTTGAGAAAATTAATCAGATAGACTGCTAGGTAGGTTAATAAAGAAGAAAAGACAGAGGATCCAATAAACTTAATTAGAAATGACAAACGGAATGTTACCACTGAGCCCACAGAAATACAGGTAACCATCAGAAAATACTATCAATGCCTCTATGCACACAAACTAGAAAATTTAGAATAAATGGATAAATTACTGGACACATACACCCTCCCAAGACTAAACCAGGAAGAAACTGATTCCCTGAACAGACCAATAAGAAACTCTGAAATGGAAATAGCCTACCAACCAAAAAAAGGCCGAAGACCAGATGGATTCACAGCTAAATTCTACTAGAAGTACAAAGAAGAGCTGGTACCATTCCTACTGAAACTATTCCAAAAAATTGAGGAGGAGGGACTCCTCCCCAACTCATTCTATAAGGCCAGCATTATTCTGATACCAAAACATAGAAGAGACATGACAAAAGAAGGCTTCAGGCCAATATCTTTGATGAACACTGATGCAAAAAACCTCAACAAAATACTAGCAAACCAAATCCAGCAGCACATCAAAAAGTTAATCTACCATGATCAAGCAGGCTTTCCCCTGGGATGCAAGGTAGGCTCAACACATGCAAATCAATAAACATGATTTATTACATAAAGAGAATTAAAGACAGAAACCACATGATCATCTCAATAGATACAGAAAAGGCTTTGGATAAAATACAACATCCTTTCATGTTAAAAACTCTAATAAACTAGGTATTGAGGGAACAGATCTCAAAATAATAAGAGCCACCTATGACAAACTCATAGCCAACATCATACTTAATGGGCAAAAGCTGGAAGCATTACCCTTGACATCCGGCACAAGACAAAAATGCCCTCTCTCATCACTCCTATTTAACATGGTATTGGAAGTCCTGGCCAGAGCAATCAAGTAAGAGAAAGAAATAAAGGGCACCCAAATAGGAAGAGAAGAAGTCAAACTATCCCTGTGTGCAGACGACATGATTATATATCTAGAAAACCCCATACTCTCTGCCCAAAAGCTCCTTGAGCTGATAAGCAACTTCAGCAAAGTTTTGGGATACAAAATCAATATATAAAGATCACTAGCGGCTGGGCGTGGTGGCTCACTCCTGTAATCCCAGCACTTTGGGAGGCCAAGGCAGCAGGATCACTTAAGGTCAGGAGTTTGAGAGCAGCCTGGCCAACATGGTGAAACCCCGTCTCTACTAAAAAAAAAATTCAAAAATTAGCCGGGCATGGTCACAGGTGCCTGTAATCCCAGCTACTCAGGAGGCTGAGGCAGGAGAATTGCTTGAACCTAGGAGGCGGAGGTTGCAGTGAGCAGAGACTGCGCCATTGCACTCCAGCCTGGATGACAGAGTGGGCAGTGGTGGCGGCGGCGGGGGGGCGGGGGGGGAATCACTAGCATACCTGTACACCAACAACAGCCAAGCCAAGAGCCAAATCATGAATGCAATCCCATAGGAATACAGCTAACCAAGGGGGTGAATGAACTCTACAATGAGAATTACAAAACACTGCTCAAAGAAATCAGAGATGACACAAACAAATGGAAAGATGTTCCATGCTCAGCCGGGCGCAGTGGCTCATGCCTGTAATCCCAGCACTTTGGAGGCCGAGGCGGGTGGATCATGAAGTCAGGAGATCAAGACCATCCTGGCTAACACAGTGAAACCCCATCTCTACTAAAAAAAAATACAAAAAATTAGCCGGGCATGGTGGCGGGCGTCTGTAGTCCCAGCTACTTGGGAGGCTGAGGCAGGAGAATGGCATGAACCCGGGAGGTGGAGGTTGCAGTGAGTGGAGACTGCGCCACTACACTCCAGCCTGGGTGACAGAGCAAGACTCCATCTCAAAAAAAAGAAAAAAAAAAAAGATGTTCCATGCTCATGGATATGAAGAATTAATACTGTTAAAATGGCCCTGCTGCCCAAAGCAACTTACAGATTCAATGCTATTCCTATCAAACTACCAATGACATTCTTCACAAAACTAGAAAAAACTATTTTAAAATTCATATGGAACCAGAAGAGAGCCCGAATAGCCAAGGCAATCCTAACCAAAAGGAACAAAGCTGGAGGCATCATGCTACCTGACTTCAAACTATACCACAGGGCTATAGTAACCAAAACAGCATGGTACTGGTACAAAAACAGACACATAGACCAGTGGAACAGAATAGAGAGCCCAGAAATATCGGAGCACACGTATAATAATTTGGTCTTTAATAAAGTTGACAAAAACAAACAATGGGGAAAAGACTCCCTATTCAATAAATGGTGCTGGGATAACTGGCTAGCCATATGCAGAAGACTGAAACTGGACCCTTTGCTTACATTATATACAAAAATCAACTCAAGATGGATTAAAGAGTTAAATGTAAAACTTAAAACTATGAAAACCCTATGAAGACAACCTAGACCATACCATTCTGGACATAGGACAGGTGACGATTTCATGACAAAGTTGCCAAAAAAGCAATTGCAACAAAAGCAAAAATTGACAAATAGGATCTAATTAAACTAAAGAGTTTCTGCACAGCAAAAGAAACTATCAACAGAATAAAAAGATAACCTACAGAATGAGAGAAAATATTTGCAAGCTATGCATCTGACAAAGGTCTAATGTCCAGTGTCTATAAGGAACTTAAACAAATTTACAAGAAAAAAAACAAAAAAAAATTAAAAAGAGGGCAAAGGACATGACTAGACATTTTTCAAAGGAAGACATGCATATGGCCAACAAGCATATTTTAAAAAGCTCAATATCACTGATCATCAGAGAGATGCAAATCAAAACCACAATGAGATACCATCTCACACCAGTCAGAATGGCTATTATTAAAAAGTCAAAAAATAACAGATGCTGGCAAGGTTGTGGAGAAAAGGGAATGCTTATACACTGCTGGTGGGAGTACAAATTGGTTCACCCATTGTGGAAAGCGGTGTGGCAATTCCTCAAAGAGCTGAAAAGAGAACTACCGTTTGACACAGTACTTCCATTACTGGGTATATTATATACCCAAAGGGATATAAATCGTTCTGTCATAAAGACACATGCACACATATGTTCACTGCAGCACCATTCACGTTGCCAAAGATATGGAATCAACCTAAATTCCCATCAATGGTAGACTGGATAAAGAAAATGTGGTACATATACATCATGGAATAATATGCAGACATAAAAAAGGAGATCGTGTCCTTTGCAGGGACATGGATGGAGCTGGAAGCCATTTTCCTTAGCAAACTAACACAGGAACAGAAAACCAAATACCGCATGTTCTCACTTATAAGTGGGAGCTAAATGATGAGAAAATGGACACAAAGAGGGGAACAGCAGACACAAAGAGGGGCCTACTTAAGGGTGAAGGCTGGGAGGAGGTAGAGGAGCAGAAAAAATGACTATTGGGTACTAAACTTAGTACCTGTGTCATGGAAATAATTCGTACAACAAATTCCTGTGACATGAGTTTTTTTTTTTTTTTTTTTTTTTGAGACGGAGTCTCGCTCTGTCGCCCAGGCCAGACTGCGGACTGCAGTGGCGCAATCTCGGCTCACTGCAAGCTCCGCTTCCCGGGTTCACGCCATTCTCCTGCCTCAGCCTCCCGAGTAGCTGGGACTACAGGCGCCCGCCACCGCGCCCGGCTAATTTTTTGTATTTTTAGTAGAGACGGGGTTTCACCTTGTTAGCCAGGATGGTCTCGATCTCCTGACCTCAAGATCCACCCGCCTCGGCCTCCCAAAGTGCTGGGATTACAGGCATGAGCCACCGCGCCCGGCCTACATGAGTTTACGATATAACAAACCTGCACATGTACCCCTGAAAATAAAAGTTAAAAAATAAAAATAAAACCTTCTCCTTAATGAGGATAGTGTTGCCATTGGCAGGGAAAGTGTTAGGAAGTAAAAGGGGGTTCTAGGTGCTAAAATGTTCTATAATTCATCAGGGTCTACATGGTTGTGCTCAGTTTTGTTGTCTGTTTTTTTTGAGACGGAGTCTCACTCTGTTGCCCAGGCTGGAGTGCAGCGGCATGATCTCGGCTCACTGCAAGCTCCACCTCCCGAGTTCACGCCATTCTCCTGCCTCAGCCTCCCAAGTAGCTGGGACTACAGGTGCCCGCCACCACGCTCGGCTAATTTTTTGTATTTTTAGTAGAGACGAGGTTTCACTGTGTTAGCCAGGATGGTCTCGATCTCCTGACCTCATGATCCACCCGCCTTGGCCTCCCAAAGTGCTGAGATTATGGGTGCGAGCCATTGTGCCTGGCCTTTTAAAAATTCATTGAGGAGTACACTGATGTGTACTTTTCTGTGTTTATTATATTTCAACACATTTTAAAGAGAACTCCTTTAAAACTTTTACTAAAGACTTTCACTTCAGAATTTACAAAAGAACAAAAAATAAATTTAAATGCCTCATAATCTCACTAACCAAGGCTGACTGCTAGGTTTATTTTTGTTTTTGTTTTTGTTTTTTGAGACGGAGTCTCGCTCTTGTCCCCCAGTCTGGAGTGCAATGGCGTGATCTCGGCTCACTGCAACCTCTGCCTCCCGGGTTCAAGTGATTCTCCTGCCTCAACCTCCTGAGTGGCTGGGATTACAGGTGCGTACCACCACACCCAGCTAATTTTTTGTATTTTAAGTAGAGATGGGGTTTCACCATGTTGGCTAGGCTGGTCTCGAACTACTGACCTCAGGTGATCCACCTGCCTCATCCTCCCAAAGTGCTGGGATTACAGGCTGAGCCACCACGCCCAGCCAACTGCTGTTAATCATTTTAGAATCTAAGCTCCCACACTGGTAGGGAGAAAAGGCATAAAGGAGGAGTTAGTGTTGACATGTGTCAAATGCTGGTAAGTCAAGACTTTTGGTAAGAGGAACAGACCATTGGATTTAACAACATGGAAGTTACTGGTGACTTTGACTAGAGCTGTTTTGATGGGATGATGGATGCAAAGGTCTGACTGCAGTTGACAGAAGGAAGAGTGAGAGATAAATTGGAGGTAGCAGATATAAAAGAACCTTGCAAGGATATTGCCAAAATAAGTTGCAAGGAAATGGAACAATGGTATCAGTATCTTATCTTTTTTTTTGAGACGGAGTCTCGCTCTGTCGCCCAGGCTGGAGTGCAGTGGCGCAATCATGGCTCACTGCAAGCTCTGCCTCACGAGTTCAAGCAATTCTCATGCCTCAGCCACCCGAGTAGCTGGGACTACGGGCACATGCCACCACACCCGGCTAATTTTTTTATTTTTAGTAGAGATGGGGTTTCACCAGGCTGGTCTCAAACTCCTGACCACAGGTGATCCACCCACCTCAGTCTCCCAAGGTGCTGGGATTACAGGTGTGAGCCACCGCGCCCAGCCACGTATCTTACTTATTATGTACTACTATACACACAAACAAACTAAACCTAAAAATTTACAAGTTAACCACCTTTATCAAAATCCTGATAAAACAGTACTTCAGTTGATACTTGTATTCAGTGGGAATAAAATAAACTTTATTTTAACATGGCAAGTCAGATACCACCTTTATCAAAATTCCGATAAAACATTACTTCAGTTGATACTTGTATTCACTGGGAATAAAATAAACTTTAACATGGCAAGTCAGATACTCACATTCAAAGAGGGAAACACCTGTGAATCACTGTTGCAATCTAAGTTTTCATTTTTTGTTGTCCAACAGTTGTCATTCTTCAAATAATGACAAAAGTCTTCATCAACACTAAGTTTATGTTTTTGGAACAGCTCCTATATAAGGTAAAATTCTATGTTATAATTTATTCCCACACTTCTTATCCTAGAATATAAATAAAAGTTAATGTCTAAATAATACCAAAAGTATATTCAGTTTGAAATACCTGGAAATACGCAATAGAATAAAATACCAAATAAAAACTGTTTCGAATATAATTTTAATATAATTGAGATAATCATAACCTTTTAGCCATTCCAGTGTGTTCAGATACAGTAATACATAACACAAGCACACTTACAATAAGAAAACTGACTAAGATACTACAATGAAATAGTTCCCAGAGAAATAAAACATACTTTGTTCTGGGGCTACTTGTATTTTATCCCATGTGTAAGAGATTTTACAGAGAAAGAAAGTAGCATTCAACTACAAAAAAGAGAAAGCAAACAGTAAGATACAGCAAAGGTAGCTGAGTGCAGAGGAGACGCTCATTTACACAACTACCTGAGGTTCCTGGCATCCTTGAATGGATGAATGAACCAGGCTCCTTAATGGCAGCTCCCAGTCATCAAAAAAAGTGGAGTTGGCTCCCACAGACCAAATATGGGACAATATGAGCAAAATATATAAAAACAGTAATAGATTATAACCTATATAACAAAGTAAAAATCAACAAGTCCGACCTGATGACTGACAGATAAGACAGATTGATTAGGGGAGTAGAGAGAGTGCATCCTTATAGTAGAATGCTAACAAAGGAAGAAGAAAGTATGGAACTAGAAAATCACCATTCAGCAATCAGCACAGTAATGACTGACTCATCAGGCAAGAATCATGAAAGGATGCTAAAACAAGTGGCTGAAGGTTTGATGAAAACCACAACATATTTACATAGTTTCAAAAGTTTTTCCTCACAAGTTGTTGTTAATAACAAAGAGAAAAGTAGTAACTTTGGAATGGAAAAAATCTTGCAGATATGTCCTTGACCAACTGATCAAATTAACATCACCAAAAATGAGACAAATCAGTATTCTGTGGTATTCCTGCCAAAAATGTATAACTTGAATCTGATCATGAATAAACATCAGAAATATTCAAATTCAGGGGCATTTTGCAAAAATAAATGGTCTGTGCACTTCAAAACTATCAATGCCATGACACACCAAAAAGGGGGGAAATCCAGATTATCAGGAACTAAAAACAAAAACAAGGAAAGGAAATGAAATGCAAACCTGAATTGGTTCCGGTATGGGGTGTGGAGTGTGTGTGCAGGGGGAGCGGGGGCGCCTGCTCTAAAAGACAATATTGGGACACTGGTGAACTTTTTTTTTTTTTTTTTTTTTTTGAAGACAAGGTCTCACTGTCTCCCAGGCTGGAGTGCAGTGGTGCAATCACAGCACATTGCAACTTTAAACTCCTGGGCTCAAGGGATCCTCCGGCCTAAACCTCCCGAACAGCTGGGACTATAGGCACATGCCACTGTGTCTGGCTAATTTTTTAATTTTTTGTAGAGACAGGGTCTCACTTGTTGCCCAGGCTGGTCTTTAACTCCTGGGCTTAAGTGATCCTCTCGCCTCAGGTTCCCAAAGCGCAGGAATTACAGGTGTGACCCACCCTGCCCAGTTGCAAAATTTTAATAAGGTTTATATATAATAGCATTTTATCAGTGTTAAATTTGAATTCTATAATTATACTGTGAAAAAAATAAATGAATATCTCTGTTCTTAGGAAATTTACATTGAAGTATTTAGTGTGAAGGTGTAAAATATTTAGAGATGAAGCCAAAAAGGCAGTTCAAGGAAAATGGCATGGTTCAATCCAAATAGAAATATAATACTAATAACAATACAGAAAGCCAGCTATAATGGCTCACATCTATAATCCCAGAAACTCTGGAGGCTACCTGAGACAACCTGCCAGGAGGGTCACTTGAGTCCAGGAGTTCAGGGCTGGAGTGAGCCATGATCGCACCACTGCACTCCAGCCTGGGTGACAGAGAGAGATCTCATATGTATTTACATGCATATACATGTATAGGTATATGTACACATATATGTATATGTATAGATATATACATATATACATATATAATTTAAAAAGATATGGAAACCCATATATTATTCAAGGTAGAAGCCAAACAGGTAACAGAGAATCTGAAAAGGAAACAATCCCAAGCAACTATCACGAGAATCATCAAGAGAAACACCTTGCTGAGAGCCCAGTGCACATCCCAGGAGGAAGAAACCCAGGCTTCACAGCCAGGTGCAGGAAAAGCCTTGCTCAGCACAGCCACTTTCTCCTTCTCTCTCAGAATCCTCTGCCTTTCCCCAGATACCTCCTTTCTTCTCCTCACCTCTTTCTGCGATCTACTTGTGCTCACTAAATCTACTTGTACTCAATACAGTTCTAGTTTCCCTATAATTTTTTTAAAAAGTGAAATATTTAAACTTCTTTTGCAAATTAAGCATTTATTTGTATGTATGCGTCTTTATCAATGACTCCTACGTGCCTGAATTTAAACATTTACTAACATTTTTCATATCATACAAGGCAACTAAAAGCTCGTAGTATTCTCAGCATGTAACTTGGTTTATTGCCATAAGTCCCAAAATTAATCTGTAGCACTTCTAAAACTGTAATCTCTATTTCTAGCCTCCTCGCTTGATGAGCTAATCTTTATACCCATAATTTTCCTTCATAGCTTTATATACATTAAAAACTTGTGTTTTACTTACTTCCAGATTAGAATGCTCATTGTGACAGGTATGATACTTCAAATGCCACACTATGGTAAACTTCACAGGCCCAGAACAATGGAATGACTTAACTGTTTAGAAAAAGAAAGTCTTGTTTTACATGAATAATACATACACTCTAATATAAACTTAAGGTTTTGAGAATGCAATTAAAAATAGGCTACTTTAATGTAACAATGAGTAAAACATTAGCTAATTTCTCCAAAAAGTCACTGTAAAGTGAGACAGATAAATTCATTAAATTGTTACAGTTAACCAAAAGCTGCTGTAATACTGCTCATTTCACGTATAAGTCTAAAATTAAATAAACTGAGTGGCCTGATATGCTAAGTCACTGCTTATTTCACTCTCAAACATTTTTCTCACTCACATATTCATTCAAAATATACTGAGTGAGCCCCATCCTGTGTGCCATCCTGTGAGCTATGATGGTAAACAAGAACAATGCCTGTCTATGACTTAAGAGGTACTGGAGGAGTGAGTTTTAACAACTAAACAGGCACTCTCAGTAGTCCCAGAGGCTGAGAATAGTCAAGGGAGCACTGAGCAGGTCACCTATCATAGCCCAGGAGAGCATGAAGAATGGGTTCTGGGTAAGCTTGCTGGAGGAGGAGACCTGTAACTTGAAGGAAGAGCAGAAGTTAGCCTGGTGAAGAGAAGGGTGGACCAAACATGTAAATGCCCAGGGTGAGTGAAAGCACAGCATGAGTATGACCCCTGAAAATAGTCTGCTATGCTTAGAACACAGGCTGGGGAAAGGAGAAAGAGTTGAAGCTGGAGAAGAGTGCTGGGGAAAATTCATGAGGTCTTAGACCCTGCTGAGGAGTTTGGCCTTTCTTTTGAATGATCCAGGTAAGAGAGTGACACAAATAGGCAGACTGAAAAGCATTAAGTCTGGAGTTAAGGAGAGCTCTGTTGGGAACGTCCTCACGACATGGCAGCTGGCTTACCCCAGAGTGAGTGATTAGAGAGAGCAAAGATGCAGCCACAGTATCTTTTATAACTTAGCCTCAGAAGGGATGTGCCATTATTTCCACCATGCTCTATCAGTCACTCAGACCAACTCTGATAAAATGTGTTAGAGGACCACACAAGATCATGAATAACAGGAAGCAAGGATCACTGGGAGACATCTCAAAGGCTGATAATGACAAAGAGCGAAACCAAACTGAGACCAGAGATTCAAGTTCAACAAACTGAGGCTGGTAGATTTTCTGGGGGACAGTACCCAAGAGATGGAAGCTACATAAAGAGAAAGAGAAATCTGCATAGTGATCCCCTGGAGTTTCTGGCTGAAGGGCAGCCTGCCCATGCATAGGAACAAGCCCAACAATTCTCAGAGCTCACACAGAGTTGGGAACTGTTTGAGTTTCCACTAGCCAGAGTGGAAAGGCCTCAGTAAATATACCAGGTATTTGGAAGACAAGCAGAAAGACCACACCACAGAAGCACTGTTAAGTTTGCCCTAGACAAAAGGCTACTGCAGAACCATCCTAAAAGAACTTAACAAGAAAACTGGAAAGCATCAAACTGACCCACAAGGAACTTAAATGTCTGCTAGAACAAAGTTGTTAAAGGACTACAACGTCCTCCAGCACTCAAAAATGTGAAATTCACAATATGCACCGACCAAACAAACAAAAAGCCTGCTTGGATTTTGGCTGGGATTAAACTGAACTTATAGATCAATCTGGGAAGAACTGACAGTATGATGTTTGCTACAGATTTTTCATAGATGCCTTTTATCAGGTTGAGGAAGTTTCCTTCTATTTCTAACTTTCTTTGAGTTTCTATCATGAATGGGTGTTGAATTTTTTTCAAATGCTCTTTCTGTATACTTTGAGATGATCATATGGTTCATTTCTTATATTCTGTTAATATGGTGAATTACATTGAGATATTTTTTAGCACAGGCTCCACATGACTTGAATGAGACAGCAGAAGAGAGGTTGCCTTAAAAAAGCCAGATATCTGATCTCCCAAACAGCATCGACATATATCCAAGGGACCAGTCCTTAGCTTAACAAGCACTAAAATCTGGCTCTGTGAAAACACAGATTCTCATCTCACCCTTTCCCAATGGTAGATGTGTACATTAGAATGCTCAATTACTCACTTTCATGATTACCATGTAGATGTATAAATTAGAATACTCAATTACTCACTTACAATGAACAGAAACCGTAAACTGGACTAGTAATGATCAACTCTTTCCCTTCAGCATGCCTCCCTGGAGGCCCAATACGGATGAGAAGGTGGTTTGGTGAGCATGGCACCAGACCAAGGAGGCTCAGGTGGATGCTATATCCACAACTGCCAGCCCCATGTCATAGCTGTGGTCATGGTTCAAGAAAACCTCTCCCCCAACAATGCTGTTGGACATGACCAGCATTTGCCTGACTAAACCCTAGTTTTATTATGCTTTTGCTCTTAAATCCCTCATGCTGTCCCATTCTTTCTTTAGATAAGTTAATAACAACGTCTTGATTGTAGTCTACTCATATGTTGATCTCAGGCATTTGTAATGATTTTTAAAAATCAAATTCTGTTTCAGTGGCTGACGTTACTTTTTTTTCCATATAACTTTTTGTCAGCACCAGACTGAGATTCTTTTAAATCCTTTGTCTAGACTTTGAGACATGAATTCATTAAATAAACAGATGCCAAAATTTTTTTCTCTCTCACCTTGGACTTCAATTTCCTCTTACCAAGCTCTTATCACAACTGATGATTGATATTACAGAGCTGCTTGAAACCACCTCTGCTTTCTAGCTGCTGGCTAGCCTGACTTCCCTCAGGAAAGACCCATAAAAGGAAGAATTGCCCCCAACAAATGAGCAGAGCATGATCTGTTGTGTGAAAGGAAAGAGGCATGACTTTGGATCCTGTAGAAGCCAGTTTGCTCTACCCAGCAAAAAACTGCTCCTTATCCTGAGACTTTAACTCTGGCAACCAATTTTCCTAGTTAGGTTACTGGAAACAATAAGAGGAATTGGGCCACAATGAATACGATCCAATGAAAATCCAGTGAAATTCTTAAAAAACCTTGGTAGTTCTGGTATCTCAGTATTGACACAGAAAAGACAGGCCCTACCTAATGAATATTTTAACTTTTATCAACCTTAAAACTCTAATTAAAATGTTGTCCAGCAATTTTTACTTCTTACGAGGATATGTACGTTTTGAAAATTTTCAAGGCCATAAAGGGTTTATCACAATCATGACATTTCATATATTCGTAAAAGCAATTTATCTAGTTTTAAAAATCTGAGACTCAAAGTTAAATTTCACAAAAAACAAATTTTTTTTGTTCGTCTATTAGACTTTAATTATAATTTTCATAAAATGATTCACATTACATTTTCTGAAAGAAGATCAGAAAAATCCATTCTTGTGGGCCATGCACAGTGGCTCATGCCTGTAATCCCAGCACTTTGGGAGGCTGAGGTGGGTGGATCACCTGGGGTCAAGAGTTGGAGGCCAGCCTGGCCAACATGGTGAAACCCCATCTTTACTAAAAATACAAAAATTAGCTGGGCGTGGTGGCGTTCGCCTGTAATCTCAGCTACTAGGGAGGCTGAGGCAGGAGAATCACTTGAACCTGAGAGGCGGAGGTTGCAGTCATCCGAGATCTTGCCACTGCACTCCAGCCTGGGTGACAGAGAAAGACTCTGTCTCAAGAAAAAAAAAAAGAAAAATCCATTCTTGTAAATAACCAAGTGCTGACTGAAACAAAACAAAACCTTAAAATGTTAGAACTACTTAAAAACAAAACATTTGCTTAGTTTATTATATATGTTATATTCATTTACATGAATGTATTTGTTTATATTATGTTGTTTATATATATATTAGTATTTCATTATTCTTGTTTGTTTGTTTTTGAGACAGAGTCTCACTGTGTCGCCCAGGCTGGAGTGCAGTGGCGCGATCTCGGCTCACTGCAAGCTCTGCCTCCCGGGTTCAAGTGATTCTCCTGCCTCAGCCTCCCAAGTAGCTGGGACTACAGGTGCCCACCACCATGCCCAGCTAACTTTTTTTGTATTTTTAGTAGAGACGGGGTTTCACTATGTTGGCCAGGCTCGTCCTGAACTCCCGACCTTGTGATCCACCTGCCTCGGCCTCCCAAAGTGCCGGGATTACAGGCGTGAGCCATTGCGCCCAGTCTAGTATTTTATTGTTTTATTATACTTACCAGATAACTTGATATCTGTAGAGTTAAACATAGTTTTCCTAAATATCAAAGGTCCTGATTTCTAAAATGAAAAACAAACACAGGAAGATCTTGTTAGAAAGTTTTTTTTGCAACTGTTTTACCCCACAACATATAGAGTTCTAAGCCTTGCACTCCTCTCTCTGACAAGAGTATTTTTTTAACGTAAATCTGATCACATCACTAACTTGCTTAAAACCTTGTCATGGTTCTACTTCCTGCAGTTACCCTGAGGATCAGGAGGGCTCTGGCCTCTAGCAGACTCAGTTAGGGCCAGTGACACATAAGAGGTAAAAGATGCTGCCATTGCAGGATTAGTGCTGCTCAGACGTGACATGAACTGACTGCATTTGCATGTTGCTCTCCTGGCGTCAATTTGAATGTACTTTTGATAAGGAACTGTCCCCCTCTCCCAGCTCCAAGTCGTTATGGTTTACCAATGCAATTACAACAGACCGAAATTCTTACTGTAGCCTATAGGACGTGAATAATCAAGTCCTGCCCACCTCTCAACTTTCCAGTTCCAGAAAAGCATGATATTCTTTCCTGCCCTCAGGATTAGTGGTCAACCTGAAAAATTTACTTTAAAATCCTTCCTTTCACCCTTTGTTCATCTAGTTGGCTCCTTCTCACCCTTCAAAGCCCAGCTCAAAAGCCCGTTCTGCAGGAATTCTTCCACTGTGGCCCATATCCGGCCAGGCCCTCCCTTATATAATCCCTAGCACCCTTTCTTCTTCACAACCTTTCCACAATTTAAATCAAATAATTGATTAGTTGTTTAATGTCTTCTCAGGAATAAAAATCCTGCAGTTAGAGACTGTGTTAAATGTACAAATGATTAGGCATTAAAAACAAAACAAAACAAAACAAAAAACACTGATAGGACAAGTGGTAACCTCTTCCCTTCCCCAACAGAGTTTCAACAACAACAATAAAATTCCCAACTTGGATCCTTCCTTTGAGCTCCAGATCCAAATACCCAACTGCCTAAAGGACATGTCCACTGACAGATGTCCAACAGACAAACCTGTTTTAAACCAGACACACTCCTCTCTGCTCACCAACTTTTCCTACATTGTCCACCTTGGCTGGAGGTGGTACCATCTACAGTCACCCAAGCCATGGCTCCTTCCAGTTCCCCACTTCCATCACCCAATCCCCAAGGCATGCCTACTTTATCTCACAAACATTTATCAAATTTAGTTCTTCCTCTCCATCTCTGTCACCACTGCCCTAATTTAGGCCCTCTGCATTTCCTGCCTAATTTCTGCAATAGCTTAACTGGTACTTCTACCTCCAGATCTGATCCTATAATTCATCTTTAGACAGCAGCCATAGTGATTAGCATTATGTCTAAGATCTTTCAATGGCTCCCTCATTCACATCCTAAAGTAGCTACTGGGAGTCTGGAGGTCTAATCCAACCTAAAAATGGGATATACTGGGCCCACAAGAGGCCTTTTTAAAACTTTAGTTGACATAATAAAAAGATGGATTCCAGTCTCACTTAAAAAAACGAGCTGTGGCAATTCTGTGCCCACTCTGCTAGAATGTATGCAGAGTAAGCTGAAGCCAAATGGCAGCTGCCCTCTTCAGAATGGGCATGCAATCTGTAGTCCACAACATTCCTCACTACCCCCTCCAGTCCTGAACTTAGCTCACTGTGCTTAATGATATGACTTGCCTTGGCCAACACAGGTCCTTGAGTTTGAGGCCTCTGGCCTCAGGCTCAAGGCCAAGCTCAGGCATGGAAAGCTTGTGGTGACCTGAGTCCCCTCTAACAACCCTGCCAGAACTTGATGTAGCAGGAACACCAATAATTTCCTGCACTGCTGCTGCTCTGTTCCCCTCCTCTTCTTCATCAAGGTAGTACTTATCCATCTTTTAAGACTGAGGCCGAGTGCGGTGGCTCACGCCCGTAATCCCAGAACTTTGGGAGGCTGAGGCGGGAGGATCACCTGAGGTCAGGAGTTCGAGACCAGCCTGATCAACATGGAAAAACCCTGCCTGTACTAAAAATAAAAAATTAGCCAGGCGTGGTGGCACACACCTGTAATCCCAGCTACTCAGGAGGCTGAGGCAGGAGAATCCCCTGAACCCGGGAGGTGGAAGTTGCAGTGAGCCAAGATTGTGCCACTGCACTCCAGCCTGGGCAGCAAAAGCGAAACTTCGTCTCAAAAAAAAAAAAAAAAAGACTGAGGCAGGTCTCTCCTCCAGGAAGCAGGGTTAGGTGACCCCCTTGGTGCTCCAGTAATATCCCAAGTATATCACAGTGTATATGACTATCTACTCATAAATCTGTTATCCGTATTATTGTGTGAACGTCTTGGGAGAAGGGGCTGTGGCTAAAATTCATCTTTGCAACAGCAATGACCAGTCTAACATATGACACACAGTGGTGCTTCAACCATTTGCTCCCTTGTACACTCAAAAGAACCATTTCTTGGCCAGGTGTAGTGGCTCATGCCTGTAATCCCAATACTTTGGGAGGCTGAGGCAGGAGGATGGCTTGAGGCCAGCAGTTAAAGACCAGCCTTGACAATATAGTGAGACCCCTATCTCTACAAAAAAATTTAAAAATTAACTGGTGTGTGGCATGTACCTATAGTCTTCGCTACGCAGGAGACTGAGACTAGAGGATTGCTTGAGCCCAGGAGTTTGAGGCTGCAGTGAGCCATATGACTGTGCCACTGCACTCCAGCCTAGGTAACAGAACAAGACTCTGTCTCAAACAAACAAAAACAAAGAAACAAAATTTCCTGATAGATTTGCAGTACAAATGAAAGAAAGCCCCACTCTCCTTTCCTGTTTCTGACAACCTGAAATGTGGAAAATATAAGTCCACTCTTGGGAGAGAAGGGCTTTTAGACTTCTGGCGGCCCAGGGTCACACAGGAGTAAAATTAGCCTAAAGGTCATGCAGCACTCAAGGAGCAAACTTCTCTTCCTCATGCAGGAAGAAGTACACTTGGCAAAGATCTTTGCAGGTATGTTCACAGTACACTTAGCAAAGATCTATACAGATATGTTCAAGTAATCCAACAATATGCATGCAACTGATTCACTTCCAATATAGTTATATTGACTATTCACTATCGTAGCAGCAGGAAGCCATGAGAGTAGTTCACTGAGTTCTACTTTTTCCCGTTCAGGAAATTAAATAATGGAGATGTGCAGACTATAACTGGCACACAAATTAGGTCACCAACCCAGAAGAATCCAATCCTGGAGGAAATGGCTGCACTAGGTCTTAAAAGATCCAGAAAGATACCCAGCGTGTTCCTCTGAGTAGCTTTTGTGTTGTGGGAAGTATTTGTAGTCTTTGGAACTACTTTCTTTTTCTGGTTAAGGAAATCAAAATATAAGTCTCATCTTTAGAACCTGGACATTATTTCATGCATGTGGAAAATACCCATCCCAAACAGTGCTGGATGAGTCATCTGACCCCAGAGAAGCCGGAGATAATGCCTCTTCCAGACTTCCTGTCTCTCTTTTGCAAGACTTTCCATAATTCTGCCCCTGCATCTCTCCCACATCATCTCCTCTAATTACCAGACGCCAAGTTTTCTAATAGCCTGCCTTGGAAAGAAGAGTTTCCACCCACTCATGCCTCCAGATTCGCCTTTCAAGCACTCCCTAATCACAAGTCCCGCCCCACCTACACACACACTCTCTCTCCCGGAACTGTGACAGGAACTGTAGAGAAATTCAGGAACTCAAGAAGAGAGAAATAGAGGTAGGGTGACTACTGCACGTTTCCCCCTCATTTAAATTTTTTCTTTCTTTTTTTTTTTTAAGGAAGCGGCAGACCCGCTTTCTAAGTTTATGCAGAAACTGAAGCGCTGGCAAGTCCTCCCTGCGGCCTCAGGGGTGTGGCCCACTGTGGCTGCATCCGGACAGGAAGAGTCGAATCCCAAAGATGCTGCTAGATGTGCCGAGAGATTCCTGATCCAGCCAAAACATGTCAGAGCAGAATGAGGGCCACGGCGTCGGGCATGGTGACCCTCAGTAACAGTCCGAGCGCTCGGACCCGAGGGCCGTCCCATGCGCAATCCTGACGGCTCTTGCCTGCAGCCCAGGTCGGGCCGGAGGAGGGGCCGCTCCCCGCTCCCCGGCTGTAACAGACAAAAGGCTCAGGGAGGGTATCAGGGGACCCGGTGCTGACCCGGCAGAGGCAGGGTGAACAAGCCCGGGGTCAAGCGAAGCCGCACGACGGCCCTGACGGCCCGAGACGTGCCACGCCTGGGTCCCGACACTCCACTTACGTCGTTGACTGTCTCTAACCAGAGCCCGAGCTCAGGGACCGCGCGCACAGCCGCCGGGGTCCAGCACAGGAGGCAGAGGGCGACGCGCAGCAGCGGGGCCCGGGCGGGAAAGCAGCGGCGGCGGCGTGGCAGGAGCCCGGCTACCGAGCGGCAGGCGGCGACCATCTTGACCAGGAAGCTGCACCTGGCGCTCCGAGACGCCTGCCACACCCGCACCTGGTGCAGCACCGCCCCAGGCAGGCGGGTCCGAATCCGGGACGCGGGGCTCGGACTCGGGTGTGGAGGAGGGGCTCGCGCTTGGGCCTGGGCGGAGAGGCGCCGTGCAGTTCTGGGAAACCCGGCCAGGACCGGGAGGCAGGGCTTAGGGCTCTGAGCCGGGCCCGAGCGTGCAGCTGGGAGATGCCTGGAAGGCAGAGATAGGAGCCAGGATGTGGAGTTGGCGGCGAGACGTGGAGGCTGGGCTCAGGGCCTAGCGTGGGCGTGAAGATAGAAGAGGAGCCGGAACGTGCAAGGGAGGGCTGGCAGCCCGAGCGCGGAGGCGGGGCCGGGTAGGGAGGCGCCGCCGGAGTGTGGAGACGAGGCGGGGCTCGGGAGTGTGGGGGCGGGGTGGGAGGCGTGGCTCGGGGCCAAGCTGGGTGTGGGGACAGGGCAGGGTTGGAGGCGGGCTCGGGACTGTGGAGGCGGGGCGGGGCTCGGGACCAGGGCGGAGTGCGGAGGCAGGGTGCCCCAGGAAGGAAGAGCTTGGGGCCAGGCCGAGCGTGGAGGCGGGGCCGTGTGGAGGCGGGGCCGTGTGGAGGCGGGGCCGTGTGGAGGCGGGGCCGTGTGGAGGCGGGGCCGTGTGGAGGCGGGGCCGTGTGGAGGCGGGGCCGTGTGGAGGCGGGGCCGTGTGGAGGCGGGGCCGTGTGGAGGCGGGGCCGTGTGGAGGCGGGGCGGGGCTCGGGACCAGGCCGGAGTGCGGAGACAGAGTGCCCCAGGAAGGAAGAGCTTGGGGCCAGGCCGAGCGTGGAGGCGGGGCCGCGTGGAGGCGGGGCCGTGTGGTGGCGGGGCCGTGTGGAGGCGGGGCGGGGCTCGGGACCAGGCCGGAGTGCGGAGACAGAGTGCCCCAGGAAGGAAGAGCTTGGGGCCAGGCCGAGCGTGGAGGCGGGGCCGCGTGGAGGCGGGGCCGCGTGGAGGCGGGGCCGGGATTTGGAGGCAAGACCCGGCGGGGAGGCGGAGCCTGAGCGTAAAGGCGGGGCTGGTCAGGGAGATGGGGTCGGAGTGGGGAGGCGGAGTTGAGGACCAGGCAGTAGTGTGGAGACGGGGCTGGACGAGAAGGGCTTGGGGTTAGGCCGTAGTGGGGAGGCCAGGTTGGGCGAGGAAGCAGGGCTTGGAGCAAGCCCTAGTACGGAGACGGGACTGGGCGGGGAGGCGTGGCCTGAGTGAGGAGACGGGCCTGAGTGGGGAGGCGGGGCCTGAGTGGGGAGGCGGGGCCTGTCTGGGAGATGAGGCGCAGTGGGGAGGCGGGGCTCGCCGCCAGCGAGCGCGAGTGTCAAGGTCCTGGAGTCGAATGCCTAGTAAGTGCTACGGTTGGAGTGCAGTCTAGAGTTCTGTTCCCAGGGTGTCTCCATTTCTTGCGTCTTCTACACTTACCCCTGCCTCGACCCTCTCAGCTGTATGGAAACCGTTCTTTAAATTCAGGGAATGTGCCAGGAAAGTGCTTTGAGGCCAAGGCCAGTTGAACACAAGGCATTGTGTTGTGAAGGTTAACGTTAATAGGACAGTTAATACTTTTCAGAACAAGTAGTTACTTGACTGGCTTAAAGCTCAGAGGGGTCAGGGCTTGGATCCGTCTTATTGTGTACCTTCCCTTGCATTTTCGGCTGTAAGCTGAATACATGTTTTGCTGTCAAAGAGAATTAGTTCATTCATTATCAAATGTAAATAATATCCAGCAAGGGAATAGAATCCTGTGCTAATATTGTTATTAACGTAGAATAAGATCGATTTATAGTCCAAAGGCCTTGGCTGCTTTACCAGTCACCAGTAATTATTGAGGACCTACTATACACTAGAGATTGCATGTGCATCTTCCCAGTAAGCAACGTGATCAGTTCTGTTTAGGTCAGAATAACTGTAACAGGACCACAGGGGAACATCCACCAGAGATTTAGGAAGTAAGTGAGGGACAGAAGGAGAGAACAATACATGAAATTTAAGTTCTACAAGAAGAGTTAAGGGCGAGTTACCTGTGGGAGTGAGGGGTAAGTCTGAAATCGTTTTAGTTACGAGAGAACTGGAGGAATGGAAAGATCTTCCAGATGACTGGATGTTGGTGTGAGACGGAGAGTGGCAAAGCTGGGAATATTTAAACAGTACCAAAACATACAGGCATTCCTAAATTAAGTTAGGCAGATGGCACCTTTAGTTAAGAACACTGGAGAGGCAATGATTTTTTGTTTTGTTTTGTTTTTGAGACTGAGTCGCGCTCTGTCGCCCAGGCTGGAGTGCACTGGCGCGAACTCGGCTCACTGCAAGCTCCGCTTTCCTGGTTCACGCCATTCTCCTGCCTCAGCCTCCTGAGTAGCTGGGATTACAGGCGCCAGCCACCACGCCAGGCTAATTTTTTTATATTTTTTAGTAGAGACTGGGTTTCACCGTGTTAGCCAGGATGGTCTCGATCTCTTGACCTCATGATCCGCCTGCCTCGGCCTCCCAAAGTGCTGGGATTACAGGCGTGAGCCACCGCGCCCGGCCCCAATGATGGTTTTTAAGTAAGGATGAGCTGATCAGAAAGATCGTGTTGGTTGTCAAATTGGGAAACAGGAGCATAGGAGAGCCAGGGTGACACCATTTTAAAAATAACTCCATCTTAAAACTAGCAAGGTACATTTCTTGCCAGTCACCACCCATGGTCGTAAGATGTTTACAGTGGCTGGGCACGCCTGTAATCCCAGCACTTTGGGAGGTCAAGGCGGGTGGATAGTTTGAGCTCAGGAGTTTGAGACCAGCCTGGACAACATGGCGAAATCCTGTCTCTACACGAAATACAAAAATTAGCCAGGTGTGGTGGCGTGCCTGTGGTTCTGGCTACTCAAAGAAGCTGAGGCGGGAGGATCACTTGGGCCTGGGAGGCGAAAGTTGCAGTGAGCCCTGCACTCCAGCCTGTGTGACAGAGTCAGAACCTGTCACAAACAAAAAAAAGAAAGAAAGAGAAAGAAAGCAAGAAAAGGAAAAAAAAAAAAGGAAAATGAGGAAGGTTAGAATGAACTATAATGCTGGCTTGCAACTGATGATATCAGTGTGAACTCATTTTTAAAATTTAGTTTTATAAATAGATGTAGATATGTGTGTGTGTGTGTGTGTTTATATTTTCTTGCACTGATTCCCAGGAGGACCTAGAAGCAGCGACACCCCAGTAGCAATAGGTACATCTAGCACCAGATCTTGCTTTATAAATATCATTCTCCACTAAAATAAACCAGGGATCCTTGGAGAAGTGGCTGAGCCCAGGAATGGAATAGAGAAATTCATGATGAACTTGAGAATCTTGTTTTGCCAGAAAGTAAGGAAGTGGGTAAAAAATTATGAGGACACGTCAAAAAGGCATAGGAGCCAGTTTGAAGGAGCTCCCTTCCACTTACCAGATCTGGGACAATTTGGTCACCAAAATGATAGTAGTGGATTGTAACTCATTGACTCAAATAGGAATCCATGAGTCTATACTAACATAAATAAATAAATGATTACATAAATAGGAAAGAAAATCACTTTCTTACAGTTGGAAAACTAATAAATGCAGAAGGAATAACAAATTTAAAATATCACCATTTGGCAACTATCACAATTAAAATTGATTCAGAAAGAATCATCAATTCTATTCTAAAGTTAGTTGGCAAAAGCTTCATGAGGAAATATCTTCCAAAAATTACTTATTAATTACAAAGAGAAAAACAGTAATTATACAGTGGAGATACCTGGCAGACACCAACTTAATGATCAAGGTTAATCCCACAAGGATTGGGACAAACAGACATGATATGTATCATGATTTGATTAACTGAAAAGAAACAGCATGACTTCTGTGATATTCCTGCCAAAAATGCATGCCCAAAATGCAAAAATGCATCTAATCAAGCTATTCAAGGAAATGAGGAAAAAATTCACATACTTAAATCTAATCACAAGGAAACATCAGACAACCCAAATTGAAAGACATTCTACAAAGTAACTAGCTGGTATAATTTACCAAAAAAAAAAAAAAAAAAAAAATATATATATATATATATATATATATATATATATATATATATATGCCAGGTTCTTGAAACAGCTGAGGAAGTTAGAGGTTAAAGGAGACCCAAGAGACATGATAACTAAATGTGACATATAGGCCTAGCAGTCTGGAGCCTACACCAGAAAAATTGTTTTTGCTATTAAAATTCTTTAGACAATTGGTGAAATTTGAACAAGGACTTTAAGAAAATGGTATTGTCAATGTGAATTTCCTGAATGTGAAAATGGCACCGTTATCACACTAAGAGAAGGTCCTCTTTCTAGAGAAAAGCACACTGAAGTATTTAAAGGTAAGCGGGCACCACATCTGAACTTATTCTTTGGTGGTTACAAAAAACTTTTTATATATTATATATATAAGCTTTATATATGTATAACATGTATACCATCTCTATCTATCTATCAAGATAATCTAATAAAACCAATTTGAATGAAGAGTATGCAGGAGTTCTTTGTATTCTTCTTGCAACTTTTCTTTGAGTCTGAAATCATTTCAAAAGAAAAATTTCCAAAACTAAGAAAGAAGGGGGTAATCACTCTGTGGTTCTCCCTGTATATATGTTAATAAAATTTATATGCCTTTCTAAGAAGGAGGAGGAGGAAGGAAGAAGGAAGGGAGTATCTCACACCTCTCACATCCCATATAGGGATCCAACTTGGTGTCCTCCACAGCAGATGGAAAATTTATGATTACTTGGTAAAAATAGATTGATAGTCAACTGATTGCCAGAGTGCTTTACTCATTCTCTTTTGAGTCTTATGGGATTTAGAAAAACAAACAAACAAACAAACAAAACAGCTACCATATAATTTTTAATTTGAAAAATTAAATCCTGGAGCAAACAAAAATTGTCCAAAGAACAAATAAGGAAAAATTTGGCAATAGTTGACTGTAAGCTAGAACTGAAAGGCCCCCATCAATAGACCAGTCCTTCCTCTAGTGGAGTTTATTGCAGCTGTTATAAAACTGAATCACAGTTCAGAGGTTGCTGTGCAGGGAAATGAAAAGGCATTTGAGAACACGAAGTATCATGAGATCCTGAATTCAGTGCTATTAATGAGAGACTTTGGGGTATGGCTAACACCAAAAATGAATAGATGCTATTTTTGCATAAAAAGCTGTACATTTGATTCATTGCTTTTAATTAAAATATTGGATTGTATGAGAAATTTTGAGAGTATCATATAAAGCACCTTTTCCACATACTTCCATTTGCCTTCATTTAACTTTTTCTTCCCTAAATCAAAACTGATTTTAGTTTTGAGTTGAGGCTTATGGATATGTAAACATAAAGGTTGTTTTTCTGATATTTCCTCTTCATGTGCAACTTATATATCACATAAATTGTAGGGACCAGCCCCACAGGGTCAGTGGGTCTCTCCCCGTGTGTGGAGATGAGAGAGTGTAGAAATAAAGACACAAGACAAAGAGATAAAAGAAAAGGCAGCTGGGCCCAGGGGACCACTACCACCAAGTCGCGGAGACTGGTAGTGGCCCCGAATGTCTGGCTGCGCTGTTATTTATTGGATATAAAGCAAAAGGGGCAGGGTAAAGAGTGTGAGTCATCTCCAATGATAGGTAAGGTCACGTGGGTCACGTGTCCACTGGACGGGGGGCCCTTGCCTGCCTGGCAGCCATGGCAGAGAGAGAGAGGGCGAGAGAGACAGCTTATGCCGTTATTTCTGCATATCAGAGACTTTTAGTATGTTCACTAATTTTGCTACTGTTATCTAAAAGGCAGAGCCAGGTGTACAGGATGGAACATGAACGCGGACTAGGAGCGTGACCACTGAAGCACGGCATCACAGGGAGACGGTTAGGCCTCTGGATAACTGCGGGCGGGCCTGACTGATGTCAGGCCCTCCACAAGAGGTGGAGGAGTAGAGTCTTCTCTAAACTCCCCTGGAGAAAGGGAGACTCCCTTTCCCGGTCTGCTAAGTAGTGGGTGTTTTTCCTTGACACTTACGCTACCACTAGACCACGGTCCGCCTGGCAACAGGCGTCTTCCCAGACGCTGGTGTCACTGCTAGACCAAGGAGCCCTCTGGTGGCCCTGTCTGGGCATAACAGAAGGCTCGCACTCTTGTCTTCTGGTCACTCCTCACTGTGTCCCCTCAGCTCCTATCTCTGTATGGCCTGGTTTTTCCTAGATTATGATTATAGAGCGAGGATTATTATAATATTGGAATAAAGAGTAATTGCTACAAACTAATGATTAATGATATTCATATATAATCATGTCTATGATCTAGATCTAGTATAACTCTTGTTGTTTTATATATTTTATTACACTGGAACAGCTTGTGCCCTCGGTCTCTTGCCTCGGTACCTGGATGGCTTGCCACCCACATCTTATATATCATATAAATATTAATACTTTTTCTATTTTGTTGAATTTTTATTGTTTACTAATACTTCCTACAGAACACTTGTTATATAACCATCAAAATTCAAGAGCACTAAGAAATGGATAGAATTGTTTCCACAGCAGTAGCCACTTTTCACCAGTAGGTGACACTAGCAGATTGATGATATTTTATATAAAATTGGGTCTTTCCTAAAGGTCTTTTAAATCTAGTCTTGTTTTCCGTTTCTAACTTTAATTGGTGACACTATATTTCTAATATATTTATTTTCAAATTAATAAACTTTATTTTTCAAGCAGTTTTAGGTTCACAGCAAAATTGTGCAGAAAAGTACAGACAGTACCCATATACTCCCTGTCCCCCCACAACCTCTCCCCACTATCAACATCCCACATCACAGTGAGTAGCCCTAATTTAAGACATAAAAACTTTAATTTATTTGGAAGACACTATGTGCCTTACTGAGTGCTGGGTATTGCACAAACAGCTAGTAATGAAGGCAGCAGGGATTTCTGCATTATTAAGGAGCAATTTTATTTGTTAGTTAGTATTTTTTTCTATTTGGCTATAACCAAGTTTCCAAGGAAGATTAGAACTCATGGCATTTAGTTAAGCAAATCAAGCAGCGTTTGGTATCTCCTACATCTGAGGAACTGCCTACATAAGAAGATCCATAAAAGGTAGTCCTTGCCGTCACCGGAGGGGATATGCATGTAAACAGCACGGTGGGAAAGTCCTTAAGTGTGGATATGAGGAGTGCTTTTGGGGAAATGTGGTTACTTTTTTCAAAAGAGGACTTATCTTTTAGAGGTTTCCTTCATTTGGATTTTCCTAGAAGTAGATCCTGAAATAAGGGCTTGAGTGGCAGTAGCTGATTTGAGAGGTAGAGTAAATGCCAGTAGGGGAGTATTATGGGCTGAACCCTGTCCCCTCCACCTCCCAAGTTCTTATGTTGGAGTCCTAACCTCCAGTACCTCAAAATGTGTATTCAGAGATAAGGCCTTTAAAGAGGTTATTACGGTAAAATGAGGTCATTAGGGTAGGCCCTAATCCAATGAGACTGGCATCCTTACAAGAAGAGGAGATTAGGACACAGAAATATGCAGAGGGGAGGGCCATGTGGAGATACAGGGAGAAAACAGCCATCTACAAGCCCAGGAGAGAGGAAACCAACCCTAATGACACCTTGATCTAGGACTTCTGGCCTCCAGAACTGTGAGAAAATACATTTCTACTGCCTAAATCAACCTATCTTCTGGTACTTTGTTTTGGCAGCACTAGCAAACAAATCCAGGGAAAGAGCAAATGTGACAGAGAAAGGAATGCAGACATAAAGGGGACATTATCAAGTCAGCTACCACTGTGGGCGAATGGAACGCAATCCCACAGAGAAACTTAGGGAAAGGTGTGAGACAAACACCATAGAATTATCTCACACAAGGGTGAGGGAGCTGGGATGTGGAGGGCTACGCCGGGGAGAGCACCAATCACACTGGCGGTTCCAGCCCACTATGCGCAGGGCAGAGTGGCTTTTCTGAGCTTTAAGGAAAGCCTTCAAGCAAAGAGATGCAGATCATGACAGCTAGAAGTCAGCTCAGGCACACTGAAATGAAAAGGCAGGATAGACACAGGTGGAGCACTGGCAGGGACCCCTACAGAAACTCACCCTGAAATATTCACAGATGAGCTTACATGATGTCTGGGATTTGCTTCAAAATGCAAGAGGGAGGCTGGGCGCAGTGGCTCATGCCTGTTATCCCAGCACTTTGGGAGGCCAAGGCAGGCAGATCACTTGAGGCCAGGAGTTCAAGACCAGCCTGGCCAACATGGGGAAACCCCGTCTCTACTAAAAATACAAAAATTAGCCAGGTGTAATGGCACGTGCTTATAATCCCAGCTACTCAGGAGGCTTAGGCAGGAGAATTGCTTGAACCTGGGAGGTGGAGGTTGCAGTGAGCCAAGATTGTGCCATTGCACTCCAACCTGGGCGACAGAGTGAGACTCTGTCTCAAAAAAAAAAAAAAAAAAAAAAGCAAGAGGGAGAGAAGTGAGTGGGGGCACAGATAAAACAAGATTGGCCCTGATTTGATCATGTTTTAAAGCCTAGAGATGAAGACATAGGCAGTGACAAAACTATTCTGCCCACTTATATAAGCTTGAAGTTTTCCCTAATAAAACATTTGTTAACAAGTACATTCAAGACTTCTGCTAGATGTAATAATGGGTACCAAATTTACCCTCCTGCCTAGAACAACAACACAAAACCAGACCAAATAGATGAAATAACAGTTCTTAAGACACCGGATATCAGGCAATGAAAGACAGTTACCCCTGAGTGAAGGAAAAAAAAGAAAGTTGAGTCCTATGACTGCCTCAGCTTACTGGCTTGAGAGAATGTTCAGACCACAGCATGGGGAGGAATAACTCTAGCAGAGCCGGGCAGATTCCCTGAGTTGAGAAGACAAAGCTGGGAGTTCAGTGTGAGCAAAGCAGCAGTGGTTTGCAGGACAATATATATGGAGAGGTGAGAGTGGTACAGAGAGAGTTCTTGAGATCTGCAAAAGGTCCCCTTTAAATCTTCAGCAGAGAAATTATCAGCCACTGTATGTGAAGAAACTACATGAAGTAGAGGAAAGAGTCAGCAAAAAAAAAAAAAAAAAAAAAAAGAAGAAGAAGAAATAGTATCACAACAGGCTGGGAAAATAGCCTGTTCTCACCAGCTAACCTAGAAAACTTCCTAATTCACAGGGCATTGGTAGAATACTCAAAAAGGTCTTGCCTCAATAGTACAGAGTAATTAGTTTTAGACTAAACAGGGCTTTAGTCTCTTTTTATTTTTTCACCTCCTCCCAGATGAATTGAGCCTCAACAAACAAATCTTTAAAGCAAAACCCAAATGAACCAAACAGTTTCCACGTAACTTAATTATGCCCTAGAACAAAGCCCAAGAATATTTATAGGAGTACAAAAATCTGTAACACTCAACTAGTAAAATTGTAATGTCTGGCATCAGTTGGAGATTACTAGGCATGCAAAGAATCAGGATACTGTGAGACATAAAGAGGAGAAAAATAATCAGTTGAAACTGGCCAGAACTGACACATATGTTAGAATGAACAAAAAAGTCATTAAAAATTATAACTGTATCCTATATGTTCAAAAATTAAGTAGAAATATTAAAAGAAAAAACATGAAATCCAAATTTCTAAAGATGAAAAATGCAATGCCTGAAATAAATACACTGAATGGGCTTAATATAGCAAATTGGCTACTGCAGAAGATAAGATTAGTGAAACTGAAGACATAAGGATAGAAAATAACCAAAATCTAGGAGAAAAAACTTAAAAAATTAACAGACTATTAGTGAGTATTCAAATGGCCTAATAAGATTAGTAAAACTGAAGACATAAGGATAGAAAATAACCAAAATCTTGGAGAAAAAACTTAAAAAATTAACAGACTATTAGTGAGTATTCAAATGGCCTAATATATGTGTAATTGGCTCCAAAAAACAGTGGAAAAAATAGAAAAATATTTGAAGGAAGAATGGTTGAAATGTTTCTAAACTTAATGAAACAATAAACCCATAGATCCAAGAAGTTCAATTAGAGCTAAACAAAAGAAACATGAAGAAAACTGCTTCAAGGCACATCATAAGCAAATTGCACAAATCAGTGAAAAGAGAAACTCCTAAAAGCAGTTAGAGGGGAAAAAAAGACATGTTTGATACAAGGGAAAGAATAAAGAGAAGGATGACATCAATTTTTTAGAAACAATGTAAGCAAAGAAGACAGTAGGGGGCCAGGCACAATGGCTTATGCCTGTAATCCCAGCACTTTGGAAGGCCAAGGCAGAGGGATCACTTGAGGCCAGGAGTTTGAGACCAGCCTGGTCAACACAGTAAAACTCTGTCTCTACCAAAACTACAAAAATTAGCCAGGTGTGGTGACACATGCCTCTAATCCCAGCTACTTGGGAGGCTGAGGTACAAGAATCACTTGAACTCGGGAGGCAGAGGTTGCAGTGAGCCACGATAGTGCCAGTGCACTCTAGCCTGAGTGATAGAGTTAGACTCTGTTTCAAAAAAAAAAAAAAAACAGCGTGGGGACATCTTTAAAGCATTGACATGGGCAACCCCCTTTGGGTCCCCTCCCATTTTATGGGAGCTCTTTTTTCACTCTATTAAATCTTGCAACTGCACACTCTTCTGGTCCGTGTTTGTTACGGCTCAAGCTGAGCTTTCACTCGGCATCCACCACTGCTATTTGGCGCCATCGCAGACCTGCCACTGACTTCCATCCCTCTGGATCCAGCAGGCTGTCTGCTGCGCTCCTGATCCAGCGAGGTGCCCGTTGCCCCTCCCAATTGGGCTAAAGGCTCACCATTGTTCCTGCGTGGCTAAGTGCCCAGGTTCATTCTAATCGAGCTGAACACTAGTCGTTGGGTTCCACGGCTCTCTTCCGTGACCCACGGCTTCTAATAGAGCTATAACACTCACCACATAGCCCAAGATTCCATCCTTGGAATCCATGAGGCCAAGAACCCCAGGTCAGAGAACAAGAGGCTTGCCACCATCTTGGAAGCAGCCCACCACCATCTTGGGAGCTCTAAGAACAAGGAGCCCCCGCCACCCCCGGTAACATTTTAGCGACCATGAAGGGACCTCCAAAGCGGTAATATTGGACCACTTTAGCTTACTATCCTCCCTTAGAATTGGAGGAAAATACCAGGCACCTGTCGGCTGGTTAAAAATGATTAGCATGGCTGCTGGACTTAAGACTCACGTGTGAGGCTGTCTGGGAAAGGGCTTTCTAACAACCCAACCCTTCTGGGTTGGGAGCATTGTTCTGCCTGGAACCAGCTTCCGCTTTCAATTTTCCTGGGGAAGCCGAGGGCCAACTAGAGGCAGAAAGCTGTTGTCCCGAACTCCCAGCATTAGCCAGTTGAGATCATGGTGCAGCCAGAACTCTCTACTCAACAGTTGCCCATGCATGCACCCCTACCTTTCTTTCTGACCCATACATCCTGGGTCCCAACCACAACTTTCTTGAAAGTGTAGCCCCAAAATTCTCTTTACCTCTGAATCTACTTCCTCCAATCCCTGCCTCCTAGGTACTAATGGTTCAGACTTTCATTTCCTCTCCCAAGTATTAGAGCAAGTTGTATCTCCAAA
This sequence comes from Homo sapiens, assembly GCF_000001405.40. NCBI lineage: Eukaryota > Metazoa > Chordata > Mammalia > Primates > Hominidae > Homo > Homo sapiens. Next base: position 112,043,945 of record NC_000002.12, on the reverse strand, counting down.
GGGATCTAAGGAAGCTCTACACTGTGTCCTTAGGCATCTAGGCTATGAACCCAGGGAGTCTTGTCCCTGGTGTCCCTCCCAATTTAGGCATATAGCTCTCGACATGGGCAGTTATGTGGGACCCGTTCCCCACCACCCTTGCCAGGGCCCCAAGTTTGTAAATGGCTATGAGGATTGCTCTCCCATTGTGTAAGATGCTCTCTTCCCCCAATTTCTACCCAGCTTACCCCTCTGCAATACAATCTCCAAGTCTTAGCTCCTTGGCCAGGGCCTTAGAACTGATGACCCAGTACTTTAACAACTGGAACTGGGTCTACAACAACATAACAGATCAGGATGAAAGCGACTTGAGTAAGTCAAGGAGAGAAGAGACAGAGAGAGAGAAAAGAGAGGGAGAGAGAAAAGAGAGATAGAAGTAGTAAAGAAAAAACAGTGTGCCCTATTCCTTTAAAAGCCAGGGTAAATTTAAAACCTATAATTGATAATTGAAGAGCTTCTCCATGACCCTATAACACTTCAATACTACCTTGTTGTCAGTGTAAACAAGGGCATTGCCTGAAAACACTGAGACCACTGACAAACAGTAACCTTCCTGTCAAAAATCCTTAACCCAGGAACCCGCGGATGACCCAAATGCATTCAATCTGTAGCAGCAACTGCTTTGCTAACAGAAGAAAGTAGAAAAGTAACTTTTAGAGGAAACCTCATTGTGAGCACACCTCGCCAGTTCAGAATTATTCTAAGTCAAAAAAGCAAAAAGGTAGCTTACTAACTCAAAAATCTTGAAGTATAGGGATAGTCGGTTAAAAAAAAAACAACATAACATTAACCACTGAAAATTCCCTTAACCCAGCAGATTTCCTAACAGGGGATTTAAATATCAATTACCATACAAAGGCCCAGCCAGACCTAGAAGGAACTCCCTTCAGGACAGGACAATAGATGGTTCCTCCCAGGTGATTGAGGGAAAAAAAAAAACACAATGGGTATTCAGTAATTGATAGGGAGACTCTTGTGGAAACAGAGTTAGGAAAATTGCCTAATAATTGATCTGCTCAAACTGGGAGCTGTTTGCACTCAGCCAAGCCTTAAAGTACTTACAGAATCAAAAAAAAAAATTCTATCTCAATCCTGACTCAAAAGGTTACCTACACCCTCTGAAATGAATTTCCATAAGAACTGTTGTTTATAGGAATGCATCTTAATGGGGCAGCTGGGTTGTTATGAAATACTCAGGAACCCAGCCCAGCTTTAGGACTCACCCCTGAGCACAAAGGCAATGTTGGGCACGCTGGTAAAGGACCACTAGAATCCAGCAGCCTGGACCCCTTTCTTTGTGGTCAAGAAAGGCAGGAAAACAGGTGCAGGACTGCTACATTGGTGAGCGTAACTACTCCAATAAGCAGAAGTCCATGGGTGATTACGCACACTGGAAAGGAATAAGCATTAGGACCATAGAGGATGCTCTAGGACTAATGCTCATTGGAAAATGACTAGGGGTGCTGACATCCCTATGTTTTTTTTTTTCTCAGATGGGAAACGTTCCCCACAAGGCAAAAACGCCCCTAAGATGTATTCTGGAGAATTCGGCCCAGTCAGAGTGTATGTACCTTTTTCCCTGTCAGACTCGAAGCAAATTAAAATAGACCTAGGTAAATTATCAGATAACCCTGATGGCTATATTGATGTTTAACAAGGGTTAGGACAATCCTTTGATCTGACATGGAGAGATATAACGTTACTGCTAGATCAGACACTAACCCCAAATGACAGAAGTGCCATCATAACTGCAGCCCTAGAGTTTGGAGATCTCTGGTATCTCAGTCAGGTCAATGATAGGGTGACAATAGAGGAAAGAGAACAATTCCCCACAGACCAGCAGGCAGTTCCCAGCATAGACCCTCACTGGGACGCAGAATCAGAACATGGAGATTGGTGCCGCAGACATTTACTAACTTGTGTGCTAGAAGGACTAAGGAAAACTAGGAAGGAGCCTATAAATTATTCAATGATATCCACTATAACACAGGGAAAGGAAGAAAATCCTACTGCCTTTCTGGAGAGACTAAGGGAGGCATCGAGGAAGCATACCTCCCTGTCACCTGACTCTATTGAAGGCCAACTAATCTTAAAGGATAAGTTTATCACTCAGTCAGCTGCAGACATTAGAAAAAAAAAAACTTCAAAAGTCCGCTTTAGGCCTGGAGCAAAACTTAGAAACCCTATTGAACTTGGCAACCTTGGTTTTTTATAATAGAGATCAGGAGGAGCAGGCAGAACAGGACAAACGAGATAAGAAAAAGGCCACTGCTTTAGTCATGACCCTCAGGCAAGCGGACTTTGGAGGCTCTGGAACACGGAACAGCTGGGCAAATGAAATGCCTAATAGGGCTTGCTTCCAGTGCGGTCGATGAGGACACTTTAAAAAAGATTGTCTGAATAGAAATAAGCCACCCCCTCATCCATGCCCCTTATGTCAAGGGAATCACTGGAAGGCCCACTGCCCCAGGGGATGAAGGTCCTCTGAATCAGAAGCCACTAACCAGATGATCCAGCAGCAGGACTGAGGGGGCCTGGGGCAGGTGCCAGCCCATGCCATCACCCTCACAGAGCCCCGGGTATGCCTGACCATTGAAAGCTAGGAGGTTAACTGTCTCCTGGACACTGGCACGGCCTTCTCAGTCTTACTCTTCTGTCCTGGACAACTGTCTTCCAGATCTGTCGCTATCCGAGGGGTCCTAGGACAGGCAGTCACTAGGTACTTCTCCCAGCTGCCAAGCTGTGACTGGGGACCTTTACTCTTTTCACATGCCTTTCTAATTATGCCTGAAAGCCCCACTCCTTTCTTAGGGAGAGACATCCTAGCAAAAGCAAGGGCCATTATACACTAGAATTAGGAGAAGGAAAATGGGTAAATATATATACAGACTCTAAGTATGCTTACCTAGTCCTCCATGCTCACGCAGCAATATGGAGAGAAAGGGAATTCCTAACTTCTGAAGGAACACCTATCAAACATCAGGAAGCCATTAGGAGATTATTATTGGCTGTACAGAAACCTAAAGAGGTGGCAGTCTTACACTGCCGGGGTCATCAGAAAAGAAAGGAAAGGGAAATAGAAGGGAACCGCCAAGTGGATATTGAAGCCGAAAGAGCCACAAGGCGGGACCCTCCATTAGAAATGCTTATAGAAGTATCCCTAGTATGGGGTAGTCCCCTCTGGGAAACCAAGCCCCACTACTCAGCAGGAGAAATAGATGGGTTTCACTCGCATCCACCTCTGTGGGAAGAGACCACCAAACAGGCTTGGTGTGAGCAACAAGGCTATTTATTTCACCTGGGTGCAGGCGGGCTGAATCCGAAAAGAGAGTCAGCGAAGGGAGATGGGGTGGGGCCGTTTTATAAGATTTGGGTAGGTAAAGGAAAATTACAGTCAAAGGGGGGTTGTTCTCCGGCGGGCAGGGGTGGGGGTCACAAGGTGCTCAGTGGGGGAGCTTTTGAGCCAGGATGAGCCAGGAGAAGGAATTTCACAAGGTAATGTCATCAGTTAAGGCAGAGACAGGCCATTTTCACTTCTTTTGTGGTGGAATGTCATCAGTTAAGGCAGGAACAGGCCATTTTCACTTCTGTGATTCTTCACTTGCTTCAGGCCATTTGGATGTATACGTGCAGGTCACAGGAGATACGATGGCTTAGCTTGGGCTCAGAGGCCTGACAATGGGGAACCTCATGAGGACATAGTTTCCTCCCCTCAGGATGGTTAGCCACCAAAGAAGGAAAAATACTTTTGCCTGCAGCTAACCAATGGAAATTACTTAAAACTCTTCACCAAACCTTTCACTTAGGCATTGATAGCACTCATCAGATGGCTGAATCTTTATTTACTGGACCAGGCCTTTTCAAAACTAACAAGCAGATAGTCAGGGCCTGTGAAGTGTGCCAAAGAAATAATCCCCTGCACTGCAGGCCATACATTTCAATCCCTGTATCTTTTTAACCTCCTTGTTAAGTTTGTCTCTTCCAGAATCGAAGCTGTAAAACTACAAATCGTTCTTCAAATGGAGCCCCAGGTGCAGTCGAGGACTAAGATCTACCGCAGCCCCCTGGACCAGCCTGCTAGCCCATGCTTCGATGTTGATGACATCAAAGGCACCCCTCCCGAGGAAATCTCAACTGCATGACCCCTACTGCGCCCTAGTTCAGAAGGAAGCAGTTAGAGCAGTCGCTGGCCCGCCTCCCCAACAGCACTTGGGTTTTCCTGTTGAGAGGAGGGACTGAGAGACAGGACTAGCTGCGTTTCCTAGGCCGGCTAAGAATCCCTAAGCCTAGCTGGGAAGGTGACTGTATCCACCTTTAAACACAGGGCTTGCAACTTAGCTCACACCCGACCAATCAGGTAGTAAAGAGAGCTCACTAAAATGCTAATTAGGCAAAAACAGGAGGTAAAGAAATAGCTAATATCTATCACCTGAGAGTACAGGGGGAGGGACAATGATTGGGATAGAAACCCAGGCATTCGAGCCGGCAACGGCAACCCCCTTTGGGTCTCCTTCCATTTTATGGGAGCTCTGTTTTCACTCTATTAAATCTTGCACCTGCAAAAAAAAAAAAAAAAAAAAAACGTTGACATAAAAAATTCTTTCAATCTACAATACTATACCCAGCAGAAATATCTTTCTAAAGCAAAGGAGACAGTGATGTCAACAAAATGGCAGACTAGAAAACTCGAAGGATTGTTCTTCACTTCAGAACATTGAAAAAACAAGCAGGAACTGTCTGAACAAACTTTGTTGGTGCTCTGGAAAACAACCCAGTGTTAACAGCAACCAAGCAAATGCCCAGTCAAGAAAAAGACATCTTGGCTGGACATGGTGGCTCACGCCTGTAATCCTAGCACTTTGGGAGGCCAATATGGGAGGATCACTTGAGGCCAGGAGTTCAAGATCAGCCTGGTCAACATAGTGAGACCCTATCTCATTTTAAAAAAGAAAAGAAATGAAATGAAATCTTCAAAGTGGTTGAAAAGTTTTGTAGTGATTTTATCTTTGCCCAGCATGACCCCACCCCCACCCACTGCTGCAGTGGCAGTCTCAGTCTTGAAACTGCAGAAGCTGGATTCCCAGTTCTCTCTCTCTCAAAGCAGAGGGGACAGAGCAGAGTTTATTTACAAATTATTATGTACACCTGTTCTAACTTCTCCACGGGATATCTGAAGGGTGAACACAAGGTGCTTCTCTCTGTCTTCCCTAACTTGGAACTCAGGAAGAAAAATGGTGGGTATCACTCATAAAAACTGCCAGGTGACTACAGACCCATGGATGCCTAAGGCAAGAGATTCTGGGTAGAGACGTACGATAGACCATCAAAGGCCTAAAGGAGAATCTGGGGTGAGATGTTTTTGGGAACTTAGGACATGCAAAAGCAGCCATGTATACCAAGGAATTTAGAAAGCCACAAACACACCCAGGCAAAATCTATGCTTAGAAAAGACTTGAGAAGATACTAAGTGTTCACTGAAGGCTGACCCTAGGCTCAGGGTGAGCCTTGCTAAGTGCTGAAGGTGCGTCCCAGCATAGAGCTAACTTGCAAAGATTGGGAGAGGTGGTTGGTTTTTAGTTTTGTTGTTTATTTTGAGTTTTATTTGTTTGTTTCAGCTCCAAGTATTAAATGAACTCTCTGTCAAAACATATAAATTCAGTTTTGTGAGAGTTTTTATTATGAATGAATGCTGATTTTTACAGATATTTTTTCTGTGTCTACTGAGATAATCATGTGGGTTCTTCTCCCCTTTATGCTATTTGTTTGGTGTGAGTCATTATTTTTTACAATGATTTAATTAAGATATAATTCACACATACCATAAAATTCACTCTTTTTTATTTGTGGTAAAATATACACAACATAACATTTATCATCTTAGCCATTTTTAAGTGTACGGTTTTATAGCATTAAGGAAATTCACATTGTTGTGCAACGATTACCACTATCCATCTCCAGAACTTTTTCATCTTCCCCAGCTAAAACTCTATACTCAGTAAACATTAAGTCCCCATTCCTTCCTCCCCACAGCCCCTGGCAGTCACCATTCTGCTGTCTCTATAAATCTAATTACTCTGTGAACCTCATATAAGTTGAATATCATACAATATTTACTCTTTCCTGACTGGCTTCTTTCACTTAGCATACTATCTTCAAGGTTCATCCATGTTGTAGCATGTGTCAGAATTTCCTTCCTCTTTAAGGCTGAATAATATTCCATTGTACATATATACCACATTTTGTTTTATCCATTCATCTATTGATGAACATTTAGTTCCTTTCTATCTTTTGGCTATTGTGAATAGTGCTGCTATGAACATTTATGTACAAGTTTTTATTTAAAGACGTGCTTCAATTCTTCTGGCTATGTAACTAACAGTGGAATTGCTGGGTCATATGGTAATTCTATGTTTAACTTTTTGAGGAACCGCCAAACTGTTTTGCAAAGCAGCTGTACCATTTTACATTCCCATCAGCTGCCTTAATAAAATAGCATAGACTAGGTGGTGTAAACAACAGAAATACAGTTCTGGAGACTGAAAATCTAAGATCAAGGTGCCAGCAAGGTTGGTGTCTGGTGAGGGTTCTCTCCTTGGATTGCAGATGGCCACCTTCTCAATGTGTGCTCTCATGACCTATTCTTTGTGCATGCATGCAGAAAGAATGCAATTGAGCTCTTTGGTGTTTCTTCCTATTAAGGACACTAATCCTATCAGATTGGAGCCCCACCCTTTTGACCTCATTTAACATTAATTATTTATTTAGAGGTCCCATCTAATAAAAATACAGCTGGGATTCAGAGCTTCAACGTATGAATTTTAGAATTTAGAATAATTGGAACCCTCATTCACAGCTGAATTATGAACTGAATGTTTATAATTCAGCCATGAATGAGGGTTCCAATTATTCTACCTCCTTTCCAACCCTTGTTGTTGCCTGTCTTTTAGATTATATCCATCCTAGTGGGTGTGAAGTGGTATCTTGTGGTTATAATTTGAATTTCCCTAATGACTAATGATGTTGAACATCTTTTCATGTGCTTATTGGCAACTTATAAACCTTCTTAGGAGAAATGTATATTTGAATCCTTTGCCTATTTTTAAATTGAGTTATTTGTCCTTTCATTGTTGAGTTGCAAGTGTTCTTTATATATTCAGGATATACATCTCTTTTTTTTTTTTTTTTTTTTGAGACAGAGTCTCACTCTGTCATCAGGCTAGAGTGCTGTGGCGCGATCTCGGCTCACTGCAACCTCCAGCTCCCTGGTTGAAGGGATTCTCCTGCCTCTGCCTCCCGAGTAGCTAGGATTACAGGCATGCTCCACCACACCCAGCTAATTTTTTTGCAGGATATACATCTCTTTTTATCTAGCGTGACAACCTTTGTCTTTTTACCGGAATGATTAATCCATTTACACTTACTGAATTATTTACTCCTGGATAAACAAGAAACTTCCTGAACTTGCACTGTATTCTGCAAGCCACAGAAAGCAAAATGTAGAAATCATACTGGCTCAAGATGTTTAAGCACAACCTCTGACCAATCAATCGGCTTATTACTAAGCTACGTTGATCCAGGGGTGCCTTGTTGAAAGTCAGGCTTCAACATTTAAAAAAGTATAATTTTTAAAAAGCAACTGAGCAGAGACATTAGTGCTCAAACACTACAGGAGAAACACCATCTATAGAATTAATTCAGGCAAATTGCTAAACAAACACACAGTGATAATAACCACCTCTGGGAGAGGGGTACTTTAGAATCCAGAGTTTCTGAAATCTATGATCTGAAATATCCAGTTTCAATAAAAACATACAAAATATGCAAGTAAACAAGAAAGTTATCTCATGGAGGAAAAAAGCCAATAGAAACTGTCTCTGGCGAGGCCTAGATATTGAACTTAGCAGATAAATGCAGTATGTGCTGCATAGCAAGGTTTTGGCCAAAGTCAAACCACATATCCAACTGTGTTCTGATAAGATTGTAATACAGTATTTTTACTGTCATTTTTCTATGTATAGGTATATAAATACTTGCCATTGTGTTACAATTGTCTTTAGTATTCAGTAGAGTACACATGCTGTACAGGTTTCTATAGGAGCAATAGGCCTAGGAGCAATAGGCTATACCATATAGCCCAAGTGTGTAGTCGGCTATGCCATCTAGGTTTGTGTAAGTACACTCTATGATGTTCTCACAATGATGGAATCGCCTAACAATGCATTTCTTAGAATGTATACCTATCGTTAAGTGACACATGACTGTACTTCATTATAGAAAAGCATCTATTGGTAGGCCGGGTGCGGTGGCTCATGCCTATAATCCCAGCACTTTGGGAGGCTGAGGCAGGTGGATCACCTGGAGTCGGGAGTTCGAGAGCAGCCTGACGGACATGGAGAAACCCCAGCCCCACTAAAAATACAAAATTAGCCAGGTGTGGTGGCACATGCCTGTAATCCCAGCTACTCGGGAGGCTGAGGCAGGAGAATCGCTTGAACCTGGGAGGTGGAGGTTGTGGTGAGGCAAGATTGCACCACTGCACTCCAGCCTGGGCGACAAGGGTGAAACTCCATCTCAAAAAAAAAAAAAAGAAAAAAAGCAAAAGCATCTATTTGCAAATATGTTTGGAAAACTAAAGAACACCACGTTGTATATTTTTGAATTTAAAATTAAACAGAGAATATCAATTAAGAGATAGAAGTGATTAAAATAACTGAATGGAATTTCTGGAGTTGAAAAAGTACAATAACTGAAATGAAAAACTCACTAGAGGGCCTCAATAGTAGCTGTGAGCTGAGAGAAGAAGAATTAGCAAACTTGAAGATAGATCGTTAGAG